>NC_000011.10:74995089-75298120 GCF_000001405.40 Homo sapiens | reverse complement strand
TGCTATCCCTCCCCCAGCCCCCACCCCCCAATATTCTCTTTCTTGACAGTGACTTTTGAAGCACAAAAGTTTTAAAATTTTGTCTATTTTTTCTTCAGTTGCTTGTGCTTTTGGTGTCATATCTAAGAAACCATTGCTTAACCCAAGGTCATGAAGACTTACACTTAACGTTTTCTGCTAAGAGTTTTATAGCTGCAGCTTTTACATTTAGGTCTTTGGTCCATTTAATTTTTTTTTTTTTTTTTTTTTTTTTTTTGAGACAAAGTCTTGCTCTCTTACCCAGGCTGGAGTGCAGTGGCATGATCTCAGCTCACTGCAACCTCCGCCTCCTGGGTTCAAGCGATTCTCCTGCCTCAGCCTCCCAAGTAGCTGGGATTACAGGTGCCTGCCACCACACCTGGCTAATGTTTGTATTTTTAGTAGAGGCAGGGTTTCACCATGTTGGCCAGGCTGGTCTCGGACTCCTGACCTCAGGTGATCTGCCCGCCTCAGCCTCCCAAAGTGCTGGGATTACAGATGTGAGACACAGCGCCCGGCCCCATTTGAGTTAATTTTTGTACGTGATGTGAGGTCGGGATCTAACTTTGTTTTTTTTTGTGCGACTATCCAGTTGTCCTAGCATCATTTGTTGAAAACAATGTTCTTTCCCCATTGACTTGCCTTGGCTCCTTTGTAAAAAAATCTATTGACCATAAATATATGAGTTCATTTCTAGACTCTCAATTATATCCCATTGATCTATATGTCTGTTTTTATGCCAGCACAATATAGTCTTGATTACTGTAGCTTTGTGGTAAGTTTTGAAAATGGGAAGTGTGAGTCTTCTAACTTGGTTCTATTTTTTTTTTTTTTCAAGATAGTTTGGCTATTCTGGATCCCTGGCATTTCCTTATGAATTTTAGGATGAGCTTCTCAGTTTCTGCAAAAAAGCTAGCTACGATTTGATAAAGATTACATTGAATCAATTAGGGGAGCGTAGGCATCTTAACATCAAGTCTTCTCATTTATTTCTTTTGGGTATTTATTGAGTGTAAAGTTCAGCTCATGCCAAACGTACTATTCTGATTCCTGACTTACTCTGCTTAATATTCTATGATAGGCATTTCCTTGTGTTATCAAAGATGGAAACCTAATTTCAGTGCTGTATAATATTCCATTGTTGGCTGGGCACAGTGGCTCACACCTGTAATCCCAGCACTCTGGGAGGCAGAGCTTAGAAGTTCGAGACCACCCTGGACAACATGGTGAAACCCCATCTCTACTAAAATACAAAAAATTAGCTGGGCATGGTGGCATGCACCAGTAATCCCAGCTACTTGGGAGGCTGAGGCAGGAGAATCGCTTGAGCCTGGGAGATGGAGGTTGCAGTGAGCCTCGCTGGTGCCGCTGTACTCCAGCCTGGGTGACAGAGTGAGACTCCATCTCAAAAAAAAAAGGAAAAAAAATTCCTTGTTTAGCTGATCATATAGAATTAGAAAATCTTGTTTTGGTGTAATCAGTCTTGGAAGGTACTTCATTTGGGTTCCTTGTTGTGTAGCCCTCTCCCTGACAGGCACAAAGGGACACTGGGAGGACTGATGGCTCACAGAAGAGCAGTGAAATATTAGTGTCAAAGTTGGTCCACAGGTACCCTATGCTGCAGGTGGGGAATGAGGCTCACTGGAGAAACTGACATTCTGGTTCATGGAGAGTTGACCTACCTGTCTTCCTGGCGGCACCACCTTGATGGAATGGAATCAGAAGACAGCATCCAGCAGTCTGCACAGACACGGATAGGGCATGTTTGGTTTAGGCATGTTTTTCTAGAACAGCGGATCTGAAACATTTTTAAATTTGCAGCATGAAATTCATTTTACATTGTAATTCAGTACACACACATTCACCTGAAACAAACATTTTGCTAAATAATACTCTTTTTTTTTTTTTTTTTTTTTTGAGACAAAGTCTTACTCTGTCGCCCAGGCTAGAGTGCAGTGGTGCGATCTCAGCTTACTGTAACCTCTGCCTCCCGGGTTCAAGTAATTCTCATGCCTCAGCCTCCTGAGTAGCTGGGATTACAGGCATGTGCCACCACACCTGGCTAATTTTTTGTATTTTTAGTAGAGACAAGGTTTCACTGTGTTCACCGGGCTGGTCTCAAACTCCTGGCCTCAAGTGATCCGCCCGCCTCAGCCTCCCAAAGTGTTGGGATTACAGGCATGAGCCACTGTGCCCAGCCAATACTCACTTTTTGTATCAGCCAGGAGAAGCTAGCCTGTGGCCGGTAAGAACCCCCAAATCTTAGTGGCTCAAGAGCTTTCATTCTCCCTTATGCTACACATCTGTCATGTAGTGGGACAGCCCTGGGATTTAGGTTGATGGAGGCTTTCTCATCCAGATCATTGCTGGTTTCAGTGGCAAAGGAAAGAGAGCATGGCAGGCCAAAGAATGCTCTTCCCAAAGATGTCTACATCATAATCCTTGGAACCTGTGAATAGGATATGTCACATGGCAGAGGGTAATGACGGTTGCAGATGGAGTTAAGGTTGCTAATTAACTGACCTTAAAATAGGGAGATTGTTCTGGATTATCCAGATGGGTTCAACATAGTCCCAGGGGTCTTTATAAATGGAAGAGAGAGGCAGAAGAGGAGGTCAAAGTGAGGCAATGTGATAAGAACTGAACCTGCTCTTGCTGCCTTTGAAGATAGAAGCAGGGGCCATGAGCCAAGGAATGTGGGCAGCCCCTAGAAGCTGGGAAGGGCTGGGAAACAGATTCATCCCTTGAGCCTCCAGAAATGAATGCAGCCCTGTGGGTACCTTGATTTTAGTCCAGTGAGGCCCATTTAGTGTTTCTGAACTACCAAACTATAAGATAATATGTTGGGTGTGTGTGTTTTTTTTTTTTTTTTTTTTTTTTTGAGACAGGGTTTCACTCTGTCACCCAGGCTCAAGTGCAGTGGCACAATCTTGACTCACTGCAACCTCCACCTCCTAGGTTCAAGTGATCCTCCCATCTCAGCGTTCGAGTAGCTGGTACTACAGGCACACACCACTGTGCCTGGCTAATTTTTGTATTTTTGTAGAGATGGGGTTTCACCATGTTGCCCACATTGGTCTTGAATTCCTGAACTCAAGTGATCCTCCCATGTCGGCCTCCCAAAGTGCTGGGATTACAGGCATGAGCCACCACACCTGGCCTGTTTGTGTTGGTTTAGGCCACTAAGTGTGTGGTAATTTGTTACAGCAGCCATAGAAAATGAATACAGAGGGCATGGGGAATCAAGCACCAGCACTTAAATCTACCTGGCACTGACATCTGGCACTTCTACTCATATTTCACTGGCCAGAGCAAGCCACATGGACATGCCTAACTTCATAGGACCAGAGAAATCTGATACTCCCATACCCCCAGGCTTAGAAGGAAACTGAATTTTGGTGAATATAGTAATGTCTATTATACCTTGCTACCTGCAGTGCATGCTTATATTTTCTAGTCTATTCCATTCCATTTCATTAAAAAAATATTTTAAGTTATTTATTT
Source organism: Homo sapiens (assembly GCF_000001405.40). Taxonomy (NCBI): domain Eukaryota; kingdom Metazoa; phylum Chordata; class Mammalia; order Primates; family Hominidae; genus Homo; species Homo sapiens. The sequence goes on along the minus strand of NC_000011.10, from coordinate 75,294,598 downwards.
ATTTATTTATTTATTTATTTATTTATTTATTTATTTATTTTTGAGACGGAGTCTTGCTCTGTTGCCCAGGCTGGAGTGAAGTCACATGATCTCAGCTCACTGCAACTTCCGCCTCCCTGGTTGAAGCGATTCTTCTGCCTCAGCCTCCCGAATAGCTGGGATTACAGGTGCATGCCACCATGTCCGGCTAATTTTTGTATTTTTAGTAGAGACTGGGTTTCACCATGTTGACCAGGCTGGTCTTGAACTCCTGACCTCAAGTGATCCTCCCACCTCGGCTGGGATTACAGGCATGATCCCAAAGTGCTGGGATTACAGGCATGAACCACCATGCCCAGCCATAAGTTGGTTTTATTATCAACTAGTATGTTGTGACCCCCTGTTTGGAAAACATTACTCTACAGACCCTCTTCTGCCCGGGCCTCCTTGACTACATGACAGACCTAGATGTGTGACACACCTAGGTATAGCTGATTGGCCCAGGTGTAGAACACATGACCAGTGCTGACCAATCAAATTCCTCTACTGGGAATTTGGAAGTGGGCCATTCAACCAGTTAGCAGTGGGAAGCTGAGTGAGAATCAGAGTGGAAACAGTGTCAGAGTGGGAGTCACATCCAAGCCAAAAGGATGGAGGAGGAGAAAAGCCTTGAGTAAGTAGAGATAGCTGGTCCACAGAGGCAATGGGGCAGCCGCCCAGAAAGCAGTGCAACCGGGGGAAAATGAAGCCCCGGGAGGAGAGGTGCAGAGAGAGTGAGACTGCCTGAGATTCAGATGGCTTCCCAGATCCTGCGCCAGCCCCCATGCATCCTGCCTGCATCCCGTGAGAATTTTGCCTTCTTATAACATGCCCTCCCCCTTTTCTTGAGCTACCCTGGGCGGTGGGGTTGGGTGTGGTGGGGGCTGGTTCTGTTCCTTGTCTCCACTGAGCCTTAATCAGCTGGAACACTGCTGGTATTTCTCTTATAGGCACCCAGCTCTGTGAATCAGGCTGTGGGGCATAGATGGGGCTGGGGATGAGGCAGACCCTGCCTCTGGCATCCTGGAAATTTGGCTTTGACCAGTCTTGGACGTGTGTGCTTGCTCTTCAAAGTTGACAGGCAGAGCCATCTGTGTGACGCTGCATAGGTGGAGGTCCCAGGAAACGAAGCATCCTCACAGGGGCCTCTTTTCTGATAGTGTTAGGGTCAGGAAGTCAGAGGAGTTTTATCACAGAGGGCTTGGCAGTGTCACAGAGTGGAAAGGACATGGGCTCGGGAGACAGGCAGACCATGCTTCACCTTGGTGAGACTCAATTTCCTCATCTCTGAAATGGTATTGTAAGGATCAGCAGTGTTCTAGGAAAAATACCTAAAGTCATGTCTAGAGCATGGCATGCTCTTGGGGAATGTGGTGGCTGCTGCTGTTGTTTGAGGAAGCCATCAGAGTCCTGCTTCCTGAAGGAGGTGGTCCTGGTGCTGACAAGGTTAGCAGCAGGTCATTCCCCACTGCTGGCCACACTTCCTACCCTGGCCACCCTCACTGTGCCCCTTGCCCCTCTCCTCTCCTCATTTCTCCTCTTTATTGTTATTCCCGATGTTGATGAAAACACCCGGTTTAGGAAAACAGCCGGGTTGGATATGAAGCACCCAGCTTCTGGAGGCAAGCAGATAGAATTGGGTCTGAATCCTGACCGAGCCCCTGGCTTGCTGTGTGTTCTTGGGGAAATTACTGCGTCTCTCTGAGCCTTGAGCTAATTACCTGTAAAATGAGGATGATAATCCCCATTTCACAGAGCTATTATGAGAAATAATTAGCCACTCAACAAAGTTCTGTCTTCCCTCCCTCCCTTCTTAAGTTGCCTCTTCCAGCCTGACCAGGGTGTCTCGCTCCTTCCAGCAGTCCCTGGAATGGTTTTCCCTGACTCAGTTGTTTGTGGCCTCAGGCACCTGTGGCCTCTCCTTTCCTTCAGACCATGGGCTCCCGAGGCTTCTGGAAGCAGGTGGAGTCCCTTGTGGCCGGTGCCACTTCTCTGGTCTTCTCTGCACGTCCAGCCCCAGCTTGGGAGCTGCTGCTTCAAACCTTGTGATCTGTATTTTTCCTCACTTTAGCAATTATCACACCCCAGCTGACTGTGGCATCTTCACACTCTGAACACTAATAAATATTTATGAGAAGGAAGCTGGACGCGGTGGCTCACGCCTGTAATCCCAGCACTTTGGGAGGCTGGAGGTGGGAGGATCACTTGAGGTCAGGAGTTTGAGACCAGCCTGGCCAACATGGAGAAACCCCATCTCTACTAAAAATACAAAAATTAGCCTGGCCTGGTGGTGCATGCCTGTAATCCTAGCTACAGGGGAGGCTGAGGCACAAGAATCGCTTGAACCTGGGGGATGGAGGTTGCAGTGAGCTGAGATCACGCCACTGCACTCCAGCCTGGGCAACAGAGCGAGACTCCATCTCAAAAAAATATAAATAAATAAATAAATATTTATGAGCAGGAGAAAAGCCCAGGGCTCCCAGGGGAGGTGGGGCGGGATGTGCCAGGCTTCTTAGTAAGCCATGCTCACACTCATCAGTGGTTCCTGCCAGCCCAGAAGTGAGAGGTGAGGGTGGGCAGGGCCAGGGCCATCAATGCAGCGCAGAGCCACCACCCACTCGCCTTCTCTTCTGGAAGGAGGCAGGAGTGGCTGTCCATGTGCCATGGCGGGCCTCACTGTCCTGCCCACCCTGGTGCCTACTGGACCCTGTGCTCCTGGGGGAGGACTGGGTGGCAGGAAGCCCTCTCAGCCTCATGTGTTCCTGCCCTACTCCTCTGTCCATGGCTGTTTTAGCCTCTCTTATTCCATCTTTTATTTTCGCCCGTCCAGGGCCTGTGTCCCTATCCTCCCCTCTCTTCCCCAACCCCCTCTCTTATCTCGCGGTCTCTGTCTCTATCTTTCAATTTTCTTCTCTCCCTCCCAACAATTACTTTGAGAGATCCTGGAGCTACCTGTTGGCAGCTAGGGAAGGGGGTCTCAGGCTCCAAGACCCAGCTCGGGGGAGAGGGCAGGAGGAGATACGGAAGGCAAGTGAGTTCCACTTTTTGGGAGTCATGGACTACATCTCAACCTGATTCCTTATCCAGCTGGGTGACCATGGCTTATTCTCTGCCTTTCCTGGGCTTCAGTTTCTGTGAAGTAAGGCAGTTGATTCCTTCACTCATTCATTCATTCATTCACCTGTTCAACTAATGTTTATTGAGTGTTTGCTACCTGCCATTCATCATTTTTTGTTTGTTTGTTTTTGAGACTGAGTCTTGCTCTGTCGCCCAGGCTGGAGTGCAGTGGCGTGATCTTGGCTCACTGCAAGCTCCGTCTTCTGGGTTCAGGCAATTCTACCTCAGCCTCCCAAGTAGCTGGGATTACAAGCACCCACCACCATGCCCAGCTAATTTTTGCATTTTTAGTAGAGATGGGGTTTCACCACATTAGTTAGGCTGGTCTTGAACTCCTGACCTCCTCGGCCTCCCAAAATGCTGGGATTACAGGCATGAGCCACCGTTCCTGGTCCCATCATTTATTAAACAATGATTGCAGTGCTGTTCTGGGTGCTTGGGATAGATGCATCTGTGGATAAGAGAGACAAAGATCCCTGCCCTCGTGGAGTGACATATTAGCAGAGTAGACACATAATAAACAAGCAAAATATGTGTACATTCGAAAGTGGTAAGTGTTGGTTGGGCGTGGTGGCTCACGCCTGTAATCTCAGCACTTTGGGAAGTCGAGGTGGGCAGATCGCTTGAGTCCAGGAGTCTGAGAGCAGCTGAGCAATTTGGTGAAACCCCATTTCTAACAAAAAACAAAACAAAACAAGAAAACAAAAAATAAAAATTAGCCCAGGGTGGTGGCGTGTGCCTGTGGTCCCAGTGACTTGAGAGGCTGAGCAGGAGGATCGTTTGAGCCCAGGAGGCAGAGATTGAAGCAGTGAGCTGAGATCACGCCACTGCACTCCAGCCTGAGTGACAGAGTGAAACCTTGTCTCAAAAAAGAGAGTGATGAGTGCTATGGAAAAAGAAGAAGTAGAGCAAGAGAGGGACTTCAGGCCCCGGAGGCACAGTGGGGCTGAGCATGCAGATGTCTCGGGGAGAGCCTCCCAGAAGAGAACTGTCCCCGAGGTGGGAATCGCCCTGGTGTGCTTGAGGACCAGCCGGGGGTAGATGTGGCTGGAGATGGGTGAGGGAGAGTAGTAGGAGGTGACACCGGGAGGTGAGGGTAGATCACACAGACCTTACAGCATGCCAGGCTTTTCCTCACTTGAGCTCAGAAAACTTGCACTTGGAGACTCCCGCAGCCTGCCCTGCAAAGACCTGACTGCAAGGCGGCTGTTGCGTAGCCCAGGAGAGCTCTAATGGCTATCGTGGAGGCTTACCAGTGGAGATGGTAAGAGCGGATTACATGGGCACTGTTCGGATCTCAAGCCTGCATGGTGCCTGTCAGTCACTCCAGCCCTGGTCCCCAGTCCTGCCTCAAGGTGGCCCGCAGGAGCTTGCCCCTGGGCAGGATACGCGAACCCTGGCCTGACCTCTCTTTCTCTCCACAGAGTGTTCAAGAAGGCCAGTCCAAATGGAAAGGTGAGTCTGTAACAGCTGCGCCCAGCGCCTCCCTGACCTCACACTCTGGTCATTTTCTCTTGGGAAGCAGAGGAAACGGCATGTCCCCTGAAATGCACACCTCTGTGGGAGGGGGCAGGTGCTGCTCCCCGTCTTAGGGGTGACACAGCTCTCTCTCTTGGAGCTGTCAGTTGAAGGGGGAGGGACACACTCAGGAAACTTTCAGAGTGGGGAAGCACAGCTCCCCTGAGCTCTGGTGTAGGGAGAGACGGCCTGTCATAGAGAGACTTCAGTAAGTATGTGACAGTGGAGGACAAGCCAACCAGTAAGCGCCGAGGGCCGTGGGGGAGTGAGTCCCCTGCTGTGAGAGGACCCTAGCGTCACCTCCTTAGCCAGGGCAGCTCCCAGGGCCTGGCTTCCTTGCTTTCTCCTTGCAGGTCCAGATGCCATCCTGCTTCCCCCTCAGTTTAGCAGGTAGACATTACTGACACCATTCCACACCAGGTCTGGGCTGAGCCGGCGGGGACAGGGGCAGGGTGTACTCAGATGAATGAGGCACAGTCTGTGCCTCTCACAGCCAGATGGCAGAGGCAGACACAGAAATCCATCATTTCAACATGAAGTGGCAGAGGGGAGATACGGGGCCATTGGGGCTGCAGGACCCAGCCTGGTGGGCAGCGGCAGCTTCTAGGAGGGATGCATTTCCAGCAAGGCAAGGTGAAAACAGCATTGTAGGCAGGACATAAAAGCATAGGAACTGTGGGAATCTTAAGCAGCTGAGTTCAGAGTGCCAAGAGAGAGGCTGAGGCTGAGAGGCTGCAGGGCTGGTCACGGGAACACTGTGGCTTGGCTTATGAGCTGGCCTGGGTTGGCAAATAGCACCACGTGTGCTTCCACATCTCTCTTCTGTGTCCACAGTAGATAACATCAGTCACCATTGCCCTTCCCTGCTGCACCAGGGTTTCATCTTAGATTCCTTCTCAGCCCAGAGTCCGAGACAGCTCCCCGTCCCCTCTCCCCGCCGGTAGATCAGACTTGGCACTTGGAATGAAACCCATTTGTCATCCTTATTTTTGGACACTGAGGAACCATTAATGGGTTTCAGGCGGCAGTAGCATGGTTAGATTTGAATTTTAGGGCTGGTCACAGTGGCTCACGCCTATAATCCCAGCACTTTGGGAGGCCAAGGTGGGTGGATCACTTGAGGTCAGGAGTTTGAAACCCTGTCTCTACTAAAAATACAAAAATTAGCTAGGCGTGGTGGTGCATGCCTGTAGTTCCAGCTATTTGGGAGGCTGAGGTGTGAGGATCACTTTAACCCGGGAGGTAGAGGTTGCAGTGAGCTGAAATTGCACCACTGCACTCCAGCCTGGGCGACAGAGGGAGACTCCATCTCAAAAAAAAAAAAAAAAAGAAAGATTTGCATTTTAGGGTGACTAGTCTAGCTAAGGAGGAGAGCAGGCTCTCAGCGAGTGAGCAGCAAGGGGCTGGTGTGGTGGTCTAGGCAGGAGTGGCTGTGGGGATGGAGAGGTACGGACTTGAGAAATAATGATGGCGATCGAGTCACAAGGATTGAAGGGTTGTTGAGGAACAGCACACATCAGGATGACGCTCTGGATCTGGTTTAGCCGCTGGAATTCTGTCTCGGGGGTTTTTCCCTCCCGGCTGGCTATGGAGTGGGGCGTGAGCCCCCAAACCCTCAGTGCCTCAGAAGGCAAGTCCTCACACACAGAACTGCTAACTGTGTGAGGTGGTGCATTTGTTCATTAGCTGGATGTCACCTTTCCACAATGTATATCTATTTTAAAACATTGTGTTGTACATGATAAATAACATATACTTTTAACTCAATTTAAAAAATTAATTAGGCCGGGCACGGTGGCTCACGCCTGTAATCCCAGCACTTTGGGAGGCTGAGGCAGGCTGATCACCTGAGGTCAGGAATTTGAGACCAGCCTGACCAACATGGTGAAACCCCATCTCTACTATAAATGCAAAAATTAGCTGCGTGTGGTGGTGCATGCCTGTAATCCCAGCTACTTAGGAGGCTGAGGCAGGAGAATCGCCTGAACCTGGGAGGCGGAGGTTGCAGGGATCTGAGATCGCGCCATTGCACTCCAGGCCGGGCAACAAGAGCAAAATTCCATCTCGAAAAAAAAATTATTTAAGAAAAAGGAAACGAGTCCTCGTATCAGTGGATCCCCGCCTGGCTGCATGGGAGAAGGAGCAACTGAAGAACACAGCGCGGCCCGCGTTCAGAGCCTCTGAGGGCTCAGCGCTCCCGCCTGCCTGGGGGCTCTCACCCTCTGAGATGCCCACACTCCCACTCACCCAGCTTCTCTGCCGCTGCTGCTCCACTGGCAGTGGTGCTTGGCATGAAGATCTCTCCGGGCCTCAGTGTCCTCATCTGTAAAACAGGAACAATAATGACTCCTTCAAGGGTTTTGGGAGGAAGTGGTGCTTTTAAGATTTTACAGGGGTTTGCGAATCTTGGTATTAGGGCTGGGGTGAAGGCCCAAGTCCACTTAGGATTTTGATAAGGGTTAGGGATGGGTCTGGAGTTTCAGAGGCTGCCCGCAGGGTTTCCTCCAAGACAGGGTCCTGTGTCCTCTGGGCCTGCAGCTGCTAACGCCCCCTATGCCTCTCCTCCTCAGCTCACCGTCTACCTGGGAAAGCGGGACTTTGTGGACCACATCGACCTCGTGGACCCTGTGGGTGAGTCCCTGGAGGGCGAGAGGAGGGCTGGGGGAAGATGTGGCTGGCCAAGCCTCCCAGAAATAGCTCTCAGCTCTCCAGAGGGGCCCGGTGCCAAGAACGGGGGTGAATGGCTTCCTGCTTCAGGCAGCAAGCATTTACTGAGCAGCTACTTTCCCACTCAAGTGAGGACTGCAAGAAGAGACTGTGGGAAGGACTGAGGTGACAATCAGGGAAGGCGTCCTGATGATGGTAAGAAGGGTGAGGGTGATGACGACAGACACCGCCACTTACTATAAGGCGTGTCATGTAGCAGACAGTGGGGGTGGCTATGATGACTATCCCTGCTTTCCAGACAAGGAGAATGAGGCACAGAGTGGCTCAGTGACTTACTCCAGGTCATAGAGTGAGTAGATAGAGGAGCCCGGTTCAAACCTGGCAGAGTCTGCAAAACTCTTTGTTCTGCTTCCTTGTGATGGCAAAGAGTGGGAGACAGAGGGAGAACCCTTCTTAGGACTTGTGAAATGGGGGCTGTCCTCATGTACATGGGGTTCCTGCTAGAAGCTGGGCTGTGGCTGAAGGCACCTTCCAAGTTCTTGTTCAAGTTCAGGGTTTTGCAATTTCTGCATGCTTGACATTTTGGATTGGATAGTTCTTTGTTAGTGTGGCCTGTCCTGTGTGTTATAGGCTGGATAGCCACATCCCTGGTCTCTACTCATTCGATGCCCAGAGTACCTCACGCTCCAGTTAGGCCAACTAAAAATGTCTTTAGGCCAAGTGCGGTGGCTCACGCCTGTAATCCCAGCACTTTGGGAGGTGGATCACCCAAGGTCAGGAGTTTGAGACCAGCCTGGCCCACATGGTGAAATATCATCTCTACTAAAAAATACAGAAAAAAAAAATAGCCGAGCATGGTGGCATGCACCTGTATTCCCTGCTACTGGGGTGGGTGAGGCATGAGAATCGCTTGAACCCAGGAGGCAGAGTTGCAGTTAGCGAGATCATGCCACCGCACTCCAGCCTGGGTGACAGAGCAAGACTCTGGCTCAGAAAAAAAAAAAAAAAAAAAAAAAAAAAAAAGATGAGCAAATCAAAGTGAGGCCTAGTATGGCCTTTCCCATCATGTCCCTGTGGGCTGTCCTGGGTCCAGGGCAGGAGTGATTTGTGTGGTTCCTGAGCCAAGGAAGCGAGCCCGGCTGCAGGCTTCAGCTCACCAGGAGGAAGACCTGGGGACCCTGGGCTCCCAGGGCCAGGGGGCTGTCAGCAGAGCCCTTCATGGCCTAGAGCAGAACACCCCCAATTCTCCCCTCCAGCCCTGCCTGGGATGCTGTTTGGTGTCTTCTGAAGCTCAGTGTCCCTTTGCCATTGGCATCTTCTCCCTGAGGTGGCCTCTCAGAGGCCGGGAGCAGGCATCCTGGTGTTCATCTGTGGCTGCTTCATGTTGTCATTTCCAGTGGGCCCTCTGAGGCCAGGGTTGTCCATGTCCATTGGCCTACTAAGGACAGCAGCAGAGGTGGCCCAGAGACTGGGAGAGGACAGGGGCAGGAAACCAGCCCCCAACACACGCAGGCACCCTGAGAGCTGTTCAGCAGGTGTTCACAGAGCACCCCCTTTGTGCCAGGCCCCTTGTGAGCCCTGGTATCCCCGAGAACTCTGGGGCACTGTGCAGAGCTGATCAGGGACTCACTGTGAGAGATTCTTCTCCCATAGTGACGCTGCCATTTGGCTTGATCTGATCACACCCTCCCTATGCTTACCGGTTCCCCACCAAACCTGCACACAAGTCCAAGCCCACTGGCCTGCCCAACAGGACATTGATGATCCATCCTGGCCCTCCTCTTCCACCAGCAGTGAAGTGACAATGGGTTAGAGGGTAGGGGGAGAGAGAGAGGAAAGAAAGGTTTGGCCAAAGATAGACAGGGGATGTCAGCCAAGGGGGTGACCCTGAGCCAGTGTTTCTGGCCTCCTGGGGTGCTGAGCAGAGATGTCCTTTGTGTCCAGCTGGACTCTGCCCCCAAGGGCAGGCCTCAGGGCACTGAGGCGCCTTCCACAATCTGCAGAGTGCTCTCGAGTGCTTGGCACTGTCTAAGCGCTGTACACATATGCACATTCACACATGTACCCATTCAGTCGTCACGGGAGCCCCATGAGGGAGGCACTGCAGATCACAACCCCCAATCCACATGTGCCAAGCCCAAGCTCTGAAAACCTAACATTGCTTCCAAGTTTAATGCAGAATTCATTTATTGGCAAACCTGACCCAAACTGATGCGAGGCTATTTATGCCTTATTTAGCCTCTTGGTGAGAATATTTGTGTTTTCCTACAGAGGTATTAATGGCTTTAATAATAAGGTACAGATCTTGCAGAGGTCATTACAGAATATATGGAACATGTACCATTTTGCCTATTTTATTTTATTTTATTTTATTTTGAGACAGAGTCTCGCTCTGTTGCCCAGGCTGGAGTGCAGTGGGATGATCTCAGCTCACTGCAGCCTCTGCCTCCCAGGTTCAGGTGATTCTCTTGCTTCAGTCTCCCGAGTAGCTGGAACTACAGGGGCCCGCCACCATGCCCAGCTATTTTTGTATTTATAGTAGAGTTGATGTTTCACCATGTTGGCCAGGCTGGTCTTGAACTCTTGGCCTCAAGTGATCCGCCCACCTCAGCCTCCCAAAGTGTTGGGATTATGTGCATGACCCACCACGCCCGGCCCATTTTGCCTCTCTATACTTCGCAATTTCTAAATTCCAAAGAATACCTGGTTCTAGGAGTTTCGGACCTAGGTTATTATTCTTACTAGCAGATGAAGAAACAGAAATGGTCTCTAACCTGCCTAAAGTCACCAGCTGGGTCTGTTATACTGGCCTGGGATGGGGGAAGGGTGGAGCGTGGTGGAGGTGGGCAGTGCCACCCTCTAGGTGCCCGCCTTTCCATTTTTCTCAGGATGATTTTAGATGAACAGATGGTTGGATCTGGGCTTGGGCTGGTGTTTGGGGCACAGAGGTTTGGGAGACCAGGTTGGGAGAGGCCGCTTACTCTCTGTCCTTTCCCCAGATGGTGTGGTCCTGGTGGATCCTGAGTATCTCAAAGAGCGGAGAGGTAGGCTGTGGCCCCCATCCCCAGCCTGTCAAGGGCCGCCTCCTCTTCCCCCCGGACCTCTAGCATAGGAACTCCCTGCCCATCCCCACTGGTTCCCCTGAAAGCCCCAACAAATACCTCTACAGATGCCGTTGCCTCCTCCAGCCTGGGACGGCCCTGCCCCAAGCTTACTTTGGGAGAAGGTTTCCCCATGCCCTGAGCACTTTCACATCAATATGTCATGACTGTGGCAAGGCTGGGGATGCCAGCAGGGTAGGAGTAGGTTCTTCTTTAACAGAACAGAACATTGATACCGGGGCAGTATCAATGCGCAGGAAGACAAGAGTGCAGACTGAGCTGTGACAAGACGCTTGCCGTCCAGATACCACCCAGCACTTGCCCTGCCCCCACAACTCCCTGCTCCTTCCCCAGGTCCCCTACCCCCACCCCAGGCCTGCCAGACTACTCCAGCCCCCGCCAAGCCTGTCAGACCGTTTCCATACCCCTCCACATATGCCCTGGGGAGAGGTGGGAGGGGGAAGGACAGAGCTGGCTCAGCAGGCAGCCCCCTCCTCCTCCCAGGGGCCAGGCCATGGCATCCTTCCGGTACTCACTACCAGCCCTCCTGGTGGAGACAGTGCAGCCATCCCCACAGAGCTTGGGACAGGCTTGGGGCCTCCAGTGGGGCCCGTCCCAGGGCTGCTGCCGGCACTCTGGGGGGCTCGCTTGCTGCTCTCCCAGGCCCCTCCTCAGTGCTCCTCGCTCCCCACAGTCTATGTGACGCTGACCTGCGCCTTCCGCTATGGCCGGGAGGACCTGGATGTCCTGGGCCTGACCTTTCGCAAGGACCTGTTTGTGGCCAACGTACAGTCGTTCCCACCGGCCCCCGAGGACAAGAAGCCCCTGACGCGGCTGCAGGAACGCCTCATCAAGAAGCTGGGCGAGCACGCTTACCCTTTCACCTTTGAGGTCAGGAACTGCCATCCCTGGGGCCCCATTCCAGAAATGCCACCTCTAGGAAGCCCTCTGGGGTGGGCATAAGAGGGCGGTGAGGGTCAGCTGCTCCCTGCCACCCAGTTTCCCAGTGTATGCTGGGACCTGGGGCACTGTCACCTGTGTTACCTGGTAAGTGTCTCTTCTCCAGCCCCTGCTGGGGTTTGTCACCTGTACCTTTGGGCTACTCCTCAGACCCTTCTGAGGCCAGGTCATTGGTGGGAGAAAGGGGGTGCTAAGGGGCTTCAGAGAAAGAAAGAGCCCTTTCTGGACCCTGCATCACTGCAAGGGGTTTCCCGCTCAGATCAGCTCCCCACTTGCCCGGCAGCAACCCAGCTCGCAAGAGAGGGATGGCAAGTAGGTGATCTGTCTGCCCCACCACCTTTCAAATCAGAGACTTTAAGATGCTGGATTTCAAAATCTCAAGTTTCTTAGGCTCTCTGATTCTGAGATTCAGTGTGGTCTCTCCCTTTCTTGGAGGCTGAGAGAGTGGAGAGGGTCATGGAGTCACCTTTTCTACGTAGACATGTTAGCTCCCTATGGCTGCTGAAACAGATTGCCACAAACTCGGCAGCAATTAAAACAACACAGATGTATGAGCTTACAGCTCTGGAGGTCAGAAGTCCCAAAACAGGTCTCAGTGGGCTACCATGGAGGCGTGGCAGGGCTGGCTCCTCTGGAGGCCCTCGGGGAGCGTCCACCTTTTCCAGCATTGCTTTCCTTGGCTCACAGTGCCTTCCTCCATTGTCAAAGCCAGCAGTGGCCGTTGAGTCTTTTGTACATCCCATCACTGTGGCTCAGACATTTCTGCCCCCTGCTTCCACTTCTAAGGACTCTTGTGATTATACTAGGCCCACCAAAATCATCCAGGATACGGTCCCCATCTCAAGGCCTTAATTGGATCTGCAAAGTCACTTTTGTCATTAAGGTCCCAGGTTTGGGCGATTAGGGTGTGGACATCTTTGGGGAACATTATTCTGCCAACCACAGTAGACATCATAGAAAGATCTATTTAAACCATTGCTGCGAGGACTGGGCTGGGCCAAACCCTTTAGATAAAGAAAGCTCTTTATCTAAAGAGTTTTAGATGGGGCATGGCTTGGCATGGTCTGATGGGATAGACATGGCCTGTCCCCTGGGGCCCTTGGTCTGATGGGTGTATGGGAGTGTCTGGGCTGCAATACATGAGACAGGACAGTGGTGGATGTGACAGGTGGCTCGTTCTGTCCTCTTCTTGACAGATCCCTCCAAACCTTCCATGTTCTGTGACACTGCAGCCGGGGCCCGAAGACACGGGGAAGGTAGGTCACCCCAAGGGGACCATCTCTCTGGCTCCAGGAGTCTCATGTCCCCAGGTCCCTGGCTTTCTCCCTGGGAGGTGCTGGACACACAGGACCACTCTCCCTGTTGAACAGTCTTTGTGTCTAGGCTAAGCTGGTCCCACCTTGGACAACCAGTCTCTCTTCAGACAGGGCAGCAGGTACGGGGTCAGCCTCACTCTCCCATTCAGTGATGGGTCTGGAGGCTCTCCTGGGTGGCGTTGGCTGCAACAGGACCAAAGTGTTCTGAGGACCTACACCTGGCCTCATGTAACCCCTGGCAACCTGGAATCAAAGTGCGATCATCCCCATTTCACAGATGGGGAAACTGAGGGTTGGAGAGAAGTGACACCACTAGCTCCAGAGCTTTGAGCCCAGCTTCCTCATCTGCAAGATGGAGATAACAGCACGTGCCTCCTTGTCTTGTTAGAGGAATACCGGATAAGCCACCCAGGGCCGGGTGTGCACACAGTAGTAGGCGCCCCCAGTCTGCTCAGGTGCCTGTTGCTATTTCTGGGCAGCTGCCTGGATGAGGACGGCCACCCAGACTGAGGCAGGAATCCAAAGAGCAGAGCCCCGTTTGGGTGGTTCGAGATGTCCCATGTCAGATGGAGGAGGCAGCACAGCATTGGGGCTGAGCACAAGGGCGTTCCCCCGCTTCTTCCAGACCAAGGAAGGCTGGGCTGTGGGAGCTTGGTGTTCCTGTCCAGTGTCCTCGTTTGTAAAATGAGAGGTGGGCTGGCTGTGTACTGGGGACCCTGCTTCTCCAAGGCCCTGTGGTCAGTGACCCCTTCCCCACAGGCTTGCGGTGTGGACTATGAAGTCAAAGCCTTCTGCGCGGAGAATTTGGAGGAGAAGATCCACAAGCGGTGAGTAGGATGCCAGGGTGTGGGCCGCCTGCTGGGTGAGGGAGGGAGACAGGATGGGCAAAGTCCAAGAGGAGATAAGTAACAATACCTGGAAGTGTGTGAGGAGGGGCGCACATTCCAGCCTTGGAAGGGCACTCTGGAAGCTGGGAGGTCACGGAGGGCTTCCTTGGGGAGGTGGCTTCGACTGCCTGGGTTCAGGCTGCAGCATCTTCTCCTTTGCACCATTGTGGCAGCTTCCTCCCTCATCTCCCTGCCTCTCATTTCATCCCCTCCAGACTGCATGTCTTTTTAATTTGTTTTGGAAAAACCCTAAATTCAGATTGTGTTAAACAGTGAGCAGGCTGTTTCCTGACCATTCTCATTTTCCAGTTTTCCTCCTGGGAGGCGTTCAGCAGGAGTGGAGTGTGTGTCAATGGCAGCTTCTAAGTGAGGAGGAAGTGGAGATAGTGAACCCATCCAGGGGAGAGTGACAGGGAGGTCGGCCCACATCTAAGAGATGGGAAGCGTTCTCTGGAGAAGAACAGCCCGGGCAGACAGAGAGCCCAGGCTGGCAGCCAGAAACAGCTGGCCCGGATGTCTCATGCCTGCCCCTCCTGGGTCGGGCTGTGCTCTGTCTGCCTCCTGGAATAGCTGGTGGGCCCTCGACGCTGATGTGCCTGCATCCAGAGGCACTGGTCCCAGAGGAGGTTGGCTGAGGGCACAGCAGCCTTTTTAGGGCGTGGGCTGAGTTTGCCACCTGGTGGCTATAGGGTGTATTGCATGCATTTGCATCTGCAGCCCTGGCAGCTGTGTGTGAGGAGATGGGACTTTTCTCCCTTGCTTCTCTGTCTCCCTTTTCCTCTTAAGACCTGAGACCAGGGAAGAGGAAGGGTGCTGTGGGATGTGGGAGGAGGCTTGGTAAGCACAAGAAAGAGGAGGTGACATCGAGAGCCACCCCTCTCACCCTACCACCAATGGGACATTTAAAATCCACACCAAGGAGTTACTAATAATAATGATATAGAAGCTATCATTTATCAAGGGCTGATTAGGTGCCAGACACCATTTACAGTGCTGGGCTGTATGAACTAATTTAATCCTCACAGCAGCTCTAAGAAGTACGTCCTTGCTGGGCGTGGTGGCTCACACCTGTAATCCCAGAGCTCTGGAAGGCCGAAGGCAGGCATATTACTTGAGGCCAGGAGTTCCAGACCAGCCTGGCCAACATGGTGAAACCCCATCTCTATTGAAAATACAAAAATTAGGCAGGTGTGGTGGCATATGCCTGTAACCCCAGCTACTCAGAAGGCCGAGGCAGGAGAATTGCTTGAAGCTGGGAGGCAGAGGTTGTAGTGAGCTGAGATTGCGCCACTGCACTCCAGCCTGGGCAACAGAGTGAGACTCCATCTCAAAATAAATAAATTAATAAAAATTTAAAAAGGAGAAAAAGAGGTAGGTCCTTCTGTCATCACCCTTTACAGATTAGGGAACAGAGGCAGAGAGAGGTTAATGTACCCAGGGCCACATAGTTAGTAAGAGGAGAGCTGGGAGTTTGACCCTGGCTCCCTGGTTACAGGCAATGGAGGCAGCTTATCTGAGCAACGGAGATGCCGGCATTCCCAGCATGCCACAGAGACGGCCTCACCAAGTCCCCCTCCCTCACCAGATCCTCATTTGCTCCCTGATCCCCTGTAATCTTCATGGAGCCAGTCTCATCCATGGGCCTTCTCCCCTCCCTGGGCTTGTCCCCTTCACTGGCTTGCATCCCCCTGACTGAATCCACGCCTCCTCCCTGAACCCCAACGCCTCCCCAAGCCCCATTTCTTCTTGAGACCGCTGTCCCCTCTGCATAGTTTTACATAATAGATATCTGGCAGTTGTTTATTATATGGCAGGCACAGTCATAGGTGCTGAGAGTACAGCTGTGAACACCTTAGACACAAATTTCTGTCCTTAAAGAACTTACACAAATAGTGTCCTATGTCACCAAAATAGATGACAGAGGGACACTATTTGTGTATGGTGACATAGGGAGTCAGGAAGTGACAATGTTACCTATTTGGTGACATAGGGAAGCAGGAGGTGAAAAATGTAGTCCCTGTTTCAGCATCCTGCTGGGTACCAGGACCAAATGAAGTGCAGCCACAGGGCACTTCTGGGACAGAACAGGGGAGGATGGAATGGAGCCAGATGGTGACAGACCCCTATGCTGATCTCTGCAGTTTGGCTGGATTCTAAGGTGATGGAGAGCCATGCCAGTCTCTTGAGCAGGAGAATGATGTGAGGCTCGCAAGGAGAGGGGATGAAGGCAGGTGACCCTGGTCCTCTTTCACTCCGCCCATCTCCATTAGGAATTCTGTGCGTCTGGTCATCCGGAAGGTTCAGTATGCCCCAGAGAGGCCTGGCCCCCAGCCCACAGCCGAGACCACCAGGCAGTTCCTCATGTCGGACAAGCCCTTGCACCTAGAAGCCTCTCTGGATAAGGAGGTAGGAGGCTCGGACTTGGCAGGGGGTGGGGGCTGCTCCACCAGGGCCTGGGCCTCAGATCCCAGCTCTCTCCTGGCCTGCAAGGATGCCTCAGGTAGGAGCTTCTATCCCCAGCCCAAGGACCACAGGGGTCAGGGAATCTGAGACCTCTCATGGGGGATTTGGAGAAGCCTCTTGGGCCTAAAGGAGTGGCAAAGGGGGCATGAACTTGAGAGATGTGATGGACTTCCGAAGTGAGGAGCAGACCTTCCTGAAGGTCCTGGACATCTCCCCCACACCTCCACCAGCTGCCTGCCTCAGGCCGAGTGCTGAAGGTCAACCAGCATTGCAGAGGGGGCACGGTGGGGGGCCGTGACCTTCCTGCCAAACACTGAGCGTCAGGGCGACAAGCCCTGCAGAAGGAAGGGCCTCCCCTCAAACTCTGAATCAAACCCAGCTGACTGCTGTGAGCTTAGGCTGGCCCCTCCTCAAGGTGTGGGCACCCCCTCTCTCTCGGGGCATGGCTGAAGGGAAGTGCCTTGGGGCAAGATGCAAGTTGAGGTCTTTTTGTAGGGATTCAGAGCTGGCTCCCTCAGTGAGCTGGTGAGCCCATCCTCACCTTTCCCTGCTTCTTCCAGATCCTTCTGTGGACAGAATTTAGAGCTGGCAGGGACTTCAGACATCACCTAGTCCAACCCCTTCGTTGCACAGAGGGAGACCCTGAGGCTTAGATAACCTACCCACGGTCACACTGCTTTCATCATCGTCAATGTTATTGTTGTTATTGTTGTCACAATTACTGCTGGCCAAGCCAGGGCTGGAGCCCAGGACTATCACCTTCCAATTCCGTTATCTTTCAAGGGTCCCACCAGGGAACTGAAGGCTAATGTGCTTGGTGGCTTTCATGCCACCTTAGCAGCAGTGGGAAGTGGCTGATGAACTTGGGGCAAATGTCACAATGCCTTGGGGGATTCGGAGAAGCCTCTTGGGCCTAAAGGAGTGGCAGAGGGGGCATGAACCTGAGGGATGTGATGGACTTCAGATGGGAGCAGCAGACCCTTCTGAAGGTCTGCGCAAGGTCTGGGGAACCCCAGAAGATCGCGTGGGGGCTTTTCTCCCTCCCCTTTCCCTAGAACCTTGCTGTCCTCCCAGCCAACCCCGTCCCTTCTTATGCCCCCCAGATCTATTACCATGGAGAACCCATCAGCGTCAACGTCCACGTCACCAACAACACCAACAAGACGGTGAAGAAGATCAAGATCTCAGGTATCCCAGACAGAGGGTCAGCTTAGGGGACAGCGAGAGGCAATCTTCCCAAGGGCTGGGGGTGGCTGAAGTATCTCCCCTTGTTAACAGCCTTGTATAAAAAATAGCCACTGAAGCCCAGGGCCTGCTCTGAGCCACAGGGCAAAGCTTTTGAGTTGGGTAAGGCAGGCTGCTTATTGGCTAGGTAATGAGTTTGCTCTTTAAGCCACCTCTTCAGTTTCTTGGGTTCTGGACAAAGCTGTCCTTGAGGGGAAGGCTTTGGTTATGGAAGGAAATGGGTGTGTTTGGGGCTACCCTTTGGATGTAAGACAGGGGTGGTCTTATGCAGAAGTCCCCACTGGTGGCCTCTGGCCATTGCCTGGGGCTGAATATCCCCAACCCGGGGACGCCTGTGAGACTCCATGGGAGCTACATTCCCGACTCACTCCACCTTGATTCCTCTCCCTCCCTAGTGCGCCAGTATGCAGACATCTGCCTTTTCAACACAGCTCAGTACAAGTGCCCTGTTGCCATGGAAGAGGCTGAGTAAGTGGGCACAAGTCTGGCCTTGGGCGTATGGGATTGGGTGGGAAAAAGAGAAGCTCTAGGTGTCCTGTTACAGGTCCAGGTGGCTCTTCTCCACCTGGCAGAGGGCTGGGCCTCAGACTTCCTTGCCACTCAGAGTAGATGATCCCGAAGAGCCTTTTAGAAACCATCCACCTGATTTAGCTTCAAGAAAATGCATGCTACAGTCAAGGAAGAGACCCACTAAAACTAGAGTGACAAAACAATAGCTAATGAATGTAAGGGGATTGGGGTTGTGAGAAGAAATAATTACGTTGTACAAGAAACCTAGGTTGAAGGGAAATACTTTGTTCTTGGCTTCCTGGTAGCCAGGGCAAAGTGGGTAAGGCACTAGGTACACAGCTCTTGTCTGATAAAGGGGTAATCCAACTCATTGGGAAAAAGGGGTTGTGTGTGGGAGTGCAGAGAATAATTACACACAAAAAAATCATCTAGGTTTGAGGAGAACTGCTATGGTTGAGCATGGATCGAACTTTGTCCCAGGCTTGTTGGCAGCTAAGGCAAGTGGAGAGATCTGAAGTGAAACATCTTTACTTACCTAAAGGAAGTAAATGCTCCCATTCAAAGACATACACATTTTTTTTTCCTGGCCCTGCAAGTAATTTCTTGGGGCAATTATACCTGATATAATTTTACATGTATATGTGTATTTGTTTATGTATAATTCCAATCAGTATTTCTTGCAACTGAAAATATTTTTAAAATGTTACTACATGGCCTTTGAAATAGTTTTTAATGTCCTATAGGTGAACATGCTATGATTAGATCAAGCTTTCTCTGGTTACTGGATATTTTTCATATCCACTGTTGATTTTTTCAAAAAAATCAGAGCTATGAGGCATAGATTCCTGATGGTAAAGTGAAGTGATCTAGAACCAGAGTAACATATAATCCCTAAAGAGTAGAAAATCCCAACCACTGCAGATGGTGCCAGCGTCTGCATAACGAATACCAGCAGGGATGGCTGGGGAGGCATTTGCACTCACAGACTTGTTTACTTCTCAGGAAGCGCTGTGGGGCTGGGGTTGCTGCTGCCCCAGTATGTAGAGGAGGAAGTGGCTCAGAGAGATGTGACTTGCAAGTTAGCAAGCAGCAAAGCTGGGGCTGGAACACGGTCGTCCGACTCCAAGGCTTGTTCACTATCTGCTGCATGACAGCTCTCTCATTGGAAAGGATGGGGGATAGAGCAAAAGCAAGTAAAAATTGGACAATCAAAACACCCTATATATGATGGATGTGATCAAGCAAGTAAAGTTTTAATTGTTGAGCCTAGATGGTGGGTATATGGGTGCCCAAATAGCTTCATTTATGGTTTATGTGTAGCTATAATTTTTTCTTTTTAAAATGTGTTTAGAGACAGGGCTGGTGCTCACGCCTATAATCCCAGCACTTGGGGAGGCTGAGGCAGGCAGATCACTTGAGGTCAGGAGTTTGAGACCATCCTGGCCAACATGGCAAAACCTCATCTCTACTAAAAATACAAAAATTAGTCGGGCATGGTGGCGCGCCCCTGTGATCCCAGCTACTTGGGAGGCTGAGGTAGGAGAACTGCTTCAACCTGGGAGGTGGAGGTTCCAGTGAGCCAGGATCGCACTACTGTACTCTAGCCTGGGCGACAGAGCAAGACTCTGTCTCAAAAAAATAAAATAAAATAAAATAAAATAAAATAAAATAAATTTAAATTAAATTTGTTTAGAGACAGAGTTTCACTCTGTTGCCCAGGCTGGAGTGCAGTGGTATGATCATGGCTCACTACAGCCAGCCTCGAACTCCTGGGCTCAAGTGATCCTCCTGCCTCAGCCTCCCAAGTAGCTAGGACTACAGGTGTGCACCACCATATCAGGCTAATGTTTAAAATTTTTTGTAGCGATGGGGTCTTGCTATGTTGCCCAGGCTGGTCTCAAACTCCTAGCCTCAAGCAATCCTCCTGTCAGCCTCTCAAGTTGCTGGGATTACAGGCATGAGCAACTGTGCCTGCTGTGGCTGTACTTTTTTTTTTTTTTTTTTTGAGATGGAGTCTTGCTCTGTCACCCAGGCTGGAGTGCAGTGGAGCAATCTCGGCTCACTGTAAGCTCCACCTCCCAGGTTCATGCCATTCTCCTGGCTCAGCCTCCTGAGTAGCTGGAACTACAGGCGTCCACCACCATGCCCGGCTAATTTTTTTGTATTTTTAGTAGAGACGGGGTTTCACCTTGTTAGCCAGGATGGTCTCCAACTCCTGACCTCGTGATCTACCCGCCTCGGCCTCCCAAAATGCTGGGATTACAGGCGTGAGCCACTGCACCCGGCTGGCTGTAATTCTTTAAATAAATGTGCTTTTTAGCACTGTGCTGCTTGACTAGGATAATCTTTTAGAATATCCGAGATTCAGTCCTGTTTGTGCGTAGAATGTAGATGTGCCTCTTTTGAGTGGCAGTGGTCTCCTTGCCCGAGCTGGGCTGGCCCAAGTGGTCCGTGTGTCTGGGGGACAGAGGTTGGGAGAGGGAGACTTGGAGCAGGCTCAGACTAGATATTCTGCTGGGCTGGAGATCAGGGCTGGGGTTGGCTCTGGGGAGGGCCATCTCCACAGCTGCTTCCTTTCTTCCCAGTGACACTGTGGCACCCAGCTCGACGTTCTGCAAGGTCTACACACTGACCCCCTTCCTAGCCAATAACCGAGAGAAGCGGGGCCTCGCCTTGGACGGGAAGCTCAAGCACGAAGACACGAACTTGGCCTCTAGCACCCTGTGAGGACCTGCCCTCCTAGCCCTGGGCTCCTAGTGCATCTTGCCTGATGGGGCCACACCCTCCTTGGTCCCCCCAGTTCAAAGACAAGGCTCAGGCTACCCTCTCCATAGCCTTGTCAGGGCCTGTCCTCAGGTGCTTGACTTGTCAGGGAAGCTGCCTCCTTACTCCCAACCCTACCCAGGGGTGACTGAGAGAATAAGATGGACCACTAGGCCAGCTCACTCAGGCAGTGCTGGGCTCTGCTACCATGCCTGGGGGAGGGCAACCTGGGAAGGCTTCCTGCAAGAGGTGGCAGCTTCTGACGTAATGCCTTCAGTCAGATGGGGTGTCCCTGAGGAGAGACCAGGGTGGTGAGCTGGGTTAGACCCAACATGGGGTGCCCCTCCAAGTCAGGGGTCCCAGGGCATCTGGTCACTCCTGCTGCACAGTCATCGTGGACGCCTCTAGGCTACTCTGCTCCAGCAGAGCCCTGGCTATGGGGATGCCATCTTGCCCTCTTGCCAGTGTGGTCCTTCAGTGGGGCTTTGGCCTACGTCTAGAGCAGCCGCCACTCCCAGCACAGACTCAGCTCTCTTCAGCAGCCCCTGCACAGCCTCCCACTTACCTGAAGCTTTTTGCCCTGTCTCCACCCTGGCTCACACCCTACCCATCTTCAAGACCCAGCTGAAGCACCACCTCTGCGGAGAAGTCCTTCTCTGATGGCCCCCACCCCACCCCACCCCAGCTGCCTCGCCCTCTGTGAACTCCCCGTGTGGCCCTTTCTGCCCATGGGTTGCTGAGAGAAGCAGAATCCATCTGAGGGGAGGAGGAGCCTGGCCCTCATGGCGGGGACGCTGGCCTGGGCAGGGAGAGGGGCTCAGCAGGGCCACACAGTGAGCGAGTCTCACAGTCAGACTTGGAACCGGGGCTCTGGGTCCCTGCTACCTAAGGGCACTGCTCGCCTTCCTCATCTCCACTGGGCTCTATTGGACATGGTAGCTGAGTGGCTAGCCAGATGGGGGATGGACGGCCACTGCCCCCCAGCATACCCACCCCTGAGGTGTCTCGCCCACCTGGCAAGGCCCCTGAACTGGCTCCCCTGTGTCACTTTGCAGGTTGAGGGAAGGTGCCAACCGTGAGATCCTGGGGATCATTGTTTCCTACAAAGTGAAAGTGAAGCTGGTGGTGTCTCGGGGCGGGTGAGTGCTCCAGCCAAGCCCAAGACCCCGGAGTGCAGAGGGGAGCGTCCCAGGTGCCCACAGGCCCCTGCCCCATTCTGCCTGTTTGCAGCCCTTTTAGCTGCATCCACCTTGGAGGAGGAACCTCCTGTCCCTTCTTTTCCTCCCTTCTGTTCCTCTTTCTCCCCCGCCCGCTTTCCCTCTCTTCCTTCCTTGGCCCTCAGCCCCTCTCTTACCCCCACCCATCTCTTTCTCTCTCTCCTCCTCCTCTATCCTAGGTCTGGGCTCGCACTGAGGATTGGCCATGCCCAGGGGACGGCGTCCTCAGAGTCTTTGCTGTGGGGTCCCCAGGGGTGCCATCTCCTTATCACACTTTGGGCATAGCACCCACCCCCATGCATGCCCAAGCTGATTTTCTGAGGAAACAGCTAAAAGGGCTCAGAACCCAGAGCTGGATTGGGGATTTGCTAGTCAGCTTTCCCATTTTACAGATGGTGAAACAGAGGCCCAGACAGTGCCCCAAACATTGCCTGAAATCTCCTCTCCTAACTCAGGTCATAGTGGTGGACCAGACTGCCCTGCCCTGGAGCATAGTTTGGTGGAAGCTCAGGGAGAAAAACAAACAAACAAACTACTGTGTTTCTTTTTTGTAACTTAATTCATAAATTTCTATGAAAAGATTGAAAAGCTAAATCCCATTAGACATTGGGTCTCCTTGATTATTAGAAGAATGCCTCTTGGCAGGTGGCAGTATGTAATCCTGACCTTATATAATAGGACATCTCAAAATTACAAATCCCAAATCCTGTGTCTGGTGACCTTTCAGGACCCACAGTCCCTCAAACATTCTTGGCAACCCCGGAGTCCTTCCCTCTGCCTTTAGATAGTCCGGCCTCCCTTGGGACAGGCAGCACTGGGGTTAATTTTTACACTGCCTTGACAGATGAGGATCCTGGGGCTCAGGGGTTTGCTGAGCTGGGTCTGGATCCCAGTCCCTCGGGGCAGGGCTAATGCCATTTCGGTGTATCCCTGAAAGAGCAGTCAGGGCTGTGCAGGGGGGTGGGTGGGAGTGTGTCCCGTGGGTCTTCTCTATCCGGGGGACAGCAGAAGTGGTGAATGAATGTGCTTTTTGTTTTCTTCCTCTCTGAACTCTCTCCTGACCACTTCTCCTGCCTCCTCTGACCCACCCAGCCTGTTGGGAGATCTTGCATCCAGGTAAATTCCTCCCTTCCACCTGGTTCACCCACCTTCCTGGAGGGCCTGGAGCCCATTGGCTTGACTGACCAGAATCACAGGGCACTGGGTTGGAAGGAATCTTAGTGGTCATTTCAGATAGCCAGGTTCAGGTGTGAGCTGGGAGACACAATTTCTCCTTAACAAACCTCACCTTGCTCTTCCATCCCACCTGAGTGACAGGGATCTTTACAGAGAGCAAAGCCTGATTACACTGATACAGGGAGTGGCCCCCAAGAGAGCTGTCTGAATTACTGATCACCTGAATTATAGGAGCTTTTGGAGAAATGCAGACTTCATGGCTTTCAAACTTCTACACTAGTGAGGAGGGAACTGCTGGCCAAGTGTTGCTAAGGAGAGGTCCTCAGGAGATCCTATTTTGTAAACAAGGTCTCCTTGCAGCCAGCTGGATGCACTTATATTCCAAAAATGCATGTACCCCAAACACAGCAGTTTGGCCTCCTTCTGTCACAAGATGGCAGTGTGGCTCATCCTAAGAAATCTTAAACTAATTTGACAGGTGAAATTCATTCAATTCAATTCAGTTCCATATCATTCAGCAAAGATTTCCTCAACCCAGGCTTGCGTCCAGGCTGGTGCTGAGTGCCAGAGTCCCAGAGAGGAATCAGATGTGGTCCCTGACCTTATCGTTCCTGGCCCGGTAGAAGGTTAAGATCCAGATTCTTCCACTAAAATGTTGGCAAACCCAGTCTTCCACCAGCTCCATTCTGAAGCAATCCCCAAAGCAAAAGGAAAAAAAAAAGAGAAGGAAAAAAAGGCCAAATAGCTCTGACAGCCTTATAAAACCCCCAGGTTCCCAATGAGGGGACTTAAGTAACGATTCTGGCAGGCACAAGCTTCACATTTTTATTTTTATTTTTTATTCTGAGACAAGGTCTGATTCTATTGCCCAGACTGGAGTGCAGTGGCACAAACTTGGTTCACTGTAACCTTCTCTGCCTCCTGGGTGGAAGCCATCCTCCCAACTCAGCCTCCTGAGTAGCTGGGACTACAGGTGTGCTCTACTATGCCCAGCTAATTTTTTTTTTTTTTTTTGAGACAGAATCTCACTCTGTCGGGTAGGCTGGAGTGCAGTGGCACGATCTTGGCTCACTGCAACCTCTGCCTCCCAGGTTCAAGCAGTTCTCTGCCTCAGCCTCCCAAGTAGCTGGGATTATAGGCACCCGCCACCACACCCGGCTAATTTTTGTATTTTTAGTAGAGGCAGGATTTCACTATCTTGGCCAGGCTGGTCTTAAACTCCTGACCTCATGATCCACCCGCCTCGGCCTCCCAAAGTGCTGGGATTACAGGCGTGAGCCACCGCGCCCAGCCTAATTTTTGTATTTTTAGTAGAGATGGGTGGTGGTGGCAGTGTCTCACCAGGTTGCCCAGGCTGGTCTCGAACTCCTGAGCTCAAGGGATCTGCCCGCCTTGGCCTCCCAAAGTGCTAGGATCACAGGCGTGAGCCACTGCGCCTGGTCAAGCTTCACAGTTTAACTCAGCTCTTTAGCTGCCTCATCTCCCAGAAGTTCCCGTGGTTCTAGAAGACAGGCTTTGTTCCAAGTTGAGCTCAGTGAGACTCAAAGCTAGAAAGTGCTGCACCAGCGGGTGGCGAGGCTGGTGGAACAGACCTTTCTAATTGCACGGCTTGTGCCTCTGACCACTCCATTCCCTGTCCCTTCCTCTTTCCCAACTGGGCTCTGGACAACAAGATCAGTGGGATGTGGCTTGTGCCTGTAGGCACTCGCAGTTGGGTGGTCTCCTAGGGTGATGTCACCCCAAGCCGAGAGGAGCCTTCAGGGTTGCTTTTGTTAGTCTCAATTCTGCTACTGTCACACAGTGATCAAGGGTGTGGTTATGGAGCCAGAATCTAATAATAACCATTAATAGCTGTGTGGCCTTGGGCAAGATATTTTAATCTCCTCATGCCTCAATGTCCCAGTCTGTACATTGGGGATAATAATATGGTTGTTGCGAGGATTAAATGAGTTACTCTATGGAAGGGGCTTACAGTAATCCTTGGCACAGGGTCAGTACCATGTGAATACCTTCTCTTATTCTGTCCATCAGGGCCAAGTACAGAGAAAGCCCCATCAGAAGCACTGGCTGGTGGCTGGGTCTTCCCGGCCGCTTTCCCCTGCATCCCCACAGTGTAATCAGCCTTGGGCCCTGGGGCCATCCTAAACCTGACTAAACTGACCTCAACAGTGCTTCATCCAGATTGCAGGGGTGCTAGGGTCACCTGAGCACTTTTACAAGAGCACCCTGGAGGTGTTGGGAGATGGGATGGCGTGAGGGTGGGAGGAGCTCCGACCTGGAAGTTGGGAAGGGCAGTGTCAGGGGAGGCGAGGGTGGCTGTGGCGATTTGAGGTGGGGGGGGGTCCCAGGGCACCTCTGGAGCCCCGCAGTGACCACGGTGCATGCTGCCCCGGGCAATCCTTTCCCACCCCTGGGCCTCTTCCCAGCCCGTGGGAACCCAGAGAGCCTTCTCAGGAAAGAGGAGGCTTCCATTTCTTTTTGGGACCAGAGGAAGTCTCCTCGTCCAGCTCCCAGGCAGACCGAGGCTCCGAGTGGCAGAACTGGGGCTGGAGGGCATCTTTTGGATCTACCTCCTCTGACGGCAAAACCCTCTGCAGTCCTCGGACTGACAGGGCATCGACATCAAGTCTCACAGCCTGTGAGTCCGCTCAAGGCTCACTGGGTCTGGGTCTCTGTTTCAGCGACGTGGCCGTGGAACTGCCCTTCACCCTAATGCACCCCAAGCCCAAAGAGGAACCCCCGCATCGGGAAGGTGAGCAGAATCTGTAGGTCTCTGGGGTAGGGGTTCTCTAGCAGCTGCCACGTGACCCTGTAACCCACCCCGCCCCGGGTTCGCCCTCAGCCCAGTCACCCTTTTCTCGGGTCCCCAGATCTTTTGTGGGGTCCAGAACTCGATTTGCTTCTGACCCCACCAGGAGACAGTGAGGCGTGGCTCCTGTTCCCCATGGGAGAGGGAGGCCAGGAGTGGAGAAGGGAACTCATTGGCCATGCTTTGAGCCTCTATCTTGCACCCAGGCATGGGCTGGATCCCGTTTGGAAGTAGGGGAAGGGGCTGCTTGGATAAGATGACCGTTGGACACGCTATTGTCATGTTTTTCTTCTTCTTTTTTTTTTTTTTTTTTTTTTTTTTGGTTTTGAGACACAGTCTCACTCTGTTGCCCAGGCTGGAGTGCAGTGACGTGATCTTAGCTCACTGCAACCTCCGCCTCCCAGGCTCAAGAGATTCTCCTGCCTCAGCCTCCCGAGTAGCTGAGATTACAGGCGGCTGCCGCCACACCTGGCTGATTTTTGTATTTTTAGTAGAGACGGGGTTTCACCATGTTGGCCAGGCTGGTCTCAAACTCCTGACCTCAGGTGATCTTCCCGCCTCAACCTCCCAAAGTGCTGGGATTACAGGCATGAGCTACCATGCCTGGCCTGGCCTGTTTTTCAAGTGATAGCAGATTGGTCATATTTCATTGAATCTGAGACTTTCAGTGGAGAGAGACAACATAATAGTAGGTACAATTAGGAAAAAACTTCCATGGTTAAACTGTGCAGTGCCATCGACGGTAAGACACACTCCAAATTTGGAGATGTTAAAATGTGAAGGAAAATATAAAAAAGATTGTCTTAGAATTGGTGAATGGCATGCATGCAAGGAATTAATGTAATTCATGTTGGAGACCTGTCAAAAGAAACAGAAGTTTAGAGGATTTTCTGTTCTTCTGGGGCTGCAGTGGGGATCCGGGGCCCTCCTGGTGCCATCCTCCCTGCCTTTCAGATGATTTGGGGTGTTTCAGTACCAGGAATGAGTCCTCCCCCATCTCCATTCCCCTTTATCCTTTGCCCTTCTCATGTTAGTCTGGTTGTCCCAGGGTGGGGGCCTGTGCTTACTCGCCCCGTGCTCATCCACTCACTAATCCCTGGACACCCTGCCCACCCACCCTGTGTTTAGTTCCAGAGAACGAGACGCCAGTAGATACCAATCTCATAGAACTTGACACAAAGTAAGCTGAACCCTGCCTGCAGACATCCGGGGGTGGGCCGCGGGTGGGCGGGGTGGAGGGGGTCATTTGCATATATGCTTATTAACTCCTGAGGAGCCGCTGGTCTAACCCCGTCTGCTGAGAGCCACCTCTGCTCGCCTCTTCAGCAACCCGCTTGCCTGCATGTGACTTGAAGGACCCTCCGTGCCTGTTCCTCTTCCTCCTGCCTTGGTGGGGTCTGTCTTCCTCCCTCGTCCTTGCACGTCCGTCCGTCAGTCCGTTCGTCCATCCACAGCGCCTGCTCGGCTCACACAGGGCTGGTCCATGGCCCTGGGCTCGGCTCTCCTGTCCTGCCCACGCCAACCAGTGGAATCAGGCTGTGGGGTGGGCAGGGGACTGGGGATCTTGTTGCTTCTGACTCCTGAGGACCAACCGATGTGGATTTCCCTGCAGTCAAAGGCCATCGAGTCACCGGACAGTGGCCAGAGGGGGAGGACCTGGGCCGACTGCGCGGACCGCCTCCAGGTCCAAGTGGCTTTCTTGCTCCAGCTCCAAAGCCAATCTTCCCTTGTCCCCCAGGAGAAATCTGGGGTGTGGGGGTCTCAGGTCACCCCATGAGGATGCCCCATGCACTGGCTGAACCCTGTTGGGCAGGGGACCCAGGTGGACACCTGCATGGTCCTAAATGGACATGTTTCATGGTAGAAGGGAACTCGCTGTTCTTAAAGGCAGTCTAGTCCTGAAACCCCACTCAAGCCTCCCCTTTCCTCACGAACAGGTCCTCTGCCCCCCTATTTAGATTCACATCCTCCTACCCCAGCCTTCTTCTGTCTGGGATCCCCCAAGGTAGAATCTGAGCTGACACTTCTGGGAGAAAGGTTCTTCATGGTCTTCTCTTTCATTAAGCCAAACTACTCCTTGCTGTCCAGAAACGGGAATGCTTCCTAAGGGTAGTTTTCTGGGTGGTGGGGTGGGGTTTGCCGGGCCTATTCTTGGGGGATTCAGAACATGCTGTGAAACTACTGGTGGCCTGGCCTCTCACAGTGGGAATAAGTCCTTCCTCTGGCTACAGAGCCACACTGCTCCCCCCACCTCCTAAAGAACCAGGTTACTTTTCTAGCCCTCAGGCACAAGAGTCAAATTCATGCCCCTCTCTGCCCCTTTCATGACTGGCCCGAGTCCTGATGTGACTGTCCCCACTGCCACAGGTGGCATCCACATGTGCCAGCCAGACAGGCCTTTCTGCTCATGGTCAGCCCCAGAGGCCAGAGACCTCAGAGAGGGTGGTTCTCCCCGGCCCCAGAGCCATACTCTGAGTCACATCTGGCCGGGCCTCTGGATAAGCCTACTCTCCCTGCCCCTGCAAACACACCACATTTTCCTTGTCTCTCCCACCAGTGATGACGACATTGTATTTGAGGACTTTGCTCGCCAGAGACTGAAAGGCATGAAGGATGACAAGGAGGAAGAGGAGGATGGTACCGGCTCTCCACAGCTCAACAACAGATAGACGGGCCGGCCCTGCCTCCACGTGGCTCCGGCTCCACTCTCGTGCACTCGGATGCTTACTCGTCTTCTTCCTGTTCTGGTTTCTTTTCCCCTTTGTTCTTCCAGTTTCTACCAGGGGGCCCCGTGGGCTTCCAGATCACGGTGATGAACCTCTGGCCTCAGGATTGGCCCCACATCACCACGCCAACAGGACCACAGCGCACTGGCTCCACCCCATCTCTGCCATCTCCACTCCCCTCCTTTTCATGCTGTCTCCCAGAAAAGCTGCCAGGGCTCTGGCCTTGGAATTGGACTTGAGATGGGGAGCAGACAGGGGAGGATGGGGAATGTGGGACACGGTGTGGTGGGCATGAGGGCTTGGAGGGGTGGGGATGAGGGCTCAAGACACGAGAGAAGATGTCCACGGTCCCAGGTGGTTAACAAAGTTCTGGCAGCTAAAAGATGACCGCGTTGAAGGCCACCTCCTTCTGGCTGGGAGGGGCAGAACTGTGGACAGATTCTCAATGCCTTTTTGAAGTTCTGACCCACCAAAGACCTTCTGCCTTCACCCTCCTCCCCACCTGATGTCCCTCTGTGTCTGATAGTGATGTTGGTGAAAGTTCGTAGACCCCAGGAGTAGAGAAAAGCAACTGGACTGACTTTCTTACCAGCAGTTACCTAGACTGAGGCAAGCTGTGTGGACTCACCCAAGTATATTTCAGTACTGTCAGGCTGTGACATCTTAGCTACCTTGTATTTCAAGTGCATGGCCCTGTCTAGAGATATGCACAGAGAGAAAAGCAGAGGGAGGGAGGGAGGGGGTCTTCAGCAAGCACCAGCCCCCAGCAGAGTGAGCTGAAGCTCCTGAGGAGGGTTCCCGAAGGGGGGCGCTCAGAGATGGGGGCAGGGGGCGGGGAGAGGAGAGTCTGCCTTATGTCCCTTCCTTGTGGACTTCACATGGTCATGCAGGAAGTGAGGATGGGTGTCCAGCGGGGGCCGAGGCCACTAGTATCCTCCTGCTTCCCCCTGCCATTCTCCAGGGCTGGACTGACCCTATGGACTGGGAGAGAGTGCCTGAGGCCACCATGCCACAGTCAAAGGGGGTCCTATCTCAGAAGGTGGCAGCATCCACTGAGATATCCTCACCCGAAGGGAAGGAGGCTGCTGGGTAGCAAATAAGCCCCTTCTTTTCTTGGTGAGTTGATGACCTCCAATAGCTCCCAGTGTCATGGGTACCCAGTACGCATTAGCTGGTGTTGGGTTGATTGAGACCTGGGGCAGTTCCTGGGGCAAGAAGCCAGATGGGAGATGAGATAGAAAGTGTTAGGAGTTATCCTCTTTGCCTGGCCTTTGAGAATAACTTACTGTGTGACTTTGGGCAAGTTCCTTCCCCACTCTGGGCCTCAGTTTCTCACTTGGGAAAGCAAGGAGTTTGACCAGATGATCACAATGGGCCTTCCTAGCTCTGGCCACCAAGAATTTGTGAACATTAGAGCTCCTGGTCTGGTGGGTAGAGCCAGAGCTGCTGACTGGTCTCTCTGCCTCCAGAGGGGATTTATTGGACCTCAGAGGTGGCAGGGCCCTATGGAGCACCAACTGCCCTCAACCCCACCCTGTGCCCAAGACTGGGAAGGGATTGATGTCAGGCTGTGGCCATAGGTAGCATGAGTTGCCCAAGGAGGGACAGAGCATATCTTTGCTGAGGCTTGGCTGAGGGGCTTATGATAGGGCTTGCAGTACCTCACAGCCCCCTGTGGGCACAGACACCCTGAGGTTTACCCAGGCAAATATATTGATTAGCAGGACAAGGGCTCTCTCCTCAGTTTCTGCTCCCTTCCATCTCTCTCCCATACTTGTCTGAAAAGGGAGACAAAAAATCTTATACAAGTGGCATCTCAATCCTTTCCAGTCCAGCACCTCCTGGGGCAGGCAGTGTGACTTATTTCCTGTGGTGAAATCACCTGTTTCACAAGCCTGGCAGCGCGACTTCTGAGTCTCATGACCACTCAACCCAAGGGACCCCTCCCCAGACCAGAACCAAGTCAGCTGGGGGCTGTCGTACTACCCTGTCCAGTCTTGAGGGCCTAGTTGCAGGTCCCCCAGGCATCCAGCCCCTCCTAGAGCTTGCTGGGCAGGCTGCACCTCATCTGGGCAGGCGCAGAGCTGATGAAATGCTGGAGCAATGCATGGCAAACATATGCCCTCCAGTGTCTTCTGAAACCTTTGGGGCTGACACAAGATCCTTTAGTGTTTGGGATGACCTCTTTCCTGCAGACTTCTTCCCCTATCCCTAACTCATGCATGGAAAACGTTTGTCAGGCTGGTTTCCCGAGCCTCCTGCACCTCAACATCACGCTCACCCTTTTGGGTTTAGCCCAGTGTTATTTAGCAAATTTCTCCAGCTGCAGGGAAGGATCAGAGCACTATCTTTTTTTTTTTTTTTTCTCCTGGAGCCAGGACTGCACAAGGCAATGGCCAAATTTAGTTGAATTCAGCCTACCATCCTTTGCTGATGACTCAGCTCTATGCCAAGTACTGGAGCCACAGAGATGGGTCAGTCCCAGCCCCTGTCCTCAGGAAGCCCATGGTCAGGGAAACGTTGTAGGGATAAGTAATAGAGGGCAGTTGCCTTCAGGGCTCCTGGTGGCTGCTGGTCCCTATGGTGCCTTGATGTGAATTAGAAGACGGTGCCCTTTCCAGGTGGATTCAGACCTACACTAGAACGCACAGCTTTGGGAGTGACACACAGGTTGGATTTTAGCACCCCTTGCCCCTTGGCCAGAGGTGCCCTGCTGCACGGCCATACGCTGCAGCCTCGAGGGACACACAGGCCAAAGTGTTTCCTTCAGCCTCTTCCTGGAGAGGAAGCCGCAGGTCATGTTTCCAAGCTTCTGGTCAACTCCAGGCACCACCTCCCAGCCCCCAAACATGGCCGAGCCAGTGCTTCTCTGCAGGGCCCCTTTCCTTTCTGGAGTCAGCCTGCCCAGGTGATACCTTGAAGTGAAACTAGGGGTGGGGGAGCCTCACTAGGCCCCAGGCACCATCCCACAGTACTGGCGGTTTCTCTGCCAAGTGTTTGGGGCCTGCACTGGCCAAGCCATCCGTCACTGGGACTTTGCAGTGTGCCCTGTGGGTGGCGTGTGGACACCGGTCCGGGCAGGAAGGAAAAGCATGCCCCGGTGAAAACCCACCGAGCAGAGAGCCAGCGGGACCTCCTCAGCATTCCACCCAGGGGAAGAGTTCAGTCCCCATGAAGATAAGGACTGAGTTATTTGGCTGCACCTCTCCTCAGCCTCAAAGCTCAGACCTGCTAGAGTGGGTTCACCTGGCTGTTGGTTCTGTGGGAGAGTTCCTGACAAGCTGGTTCCTACATGGTGCAGTGAAAGGAACTCTGTCCTGGAAGTCCCCAATGCCGCCTCTCAGTCCTGCCTGTCACCAACCACCTGGGGGGCTTGGGCAAGCTACTCAACCTCTGGGGCTCAATTTCCCTAACTGTAAAATGGGATTGTAATCCCTTCCCTGCCTGACGCAGGAATTGTTATGAGGCCCAGATGAGATGAAAGTCAGCGGTCAGGGCTCTGTAAGTTGAAAATGGCTGGATGTGTGTGGCCCTGCCACTGCAGGGATGGCCCAAGGTCACACAGAAAGTTTGCTGCAGGAGGAGCCCTCCCCACCAGTCTTCATCGCTTGCCCTGCTTCTCACTTAGGCAGATGTCAACCAGAATGAGATACAGCCAATTTGGCTTTGATGACCCAGCTGAGAGGGAAATTTAGATACAATTCAGGAATATCATGCCCAAAAATAGTGGTCCCAGCAACCAGGACACAGAGGGAAGACCTGGATATTGTCAGTGATTGGTGGAGGGGGACATCTTGGACCCTCCTAGGCCTGGTGTCACATCTCCCATCTCTCAGACCCCACAGAGGCCAAGGGGCCTTGGCTCTGACCCAGGTTAAAGAGAGCCACCAGCCCCCAGGCTCAGGGAGCTGAAACCACCCATCCGCAGAAATCTAAGGGCAAGGAGAAATAGAAATTGTCTGTTCCTTCCCTTCAAAGTGTAAGGCCTCTTCCAGGAGCAACTGGAGCCACCACAGCTTCTCAGTGACATTGGGAGGGCTTCGGGCCCAGGAAAAACCCAAGCCTTTTGTCCTGAGAGCCGAGCCACAGCGGATGCAGTGGCGTCAGCATCCCAGAGCGGCAGCTTCTCTCCTGCCTGTCACTGGGGACTGGTTGCTCTCCACCCATCCAGGAGGAAGGGGTTAGGTCCCAGTCTTACACTCTTATAGGGTCTCATGGACATAGGCCTATGCCTGTTCTGATATCTATAATTTTTTAAACTCAAAAGGACCAAAACACTCCTGAACCCTCATCTATACGGCCTGCACTGGGCTTGGTGTTTCCTCCTGGCCCAGGCAGCTCCATCTCTTCTGCCATTCCTCCTGGACGAAAGTGGCAGGACCCCACCTCTACCACTTCCCCACAGGGTCACTGCACAGCGGCTTCAAAGACACGCCCTGTTGAAGGGGAAACATCCTCCCCCCATCACACTCCAACTCGTCACCCCAAAAGGGAAGTCAAAGCACAGGTCCGTGGGGCCTATGGTTTGTAGACACTGACACAGTGGTTTTCAAACCAGGTGCTGCGGAACCCCTGATATTCCACAGAGCTTTGTCAGGGGATGCTAAAGTGGGAAGATGGGAGTGGAGGCAAAGGATAGGTTTCCAGCCCTCCTCCCATTTCCGCCGCCACCAGAATAACTCTGCTTTTATCTGTCTTGCCTACTGAGATTTCATTTTCAAGCTTTCTTTGAAGAAGAACTTCAAACCACCATCTCGAGGTTTGATCTTAGACCAGCCAGCACAGGTTCTATTCTTGCTGTTCATGTTGGAATGGCTCCAGCGTTCCAGTACAAAGTGTCTTTGTGTTGGAACTTGGGTCACAGACCCAGGCACAAGCATTTATACACACACACACACACACACACACACACACACACACACACGTACATAGTTGATGGTTTTTCTAGCCAACCCACCCTGAAGCTCTGGCCAAGGTTTGATTTGGACAGGGACCTGGTGCTCAGTGGGGATGGGTCGTGACCCTGATATTGGCCCATGAAGCATGGGGAGCTCTGGAGCAAGGAAACAGGCTCAATCCCCCACTGAGGACTTGTGTCTGCACCCCTATCTGGCACCCCACTTTCCTGGCCTAGGCCCAAGGGACACAGCAGGAGAAGCAGTGTGATAGGAGAGAGGCTAGGGTTAAATTCATCTTTACACAGCGCCGGATGGATGGAAATCTTGGCTCACATAAAAGACAGACTCAGGGAGGATTTTATGACAAAAGTCCCTCCTTTGAGGGCAGGATTCCCCCAGGAATCCTGGACACTTTAGTGAGAACTGGACCAGCCCTTGGCACAAAACCCTGCCTGCCCTGTCCCCCACTCCCACCCCCCAGGGAATTCTAGGTGAAAATGTGAAGCTCAGGGCACAGCAAGCGCATGACACGGGTGTATTACATTCGGTCCGAGTGTGTCCTTAGTTTCCCTGTGTGCAAAATGGGGCTAGTCCAGGCTCTTCCCACCTCACTGGGACAATTGCAAGGGTCATAGGAGAGGTGGGTATGATAGGTGGTCATATGAGGTGGTGAGTATGAGAGGTGGGTGCCTCACAAACTCGGGGTATGGTCCTGACCTGCATGGCAGATGAGCAGAGCACTTGGGAACGAGCATAGGAAGTGCCATCTTCCCGGGCATCTCTGCTCAGTGTTAAGGTCTAGCCACAGACACTGTGGGACCTGCCTCTTCCTATGGAATGGGGGCCTGCATGGGTTGTGTCCTGGGGCAGGAGTGAGGGATGGCTGGGAAGAATCTCCAGGTCTGTGGCCCTTGTGTTGAGTGATTATTTTGTGACACTCTCATTCCTGGACCACCTGCCAGGTTTATCTGTTATACCTGTGGCATTCTTATTATGTCAGACAAGTTATTATAGTTCATTCAACTCTAACAAATGAACAAAAGAACAATAAATAGGAGGCCATTAAAGGTCTTTTGTGGCAGAGGATGCTGGCTGTGCTTTCATTTCTGTCTCATAAGCCCATGGCAGGTCAAAGACCAAGAAATGCCTCCCTGCTGCCCTGGACTGGCAGATGGGGCTCATGACTGGGTGAGGTGCTCTCTTCCCTTGTCTGTGGCCCCAGCTCCAGCCTGGTCCTTGTACCAACTTCTGGAGACTGCCAAAAACTTTTCTCCTGTCCCTCTTCTGCCACTTTTCAGCCTTATGGCCTTGGGAAGCTGGCATACCTCTCATCCCTCTCAGATACCACAGGATTTTGTGACCCATGGTTTGCTCCTGGGGTGAAGCCATCCTATCTTCTATCTTTGGCACCACTGACCACATCAGTGGGAGTCCTCACCCCAGCCCCAGCCCTGGTTCTTGTTCACTTCTTATCTCCTGCCCTGCTGGGTCTTCCTGAAGTCACTTCAGTTTTCAAAGACTTATGTGCCACCTGGTCTAACAGAACATATGGGAGGAGTAAGGATATCAGTGAGGAAGAGTCGATGTTCTAATAGATAATGTACTGTATTAACACAAAAGGAAGACGCCCATGCATATAAGATGACTTTCCTAGAAAATTAATTATATATGAAATATATATATATATATTATTTATTTATTTATTTATTTATTTATTTATTTATTTATTTTTTGAGACAGCGTCTGGCTCTGTTGCCCAGGTTGGAGTGCAGCGGCGCGATCTCGGCTCACTGCAAGCTCCACCTCCCGGGTTCACACCATTCTCCTGCCTCAGCCTCCTGAGTAGCTGGGACTACAGGCGCCCGCCACCACACCCAGCTAATTTTTTGTATTTTTAGTAGGGACAGGGTTTCACCGTGTTAGCCAGGATGGTTTTGATCTCCGGACTTCGTGATCCGCCCGCCTCGGCTTCCCAAAGTGCTGGGATTACAGGCGTGAGCCACCGTGCCCGGTCTATATATATATTTTTTGAGATAGAATTTTGCTCTGTCACCCAGGCTGGAGAGCAGTGGCGCGATCTCGGCTCACTGCAACCTCCGCCTCCCGGGTTTAAGCGATTCTCATGTCTCAGCCTCCCTAGTAGCTGGGATTACAAGCATGTGCCAACACGTTCATCTCATTTTTGTATTTTTTGTAGAGATGGGGTTTTGCCATGTTGGCCAGGCTGGTCTTGAACTCCAGGTGAACAATATATTTTTTAACATTCCTGTAAAATACTGTGCAATGTAGATCAGAACATTGCCCTCCTGGTTGCCCAGAAAGGAGTCTTTTCCTCTGATGTTCCCTTCCAGCCAGAGTAGGGCAGTGGGAAGACACTGACATTTGAATCAGGAGACTTGAGCTACAGCTTTTGTTCAGCTGCCCTCGCATATGGACTGTGTCAGTCTGAGTCCAGATAAGCAGTCTATCCCTGCAGCAGGAATTTAATTGGGCCAGATGCAGTGGCTCATGCCTGTAATCCCAGCACTTTGGGAGGCTAAGGCAGGAGAATCTCTTGAGGCCAGGAGTTCAAAACCAGCTAGGACAACATAGGGAGACCCCCCGATCTCTCAAAAAAAAAAAAAAAAAAAGAGAGAGAAAAAACAACTGAGAGTAGTAGTGCATGCCTGTAGTCCCAACTACTTGGGAGGCTGAGGCAGGAGGATCCCTTGAACCCAGGAGTTCAAGGCTGCAGTGAACTATGATTATACCATTGCACTCCAGCCTGGGTGGCAGAGTGAGAAACTGTCACTTAAAAAAAAAAAAGCCAGGTGCAGTGACTCACTCTTTGGGAGGCTTGCTTGAGCCCAGGAGTTTAAGGCCAGCCTGGACAACACAGCGAGACTTCATCTCAAATTTTTTAAAATAAAAAAAAAAAGAAAGAAATTTAATTGGGGAAATGTTTATTAAAATGTTGGATGAGATGAAAGTGCAAATGGGGTTTGAGACCACCCAAAGATGTGGGACAATAGGAGACCATTACTACCCCTAGGGTGGAGGGACAAGGAGAGGAGCTGAGGAACCAGGGCAGCCTAGCAGGAACATTGGGGAAGAGGGTATCTACGAAAGCCAGAAGCACAGAGGAAACATCACCCTTGCTGGGAATGCTGCCCAAAGCAGAGAGACTGGAGACATGCTCTGGCTTCTTCTCTCCTCCTGTCCTCCAAATTTAAGCCAGAGCCTCCTATTGGCAGAATCTAATTAAAAGCTGATTTTCAAGAAATATGAAAATGTAGTTTGCAATGGTCAGGGCCTGACAATACAGAGCAAGAGAAGGTCAAGGGATTTGATCTGAGATCAAACAGGCAAATGGCAAGCTCTTCCTTAGTGTTCTCATCCAAAAAGTAGAAGTAGTTATGTTGGCCTGGTTACCACAATTTGGAAGGAATGCTTTGACATCTGAACAGGATTCCAAACAAGGGAGAGATATTTGCTGTTTTCTCATAGCTTTCAACCTTAATGCCACTATCACTGTCTTCACTGTGCTTTGGAGCTTCATTTCTCCTAGCTTTTTTAAACTCCAGCAAATCAAAAGAAACTGAGCAGGAGGTTCAAATTCTGGCCAACATGGAGTAAATTCATTATAGCTTATCTCTCCTACTGATTACACCGAAAAACGCTGGACAAAAATACAAAACACAATTAAATAACAACTCTGTGAAAGTTAGACAAAAGAAGGCAAATGATACAGGTGAGTTAAAATTTAGAGAAGTCATCTCCATAGGATGATTTTCCCATTTTTCTCTTTTCTCGTGGCTTTTCACTAAGATTAGAACCACCATCCACAGAAAGTGAGACAGAGCTTAGAATGTGAACTTAAGTTGGTTCATTGCCTCCTGAAACAACAATAACAACACGATCAACATTCTATAGAGGATTATAGCAGGACCCAGAGTCTATACAATATAACATTCACAATGTCCAGGACACAATCTGAAATTACTCAACATACAAATATGGTAGTCCCCCCTTATCTATGGGGGATAAGCTCCAAGATCCCCACTGGACACCTGAAACTGCAAATAGTACCAAACCTTTTATATACTATGTTTTGTTCTATACATACATACCTATTATAAAGCTTAATTTATACATTAGGTACAGTAAGAGATTAACGACAATAGCTAATAATAAAATAGAACAATTATAACAAATGCCAGCATCACTACTTTGCACTTTGGGGCCAATGTTAAGTAAAATAAGAGTTACTTAAACACAAACACTGTGATATTGCAACAGTTGATCTGATAACCAAGATGGCTACTAAGCGACTAATGGGTAGATAGCATACACAGCCGAGGTACACCAGACAAAGCGATGATTTACGTCCCAGGCAGGAGAGAATGGGTCACTGTGAGATTTAATCACACTATTCAGAATGGTGTGCAATTTAAAACTTATGAATTATTTCTGGAATTTTCCATTTAATATTTTTTATTTCTGGAATTTTCCATTTAATATTTTCAACTGTCATTGAGTGCAAATAACTGAAACCAGGGAAAGTAAAACTAAAGATGGGGGAGTGGGGTGACAACCCATAAAAATGTGACCAATCCTCAAGGAAAAATACAATCAACAGGTGCCAACTCTAAGATGACTTAGATGTTGGAATTATAAAAGATTTTGAAGTGGCTGTTATAACTTGAAATGGATTGAAATAGTTCTCAACAGAGATATAGAAACAATTAAAAAAGAACCAAATGGAAATTTTAGAACTGAAAAATACAATATCTGAAATTAAAAATTGATTGGATAAGTTCATAGCAGAATGGGGGGTTGACAGAAGAAAGAGCCAGTGAACTTGAATATAGATCAATAGAAATTATTCTATCTGAAAAAACAGAGAAAATAGGTTGAAAGAAATTAACAGTCTCAGGGACCTGTGGAACAATATCACAAGGCCTAAGATTCCATGTCACTGGACTCCCAGAAGAGAGGAGAAAGAGACTGATGGAGAAAAAATAGTTGAGAAAATAATGGCCACTAACACCCCAAATTTGGTAAAAGACATAAATTTATAGATTCAAGAAGGTGTGCAAATCTCAAACAGGTTAAACTCAAAGAAAATCACACATAAACATACAAAATATCCAAACTTATGAAAACCAAAGACAAATTTAAAAATCTTGAAAGCAGCTAGAGAAAAGGACACATTCTTGTATTTTCTTCCATACAAAGGATGACTATCAGAACGTGGATTTCTCAATAGAAGACATGGAGGCCAGAAGAAAGGAGTACAACATCTTTACAGCACTAAAAGAGTTGTCAACCCAGAAATCTATATCCAGTGAAAACATCCTTCAAGAAGGGTGCAAAATAGATTATCAGATGAAGGAAAACCAAGAGAATCTGTCACCAGCAGACTTACTCTTAAAAAAAAAAAAAGCTAAACAAAATTATTTAGTTTAAAACAATGCCAGAGATAAACCCAGATGTTTAGAAATTAAGAGCAACAGAAATGGTAATTATCTGGATAAATTTAAAAGGCTATATTTATCATTTATCCCCTAATCTTCTTAAGTTCTTTAAAGTACTTATTATTGGCGTTTTTTGTTTGTTTGTTTATTTTTTGTTTGTTTGCTTTTTGACAGGGTCTCGCTTGGTCATCCAGGCTGGACAGGCTGGAGTGTAGTGGTGTGATCATAGCTCACTGCCACCTTGAACTCCTGGGTTCAAGTGATCCTCCCACCTCAGCCTCTTGTGTAGCTGGAACTACTGGCATGCACCACCACACTCAACAAATTTTCTTTATTTTTGTTGTAGAGACAGGGCCTTGCTATGTTGCCCAGCTGGTCTTGAACTCCTGAGCTCAAGCGATTCTCTTGTCTCAGCTTCCCAAAGTGCTGCGAATACAGGCATGAGCTACTGCACCTGGCTTATTACTGTTGAAAAAAGATTTATAACATTGTCTGATAGGTTTACCAATGTTGATAAATAGATGAAATACATATAACAACTATAATGGAAAGGTCAGTGGAGGGAGAGAAACCTATTTGTTTTCTGTTTTTGTTTTTGTTTCTTTTGAGACAAAGTCTAGCTCTTGTTCCCCAGGCTGGAGTGCAATGGCATGATCTCGGCTCACTGCAACCTCCGCCTCCCGCGTTGAAGCGATTCTCCTGTCTCAGCCTTCCGAGTAGCTCGGATTACAGGCGCCTGCCACCATGGCCGGCTAATTTTTGTATTTTTAGTAGAGACAGGGTTTTACCATGTTGGCCAGGCTGGTCTCAAGCTCCTGACCTCAAATGATCCTCCTACTTCAGCCTCCCAAAGTGCTGGGATTACAGGCGTGAGTCACCGCACCCGGTAAACCTATTTGTTTTTAAGGCTTCTATATTACATTTGAAATGGTGAAATGGTACAGTGTTAACCCTAAGTAGATTGTGAAGGGTTATATATGTATATTGTGGTCCCTAGAGCAACAACTAAAATAGAGCCGAACATATAGATAAATCACAATAGTAAAAAAAAATTTTAATGACATATTAAAAATATCCAAGTATTCCAAAAGAAGACAGGAAAGTTGGAACAAAGGAATAAAAAATAGGGGTACAAACAGAAAAATAAAAGTGGTAGACCTAAATACAACCATATCAATAACTACACTAAATGTAAATGATCTCTACATAACAATTAAAAGATAGAGGTTGCTAGATTGGATTAAAAAACAAGATCCAATTATATGCTGTCCACAAACATACTTTAAATATAAAGAAACCTACTTTAAATATAAAGACATAGATAGGCATGTCTTTATGAAAAGAATGAAGATATACCATGCAAACAATAATAAAAATAAAGCTGAAATGGCTATATTAATACCAAACAAAATAGACTTCAGAACAACAAATGTTACCAGGGATAAAAAGGGACATAAGTAATAATGAAAGTGTCAATTTACCAAGAAAACATAACAACCCTAAATGTGTGTGCATCTGATCATGGTGTTTCCAGATACACAAAGCAAAATGTAATAGAATCAAAGGGAGAAATATACAAATCCACAACATTCCTCCCTCAGTAATTGATGGAACAAGAAGACAGAATATTAGTAAGGATATAGAAGACCTGAACAACGATATCAGTTTGACCTAATAGACACTATGGAATATTTCATCTCAAAACAATTGACTATGCATTTTTTTTCAAGTGTACATGGAACATTCCCCAAGAACTATTTTCTGGGAAAAACAACCTTAACAAATTTTAAATAATTTATATATTTTTTATTTTAAATTTTTTTATTTTTCTTTATTGAGACAGGGTCTCACCATGTTGCCCAGCCTGGTTTTGAACTCCTGGGCTCAAGCAATCCTCCTGCCTCAGCCTTGTAAAGTGCTGGGATTACAGGCGTGAGCCACCACACCTGGCCAAATTTAAAAGAATTTAGTAAGTACATTCTTTGGTCACAGCAGAATTAAACTAGAATAACAGAAAATTATCTGGAAAATTTGCAAATATTTGAAACTTAAGCAATTTCTAAATGGGCCAAAGAAGAAATCACAAGGAAATTTATGAAGTGAAATGAAAATAAAAACAAATATCTAAATTTTGGGGTTTGAGCAAAAGCAGTGCTTATCTCAACAGATGCAGAAAGGCACTTGACAAAATTCAACATCTGTTCATGATTTAAAAAAGCAAACCGCTCTTAGAAAACTTTCTTAACCTGATAAAGAGCATCTACAAAAAAACCTACATCTACTAACATAGTTTATGGTGAGAGACTTAATACGTTTCCTCTAAAATTGGGAACAAGGCAAGGATGACTACTCTCACCACTCCTATTTGACATTATACTAGACGTCC
This sequence comes from Homo sapiens, assembly GCF_000001405.40. Taxonomy (NCBI): domain Eukaryota; kingdom Metazoa; phylum Chordata; class Mammalia; order Primates; family Hominidae; genus Homo; species Homo sapiens. The sequence continues at coordinate 75,253,365 of NC_000011.10, read as the reverse complement.
TAGCCAGTGCAATAAGACAAGAAAAAGGGAGAAAAGGCCTACTGATTATAAAGAAGAAATAAAATAAGGCCAGGCACAGAGGCTAAATAACTGTAATCCCAGCACTTTGGGAAGCCAAGGCAGGAGGATCACTTCAGCCCAGGAGTTTGAGACCAACCTGGGCAAGATGGCAAGACCCCATCACTACAAAAACATTTAAAAATTAGTCAGGCACCGTGGTGCATGCCTGTAATTCTAGCTACTTGGGAGGCTGAGGTGGGAGGATCCCTCAAGCCCAAGAGTTAGAGGTGGCAGTGAGCTATGATTGCACCACTGCATTGCAGCCTGGCAACAAAGAGAGACCCCCGTCTCTAAAAAAAGAAAATGAAAATGGTTTCTATTCACAGACATCTTGATTATCTACATTAAAAATCCTAAGAAATCTGCAAAAAAATAGCTACTAGAAATAATAACTGAGTTTAGATAGATTGCAGGAAACATGATTAACACACAAAAATCCACTGTACTTCTGTAGAGTAACATGCAACAACTGAAATAGAAATTTAAAAGATGATGCCATTTATAACAGCACCCGAAACTGAAATACTCAGATACAAACCTAACAAAATATGTGCACAATCTCTATGCTGAAAAGTAAAAAGTACTGATGAAAGAAATCAAATAGGCCCAAATAAACTGAGAGCTATACCATGTTCACAGCTAAGAAGATTCAATATTGTTATGTCAATCTTCCTCAAAGTGACAGTAGATTCAATACAATACAAATCAAGACCTCTGTAGGATTTTCTTTTAAAGACATAGAGAAACTGATTCCAAATTTATATAGAAAGGTAAAAAATCTAGAATAGCCAAGCAATTTTTATAAAGAAGAACAAAGTTGAAGGACTCTACTATCTGGTCTGAAGACTTACTAGAAAGCTACAGTAATCAAGACAGTGTGGCAGTGGTGAAAGAATAGACACCTATATCAATGGAACAGAACTGGGAATTCAGAAATAGACCTGCACATAGGTGGTCAATTGATTTTCAACGAAGGCACAAAGGAAATTCAGTTGTTGTTTTCAACAAATGGTTTCGGCAAAGATGGAGAGGGACTAGAACTCTCATACACTGCTAGTGGAAATGCAAAATGGTACAGACACTTTGGAAAACAATGTGGAAGTTTCTTATAATAAATTTGAACATACTCACTATAATATTCAGCAGTTCCACTCTTCAAAGAAAAAGTGGCTGGGTGCAGTAGCTGATGCCTATAATCCAAGCACTTTGGGAGGCCAAAGTGGGAGGATTGCTTGAGCCTAGGAGTTTAAGACCAGCCTAAGCAATATGGTGAGGCCCTGTCTCTACAAAAAAGGAAAAAATTGGCCAGGCATGGTGGTGTATGCCTGTGATCCCAGCTACTCAGGAGACTGAAGAAAGAGGATCGCTTGAGCCCAGGAGTTCAAAGCTGCAGTGAGCTGTGTTTGTACCACCGTACTCCAGCCTGGGCAACAGAGAGAAATCTTTTCTCAAAAGATAAAATAAAATAAAGAAAGAAATAAAAAGTGACATTCCTTCAAAAACCTGTACATGAATGTTTACAGTGGCTATATTCATAGTTGTCAAAAACTGGAAACCACCCAAATGCTCTTCAGCTATTGAATGGATAAATGATTGTACAACCATATGATGGAATACTACGCAGCAATAAAAATGAACAAACTATAATGATACCTACAACATGGATGAGTTTCTACTGCATTATGCTAAGTGAAAGAAGTCAGATTTAAAAGGACAAACATGTATGATTCTACTTATATGACACTGTGTCAAAGGTAAAACGATGGAGACAGAAAACAAAGCAGTAGTTGCCAATGGCTGGACTTGGGGGGAGGGCTGCTATGAAGAGGGATTTTGGGGGGCAATGGAACACTCTATATCTTAATTGTCAAAACTCATAGAACTGTATGCCAAAAAGAGTGGACTTTGTATAAATTTCAATAAAAAGAAATGGAGCAATTTACAGCTCACAACTGCAAACGATATTTACTGGGCATGTACCATTTGTTGGGGCTTCTGCTGGCCCTGAAGACACTAAGATTAAATGAGACAATCCTGGCTGGGTGCAGTGGCTCATTCCTGTAATCCCAGCACTTTGGGAGGCGGAGGTGGGCGGATCACTTGAGGCCAGGAGTTCGAGACCAGCCTTGCCAACAAGGTGAAACCCTGTCTCTACTAAAAATACAAAAATTAGCTGGGCATGGTGGTGGGCGCCTGTAATCCCAGCTACTCTGGAAGCTGAGTCATGAGAATCTCTTAAATCGGGGAGGTGGAGGTTCCAGTGAGCCGAGATTGCGCCACTGCACTCCAGCCTGGGCGATAGAGCGAGACTCAGTCTCAGAAAAAAAAAAAAAAAAAAAAAAAAAAGACAATCCCTTCAGTCAAATTGCTTACAGATTAATTGGGGGATAAGGCATGATGCTAAAGGTTTGGAATTGCTGATGAGGAGTATTGCAGAGGGGGCCTGTTGTGTAGTCACAGCGTGCCATGAGAGCACCTAAGGAGAGGTCTCACATTTAGCCAGAGTGGCCAAGATGAGAAATAGGCAGCTTCCAAGAGGACGAAATGCTTGAACTGAGTTTTTGTTTTTTGTTATTTGTTTTTTGTTTTTTGAGACGGAGTCTCACTCTGTAGCCCAGGATGGAGTGCAGTGGCACAATCTCTGCTCACTGCAACCTCCACCTCCCGGGTTCAAGTGATTCTTCTGCTGAGTAGCTGGGACTACAGGCACACACCCACCATGCCCAGCCAATTTTTGTATTTTTAGTAGAGTCGGGGTTTCACCATGTTGGCCAGGCTGGTCTCGAACTCCTGACCTTAGATGATCCGCTCACCTCGGCCTCCCAAAGTGCTGGGATTACAGGTGTGAGCCACCCCACCTGGTCTTGAACTGAGTTTTTAAGGGTAAAAAGGGAATTAGGTAGGCAAGGAGGGGCTACAGACCTTCCAGGTAGAAGAAACAGCACACAGGGAGGCTCAGGGTGAGACAAGCTGGGGCCTTCAGGCAACTATAACCACATTGGAGTGACAAGAGTGAAGGGAGCTGGAAAAGCTGGCAGGAGATTTGATTAGTGGGTGGAAGTTACAGATAATCAGTTAAAAAAAAAAAAAAGCTTTTTGTTTGTTTGTTTGTTTGTTTGTTTTTTGTAGAGATGAGTTCTTGCTATATCGCCTAGCCTGGTCTCCAACACCTGTCCTCTGATCCTTCTGCTTCAGTCTCCCAAAGTGTTGGGATTACATGTGTGAGCCACTCACTGCACCTGGCCTCAAAGATCTTTGTTTTTATCCAGAAGACAGTGGGACAGGTTTTAGGCAGAGTAAGGAGAGGGATCAGATTCACGCATTTTCACTGCAGTGTGGGCTGCAGTGTGGGACCAGAGAGGGGGGCTGCAGGCTGGGGGAACAGGGAGGAAGCTGGGGCAGGGATGCAGATGAGAGAAGTCCAAGCTGCGACCAGGTGGGGAATGAGTCTAAGGACAGTGTGGGGAGGTGTAGGAGTAGAGTGGCCAGAACTTGCCTTCCACCTGATGTTTGAGTATTTGGTCTCAGCACCTTTGTGCTCGCTGCTGCTTCTGCCTGGATTAACTTTTCCTAGATTCTCTGCATAGCTTGTTCCTTCCCATTCTTCAGGGTAGGTCGCCCTCAGAGGGGTCTTTCATGACTTACCCCACTCAAAGGAGACCTCTCCTTGTCACTCACTCTCACATTACCCTGCTTATTTCCCTCATAAGTATCGTGCTTGTTTATGGTCTAAATAAGAAGAGGGCTCTGGAGCAGAGCCTGAGTTCTAAGCCTAACTTGGCCTCTTATTAGGAGTGTGATCTTGAGCAAATTATTCATCTCTACGTGCCTTAGTTTCCTCATTTGTGAAGTAGGAATAAGAATAACTGCTTCACAGAATTGTCATCAGGACAAGATGGATTAATATATATAAAGTACCTAGAACAATCTCTGGCACATAGTAAATTCTGTATGTGTTAGTTTTTACTATTACTGTTTTATAAGGACAGAGATCTTATTGGTTTTCTTTCTTTTCTTTTTCTTTTTTCTTTTTTTGAGATGGGGTCTCACTCTGCTGCCCAGGCTGGGGTGCAGTGGCATGATCTCGGCTCACTGCAACCTCCACCTCCCAGGCTCATGCAATCCTCCCGTCTCAGCCTCCTAAGTAGGTGGGATTACAGGAGGGCGCCCCTGCGCCCAGCTATTTTTTGCATTTTTTGTAGAGACCGGGGTCTCGCCATGTTGCCCTAGGCTGGTCTCAAACTCCTGAGGTCAAGCAATCCGCCGGCCTCGACCTCCCGAAGTGCTGGGATTAGAGGCCTGAGCCACCACACCCGGCTCTAGTTTTCTTTAAAATTGTATCCTCATCTTCCTAGCACAGTGCTTGGCACACAGCAGGCACTTACATACTTGTTGGATTGTTGACTGAACGAAGAAAGGCACTTTCCCATCTCCACCAGCAGATGACGCATGTATACCAAGAAAAGTTAAAGCTGACTCGGCTCCCACACGGATCGGCCAATAGATGTCGCTGCAGCTCCCTGTGGGGAGGAACCAAGACTAAGCCAGTAGCAGGGGCTGCCCAAACAGAGCCCTGGACAAAGATCCCAAACGCAGGGCCAGAAGTTGTAATTGTATTAAAAAGCCAAAGTTAGCCAGGCGCGGTGGCTCATGCCTGTAATCCCAGCACTTTATGAGGTTGAGACGGGAGGACTGCTTGAGCCCAGCAGTACAAGGTTACAGTGAGCTATGATAACGCCACTGCATTCCCAGCCTGGGTGACAGAGGCCGACCTCATAAATAAATAAACAAATAAATCAGTGCCAAAGTTAAGAGGCTAAGACTAAATTGTGTTTTGCATGACCACATATTCTAAAACTGCATTTTCTTTCTGCTCGCTCACTTTGTAGACAACGGAGTCAGCCATCCTGGGATCTTATATAATCGAAACCCCAGTTTAATGATGGGGGGGTTGTGGGAGTCAAAGGAAGCACCCATTCAACGTGCAGAGGGGTAGGCCACAGAGTCCTGCGTGATGCTTCTTCCTCTGTGTTTTGTATTTCTGTGGGGGCAGGGGCTGGGAGAGCGTTCACAAATCTCTGTGCACCCTGACTGGGGACTTAAAGTGACTGGGTCTGGCCTCTGTCCTGTGGGAGCTTCTGGTCTGGTGCAGACAAGAGGCAAGGAAACCAGTCCGTAGAAAGAAAGCTCTGGGTGGTACAGCAGTAGGAGAAAGACAGCGGGGTCATAAAGACTGGGGGACTCCTGGGCTGTCTTGAGTGCTCCCTGTGTTGGGGAAGGCATCCTAGACAGAGGGTACTGTGTGAGCAAAGGCACAGGGCATGGAAGAGCTGGGCCCTATTACTAACATCCCCATAGTTTGGTGCAGCTGGAAAATAGGGTTCAAAGAAGGGGAGTGTATTCGTTATTTATTGCTGGTAGATTTGCTGGTCTTGTCTAGCAGTCTAGTACTTTTTCTTTTCTCTCCAGGTCTTGTCAAAAGTCATTGAAGTCCAGGGCCCAGCATCTTGGTACAGTCCTAGTTCTTCTTCTTCTTCTTCTTTTTTTTTGAGACAGACTTTTGCTCTTGTTGCTCAGGCTAGAGTGCAATGGCACAATCTCGGCTCACTGCAACCTCCCCTCCAGGGTTCAAGCGATTCTCTTGCCTCAGCCTCCCGAGTGGGCATGTGCCACCACGCCCAGCTAATTTTTTGTATTTTTAGTAAAGACGGGGTTTCACCATGTTGGTCAGGCTGGTCTTGAACTCCGGACCTCAGGTGATCCACCCACCTCGGCCTCCCAAAATGCTAGGATTACAGGCGTGAGCCACTGCACCCAGCCAGTCCTAGTTTATTCTTGCTCCAATGTAATGATTAATAGTGGCCCCTTTCACTCCCGAGTTTGCCAGCTTGGATGATCCCCTAAGTTAGGGGCCTCCCTGGGATCCCTGTGCTTCCATGATCACAGTGTCCTGTGTGTGTGGTCACCATCTTGATCGAGAACAGGAGCAGGATCTGGTTCATCCAGGTGAGCCTCATGCTCAGATGATAGAAGCTCAGGAAGAATGAGTTTAATGCCTGGGACCTCAGAGCCTGGAGGTCCAGACAAGCCCCTTTCTCCTCTCAGGGAGGGGAGACATAACTCCCAGCAGGGCCGCTGCCTGCAAGATGCTGGCATGGGGCTCCTGAGGCCTGTCCGGAGCCGCTGACAGAGGCTGAAGAGTCCTTCCAACCCTCTACGGCTCACTTTCTTATTTTCATCTTCAGGCTACCTCAGGCTTGGGACTGGCTCCTGGATGCACTGACAGGGTGGAGATAGCAAGTTAGGAGGCGGGGTGGCTCTGCCAGACGCTCAGACCCAGGGCAGAGCAGGGGTAGCCCTGGGGCATCCTGGGCTCGGGATCTGCTCCTGACAATCTGTGTGACCTGGACGAGCTCCTGCATACTCTTGGCCTCAGTTTCCCCACCCATCCAATGAAGGGTTAGTTGAGGGTCTGCATGGGCCTGGCCAGCTCCTGGCAAATCGCCCTGTGACAGTGCTGAGGGAAGCAGGTGGGGGTGGTGAGGCAGGGGTGAAGGGTGGAGGGGGGACTCAGAAGGCAGCCAAGTGTATTATTAGCACAGGAATATTAACTGCCCCCGTCACTTCTCCCAGTCTGGGAAAGGCCATACCCATAAATTAGGGCCGAGAGTCTGCCAGGCAGCGGCTTAATGAAGAAGGAGATGGACTTCAGGGAGAGCAGGCAGTGCCTTTAGAGGTCACAAGTCCAGCCCCAGCCTGGACAGAAGGAACCCGGAGCCAGAGGCAGGCAGGGGTGTCCGAGGCCACAGTGTCAGGCTGGGCCAGGAAGGCAGGGGCTGGTTCTGCTGTGGTCACTGCTGAATCCCCAGACCCTGGCACATAGTAGGGTCTCAACTGGTATTTCTGGCTAAGGACTAGGTGACATGACAAGTCAGGTGCTGAGTTCAGACTCAAACCCAGTCCTCTCGACTCTAGCTAGGTCCTCCCTGGTTCCCAGCCCAGGTCTGAGGGTGTGAGTAGGTGAGGGGGCTTGGAAGCAAAAGGCTTCTCAAGGAGACGTCTTTGAAAGGCAATTTCACAGTGTTTTTGAGGTCACAGAACCTGGGAAGTCTGCCACATTTCTCCAGGTGTGCAGCTGGCTTCACATCTCCCACGTTTCTGACAGTCATACACACCTGTCCTCTCCTCTCCTGTTCTTTACCATGCCTGCTCCTTAAGGGGACATCCTAGAGGTAGATTTCTTCCTCTGTCATTTGGCTTCTGCAGGCAGGCCCCAGGCCTCTGGGCCTCTGCTCACCTCACACTCCAACAGCACTCCCAGTGTGTGATCAGAGGAGGAGGCTGGCCATTTAGTGGGGTCCTGGCACTTCTGAGAAAGAGTCTGGAGTGGATGGTGTCAGGGAGTCTGGGCAGGGCCAGTCGGCTGCTCCATCTCACTTTTTACTGCAAGGCTTCTCCGGGCTCCCCTCCCCTTCCCTTCTCTCACTGCCCTCATCTGGCCATGGTGTTGGTTTGATTCCTCTCTGTGTCTCCAGTGCCCAGCATGAGGCCAGGCACAAAAAGGATGGGCAGAAGGAAGGAACAACCAGGCTTTACAAGCAGGAGGCACAGTGCAGTTGCCTGTGCCCCCATCACACCTCTCTACCTTCCTGACTCTTCCTTCAAGGGCAGAGGTCCCTCTAGCGCTTCCCAGTGGAGAATGTGGTGAATGTAGTAGATCCATTCTACCCCATACGCATCCTCCTACCTACCCCCAGCCATTGCTGGCCTTCAATCCTCAGGCTAATGAGATCTTCCTGCCTCCAGACCTTTGCAGAAGTTGGTACTTCTGATCTTTCTCTGTTCAGCAAACTTCTACTCATCCGTCAAAACCCAGTTCAAATGTGACTTCCTCTAAGAAGTCTGTCTAGGTGGGGTCAGGGCTCTTACTCTGAGCTCTCATTATTTCCTGGGATTTCTTTTCTCCAGATCTTGATTAAATGTGATTCCTTCCCTGGATTGTTAGCTTTTCTAGGACTGGCAGAGTTGCATTCAGTAAGGGCTGAGTGAATGGCTGGGTTTGTAGAAGAGGTGAAGCTGGCGGCCCTGAACCTTGATAGCCCCATAAGGCTATAGGCCACTGACAGACAGCAAGGAGGATGGCAGCCCAGAAAAGACATTTAATGGGGATCAGTGAATGGTACTAACGTTAAACACCAACTGGCACACAGTAGACACTCAATTTGTTGATTTTTGATGACTATTGATTTGATACTTAGCAGTAGCTCTCACATACATCGTTGGAACTGGAGAGATCTACAGATTTACAGATCACCTCCTCAGTTCCAAGGACATGCTCTCTGCTAATGTAGCTTAAGACTACAGTAAGTCCTGGCAAGTGAAACTGCAATTAGCTATGGGTTGTCAGCAAAAATCTTTGAGGTTTTATGAGAGCTACTGCTAAACTAAGTATTAAATCAATAGTTATCAAAAATCAACTAACAAGCTCTAACTTGCGTTAGAGAGACCATCACTATATTGTCCTGGGGGACTGCGGGGCACCCTTTGGAGGTCATTGACAGAGGGGAATGTGTCAAGAGGACTTAATACTTTCTCATGAGGAATGACTTGGAGAAGGGGTAGAGAGCGTGCCGGGAAAAGACAAGGAGCCCCATGCACGGTCTCTGACTTGTGAAGAGCTGTCCTGGGCTGAGGGGTGCTCCTGGCCCCATGGCAAAGCTGGGGCTGTCAGAGTCCCAGGCAGGCTCCTCAGACACTGAAAGGAAGGGAGGGAGGGAGCCTCCCATCACGAGATGATGCCTCCTGTTGAGACAGCTTAGGAGGCTTCCCACATTACCTCTGCAGTCCTTTTCAATAGTTAGAAGGCACACATTCTAGAATTATGTGGCCCTGAAATTAGAAAATGCCAGAATTCTAGGCTTCTGCCCTATGGTTCTAGGGCTCTGTGACCCTGAATGCAAAACAATCCAGCCTGGGGACCTGGAGGCCCTCCTGGCCCTCCGGTCCCCTGGCTTCACATATCTCAAGGAGTCATTTCATCCACACTCCCCACACGCAGCCTCTCACATACCCAACACGCAGGTCTTACCCTCTGGCCAGGAGAGTGTGAAGTGACACAGGACATAAAGGAGTATCAGATAATAATTCATTAGAGGGGATGATCCCAAAGCAGCAAACAATCCCTCTTTCCTGTCTGAATTAACTCCTCATTCTCTGTAGCTGGATTTCCTCCCGGATGGTCTTGGCTGAGGCTAATGTTTCTTAGTCTAACTCCATCCCCATCCTGAAGATGAGGAACGGGAGGGAAGAGGATGTAGAGGAAGTGTCGAATCCCACTTTGGCTGTGCATAACCCCTCCTCCGATGATAGAAAGCAGGCTGGCTTGGGGAACAATGTCATCCCAATGGGAAGTCCCTCCATGTATCTAACCTTAATCCTGCTATGTGCAATCAGAACCCATTTCTCCTCCCACAGTCTGGGAGAACGCATCAAGGGTCACTGCCCCACCAAAAAGAAGTCCAAAATGCCCTCCCAAGAGTCCCCTCCCACCCCCATCAGTACTCCAAGGTCAGCAGGAATGATACGGCACCACTAACAAGAGTAGAGTATCTGAGATTATTGCAGACTTTATAGAAAACTGCTCAAGGGAGATCCAGATTTTCTGGGTATGGGGAGGGCAGGCAGGCCTCAAGCCAATATATTAAAGGAAGGTGACTTCCTGTGTGCAGACGCAGCACAGGCCAGCCATTCTGCCTGATCTAGAGGGTGGGGAGTCAGGGAGAGGGGGTCCTCTCCCCCACTCACCAATTGTGCTTTGGGATCATGGAGAAGGCAAGGTGCTGAGCTTCTGACCCTGAACCAGGAGGGCTTGTGCCTGAGGCAGGAGGAAAGACCTACTTCTCTTTCAGAAGATACACGGGGTGAGGTGGTGGTGGTAGCGGTGGTGGCAAGGAATCCCCAAGGGCGAAGAGCCACAGGGGTGGGAGAGAGCATAGAGAAATCGAAGGGCAGCAACTTCCAGCCCTTCAGACCCCACTTCCTGCCCCTCTCTGAGGCCACGATGCCCCACTATCCCTTTCACACACCCAAGACTCTCTCCTTCCCTACAAGGATCTGCCAGTATGCACTAGGGGTGCATGGCACCTGCACCTATCCGGCAGGACTGAAGAGCTCGTCCTGGGACGAAAAGGGGATGAGGACATCCCAGGGACGGATTCCTCACTGGACCTTGACTAGTGAATGGCAGGGGTGGGTGCTGAGTGCCAGCATTGGGTATGGGGGGGGGGTCAAGAGCCAAAGGCTTGGGCAGGAGGACGAAAGTCAGATCGGGGTGAAGAGCTGAGAGTCTGAGACTGGGGACCAGCACTGAGTATCGGGAGGTCAGCGCCCTGGTGGGAAAGGCTGAGAGTTGGCTCCACACTAAGGCTAGATGGGCTGTGCTTGTCCCTGGGATGGGAGGGACAGACTAGGAGCTGAGCCCCATGCCTGAGCCGAGGAAGGGAAGGGCCTGAGCCAGAGGCGGGGGTGGGTGAAGGGGGGGCAGGGGTATGAAATATATTCTTAGATGAGGGGAGGGTGCCCAATCCTCAGAGCCCCAGGGTTGGGCCTCCATGCAGGATGGAGGGCTCTGAGCTCTGGGATGGGACAAAGGGCTCAAAATCCACAAAACCATTCTGATGGGGGTGCTGTGCTTCGAGTCCAGAATGGGATGGAAGGGCCCTCAAGCCCCGGAGGGGACTGAGGGCTCCGAGCTGGCGAGGGAGGTCAGTGCAGTCTCGGGTGTCGGAGCTCCAAGCACAGGGTGCTGGGGGCAAGTCTCAGAGCTTTGGCCTTGAAGGACAGATTCTCTGTGTGAGCTCCGAGACGGGGAACGGACTTTCAGTGGTTCAGGAGGGAGGTTTCGGAAACTAGGGTGGGCAGGCGGGGTTTCTGGATTCGGACCGGCTATCTCTGGGTCTTTGACGGTGGGAGCTCTCGGAGGCGGGAACGAGAGGGTACGGCTTAGCGCCTCCGAGTCAGGGGAAGGTCTCAGAGCTCGGGGCTCGCGGGTGTCTCATCTCCACGGCTTCGGGCCAGGCAAGGGAAGCCCCGAGCCCGGGGGCGCCGCTCAGAGCCCCGAGCCCGGGGAGGTGGCGCGGGAGCCCGCGGGCGCGGCGGGCGCGGGCGCGCGGCGCGGGTCGGCGTCCTGCTCGTAGCGGTAGTGGTAGCCCTCCATCTGGTCCCGGCACGCCTCGCGCAGGTTGCGCATCCAGCGCTGGATGCCGCGGCGGTTTAGGTAGAGCACCATGAGGAAGATGAGGCCGATGAGTGCCAGCACCAGCCCGAAGAACACGTAGGAGGCTTCCAGCTCCGGGCCGGCGGCCTCCGCCTCCTCTCCGCGAGCGTCGGCGCCGCTGTCCGCGCAGCGAAGCCGCGCCCCGTCCAGGTCCAGTAGCGGCCGGTCTAGCAGCGCCCGCGGGGCGGCGCAGCGCAGGCGCCGCGAGTCGGGCACGCGCTCCGTGGCGTTGCGCAGCCAGGCCAGCAGGGGGCGTGCGGCACAGCCGCAGCGCAGGGGGTTGTCGGCGAGCAGCAGGCGCGGCCCGGGGAGGCCGCCATCGCGCTCCAGCGCGCGCAGCTCGTCGGGGTCCAGGCCGGCCAGCGCGTTGAGGCGCACGTCCAGCTGCTCCAGGCGCGCCAGGCGCAGGGCGGCTGGCGGCAGACGGCTCAGCGCGTTGCCCGCTAGGCCCAGCAGGCGAAGCTCGGCCAGCGGTGCCAGCGCAGCGTCCAGCGCGGCCAGCAGCGCGGGGCCGCCGCGCACCAGCGCGTGGTTGAGCTGCAGCGAGCGCAGCGCGGGCAGCCCGCGGAAGGCGCCGCCGCCCAGGGCGCGCAGCGGGTTGTGGCTGAGGTCGAGCGCCGCCAGGCTGGGCAGCCCGTCGAAGGCGCCGTCCTCCACCACCTCGATGTGGTTGTGCGTGAGGCGCAGCGCGCTCAGGAGCGGCAGGCGCACGCCCGCCGCCTGGTCGCCGTCCCCGTCCCCGCCGGCGAAGGCGGCCGCGCGCAGCACCGTCAGGTTGGCGCCTACGATGGTGAGGTTGCGCGCGTCGGGCGGCACGTCCCGCGGAGGCTGGCGGAGCTCGGCTCCCGACGCGCAGCGCAGCAGCAGCTTGGGGCCGCCGAAGCAGTAGCACTGGAAGGGGCAGGGTGCCGCGGGCTGGCTCAGCGCCGCCGCCACGAGCAGCAGCCCCTGGAGCCCCGGCTGTCCCGCGCGCGGGGCCATCGCGGCCGCCCCCGCATCCAGCGCCCGGGCCGCCGCGCTCACCAGTGAGTTGGGAGCGCCTGGTGGGGGGCACGGGTGGGGCGAGTCCTTGACCCGGAGCGGCTGGCAGTCCCGGTCGGTCCGTTCGCTGTCTCGAAAGTCTGAGGAGCCGCACTTACTGGCTGACTGGCCGGGGGCAAGAGGGGTCAGACGGGGAGCGGAGCCCCCCGCCCCCGGTGCCCTCGCCCTGCGCGCCGGCCTCCGGCTTCCGCGGCCGCTCCGGGCTCCGAGCCGAGTGGGCAGGGTTTGCCTCCCCCCTCCCCGCCTCCCGGTCTCGTCCTCCGCCCCCAGCGGAGTCTCCGCGCCCTCCTCGCCGTGGGAGGCGGGGTGGGAGGCTCCCGAGAATCAGGGCTGTCGGCTGCTGCGCTTTCTCTTCATCCTCTCCGCCCCCGCCCCTCCGGGCTGCCGAGAAGTTTGGCTCCTGGAGGCTCCGACTTGGTTTTCCTCCTCCTCCACCCCCAACATTTAAGCTGGGTCCTTCCTCCTCCTTCTCCAGCACGTGTGGGGCGGGGCCCGACTGCGGAGAGCAGGCAGGTGGGTCACCACCAGGGAGAATTCGGGGGTTGGGGAGGACTTTAGAGCTGCTCCTACTACCGGAGGAAGGGATGAGGGGTGGGCTGAGAAAGTTACTCATTTTCCGGCCTCTTCCTAAGGCAGAGAGACTGGAAAATCCCCAGTCTCTGCTTCCTCCTCTGCGACCCTAGTTCCATTAGACCTGGCTGTGTCACCACCCCTGCAGGTCCTATGGGACCAGCTTTTTCTCCATCCCATCCCATCCCATTCTCAGGAGAAGTCTGTGGCACCCGCTCCCCTCCCACCCACCAACTCTGGCTGCTCTGCCTCTGCCAGGAGTTCCCCCGTGTGGTTTCCTCCACCGGGCTGGGCTTCTCTGCCAAGCACTGTCCTAGGCACAGAGACCCGGGGGTGTAGTGATTCTGCTCTTTGCTTTCACTCCCTGCCCCCAAACCTCTTAAGACTCCTGGGGTTCCGTTGGACACTGTCAACTAGTCCCTCCAGGCTTCTCCGCCTGTGAGTGGGGTTTGGGGCACCAGAGGTTGGGAGAGCAGGAGCAGATTTTGCAGCATGGAGTTGGGGGTCTCAGAAGGGGCCAGGGCTGAGGGTGGGGGGGCTGAGCTGTTTACAGATTTGTTTTGTTCTGGATTTTTTTTCCCCCAGAACTGGGAAGCTCTAAACCTGATTTAAAGAGACAGGCTCCTGAGAAGGGAGGATTCCTGGCCTTAGCATGAATTATTCAGGCTGGAGAGGCTGACACTTGATCCGCAGGCCATTCGGGTATCAGCAGAGCTGGTTGGAATAGAGGCTCCCCACCTCCTCCCAAGAATCAGTCTCTTTCTCCTGAATTGGGTACGGTTGTTATGTTGACTCCTTCCCTGAGGTTATATTTAACAGATCGACCAAAGGATCAATACCACTTAAGGAGAAGAGGCAGACCCTGCAGTGGCCTGGGTCTTGGGCAAGGACCAACATTAAGGAACAGAGCTGGTGATGATGGGGGTCTCCCAGCTCTCCCCTCCTCCAAGCCCCTCTCTCTTCCCTACCCCCTGTCTTAACTCTCCCAGGTATGAGAGCTCAGATGTGTCTCATGCAAGTCCATGCAGACTCATTCATATGTGGACATAGGATCGTAGGTTTGAGTGCGTCCTGGCATGTGTCCATAAATTCATAAAGACATACATATTTGAATATGCACACTTCTGAGCCCATGCAGGTTCGTGGATACATTCTCAGAGGGCAAGCTTACAGGCCCATGCTTAAGCCATGCCAAGCATAGGGACCCAGCGATTGGCTAGCACAGTCAGACCCTACTCCTCCTGCCCTGCACCATGCCCTTGGTCTGTGGAGGTAACAGGCTGGTGATGTCTTTTCTCACATGGGCACACGTGCTCAAGTAGATGCCACTGGGGCTGGGCCCCCAGCTATAGCCCTCCCCTAAACCCCGGCCCACACAGCAACATGCCCCAGCTCTGACATCTCCCCTGGTAGGAGGCACTAGGTCGTTTTCACTTTTCTGTTTCCAGTATAGAGACTATCTCAGGAGAGTGTGTGGTGCAAATGACAGACTGAATGAACAGAAGTCTCTGTTTCCTTGTCTGCTTCCAGGCCCTGAGGAATCAGACCACTACCAAGGCTGGAACTCCTTCCCCAGGCCCCGGTGGTGGCTGGCCTCAGATTGGCTGATGCCCCCCTCCCCTGCTGCCCCCCAGGAAAGGAGCTGCAGGACCACAGGCAGCCTTGATTGGGGGGGTGCTCAACACCTCATTTGGGGAAATGAGGCCTGGAGAGAATTTAGAATCATCAGGTGCCAGAGAATAAGGCAAATGTCGTCTGTTTTGCACAAATGGGGAAATAGGCCAGAGGGGCCCCAAGGCCCCTGTCAAGTTTTCAGAGTTTAGCCTAGAAACCTGACCCCAGGGTCCTTGCCCAGGACTCTGTCCAAGATGGTGGGCTGCATCTGAGAGGGTCCTGCACCACAAGGAATGCTTATCCTGACCCCAAGAAGCTGAGGCTGGGAATGGATGCCATGGTTGATCTGGTGTGACCTCAGGCCTTTCTCAATCTTGGGCTGTCACCTTCCTCTTCTATAAGGTAGATAGGCTTTAAATTCCTGTTCTTCCTATTCCTCTCAGGGCTGTTATGATAAAGTGAGTTGAAAGTGCCTCAAAACAAGAAAAAACATTTCACCTGGGTCTGGGGGCCTAGCACCCGTCCTGCCAGACCCTGGGTAAGGCATTGCCCCTCTCTGGGACTAATTAGCTCCCATGTCATTTTTCCCTGTTCCATGTTCTTTCCTTCTCCAACACAGCAGATTTGTGGTGGATGTTAATGAGTCTCTGCTTGTCTCTCTGTATGGCCTCTACTCAGCCTCCTCTCCTCTCTTCCCACTTTGTAAAGGTGCTTCCCGTCTAAATTCTCCTGGAACCAATTTCTCTCTGTCCAAGTTCCCCAAGGAATCAAGTCTGCGAGCCATTGGGGCTGAGGGATCTCTGTTCTTTGGAGGAACAGCGCTCTCCATCTTAGATTTGCCAGTGTTCAGTATGCATTAAGTGTTCAATAAATGTGTGTCCACTTGAGTCTGAGGCTGTGTGTTTATTCTCTGATGCATCTGGTGGAAGTCTCTTTTCTTGGACTGTTTGCCCCAGCTGGGGTGCTCTCCTCTTGATTCTGTTTCTCCAGTCCAGTCAGCTGTCCCTCAGGACTTGTGAGTTTTGCCCCCTTCAGGGAGCCCTCATGGCTTCCCTCTCCATCCTTTGAACTTCACTGATCAATTAGAGGGCTAAGACTCCCCTGATCTTCTTGACTGTCAGCAGCTAGGGCTCAGGTCTGGTCTAATTTCTTAGGGATCAGTACAGAGAAGGCACCAGGGAATATTTGCTGACTGAAATAATGATTTAAAAATCTGTGACTCGAGCCTCTCATCCCTATGAGGCAAGCTCGGTGAGGACCCCTCATCTACACTTCATACCAGGAGATAGCTGCTCAGAAATGTTAAGTGCTTTCCCCAAGGTTGCACACCTGACTGGGACCTGAGCCAGATAGAAGCTCGGGTTTCTTGCCCATCTCCTTTGCCGCAGCCCCCCCTCATCCTAGGATCCCTCTCTCCTGGGAGTGTGGCTGGGTCAGATCCCAGGGGAGCCTGTGGGCAAAGAGCTCACGCCCTCAGGGTTTCCTTAGGACTCGGAAGAAGCGAGGCACCCCTCGCCACCCAAGCAGAGTGATCATCTGCCCTTTGCCCAGATGAGTACCCCTCATGTCAGCCACACTGGATCTTCACGCTTGCTTGAATTTATTACTCCACTAGGTCCCAGAGCCCTTCTCTTAGTATTCCAAGGTGTTGTCTCTACCTGAGCCTCTAGTGCCTTCGCTGGGCCTTTTCTGCTGGCACAGACCCTGCTGTTGATCAGCTCCACTAAGCCTTGGTAGGGAGCACAGAGTGTGATGACGTCCCTGAGATCACCCAGCAGGTAGCCCCTTCTCCAGCTCTGTTTTGTCATCAGAGGTGTGTCAATATTATTAAAGTCCTTGGACACACCTCAGTTTCCCTGTCTGCAAAAAAGTGTGTGTGGATGGGATGGTCCTGGGGGGCCTAGTAGTCTTGTGCCCCTTGGCATTTTAGGGATGGGGGTCAGGGAGGGGAAGGTCATACTGGGATTTGCCCAAGTTGGTGCCCCCACCTTCTCAATATATGACCTTGAACTTGGTACCACCCCAATTAAGGCCTTGGTTGCCCGACTAGAAAGTGGTAGGGGTGGCTGGGTGTGGTGCCTCATGCCTGTAATCCCAGAACTTTGGGAGGCCGAGGTGGGCAGATCACAAGGTCAGGAGATTGAGGCCATCCTGGCGAACATGGTGAAACCCCGTCTCTACTAAAAATACAAAAAAGAATTAGCCGGGCGTGGTGGTGGGCACCTGTAGTCCCAGCTACTCAGGGGGGCTGAGGAAGAAAGTGGTAGGGGTGGTCTGGGGTCCTTCTGGAGCGGATGCTGTAGCATCCTGAGATCCAGGCTCCCTTTGTCCTCTGTCCCAGCAGCCCTCCTGCTGCCTTCCCATCCCTCTGTTCCCCCCTCCTCCAAGGCAAATGGAGGAGCAGCAGGCGGCCTGACGTGATGAACTCAGCCACGAGGTAGTGGGGGAGGCCCCAGCTTCTCTCCTCTTGCTTGGCTTCCTTGCCAGCAGGGACGGGAGACTTCACTGTGGGCCTTGCCATTCCCATTTCTCACTCCCCCTCCCCTCCCCCACTGCTGTGAGACACAGGAAAATCCATAGGCCCAAGATTCATTTTCTCCGTTGAGTCAGCAGAGGCCAGCGCTGCTTCTGAGGGGCAGGCAACTGGCTTTTAAATAACTCTCTGATATTTAATACCCTCCTCCTCCGCTCTGTGGCCTGGGCCTCTGGGGAAAGGCTAGAATAAATGAGCTGGATGCGTCCTCCGAAAGTCCTAAATGTTCTTACCCCCACCTCAGTCTTCCCCCCAACCCCCAACTCTCAGACCATTGGAAAAGATGACTCCTTACTACATCTGTACCTTGCTTTACAGTTTCTAAGTGGTGGCAGGCTGGGTTTGTTGTCCCAGTTTAGAATGGGAAATGGACATTTAGAAAAGGAGAGAGATCCCACTTGACTTTTGGTCTTTGTCTGCTGTTGGCTGGCTGTGTGGCTGTGGGCAGGTGGGTCCCTGTCCCTCCCTGGGCTTCTGTTTCCTCATCTGTGCTGCAAGGTGGTTCGGCCAGTGGGTTGTTGTTGGTCCCCCTTGGCTGTGTAATGTTATGATTTGCTGTGCTGGCCTAGGTCTCCTTCCCTAATGAAGCCTCTGTTTCTCCACTCCTCTTCAAGGAAAGGCTAAAGGGCAGAGCCGACTGAGGCTAAAGGCCAGCTAAGGTCTGACCCCTAGGATTCCACTCTGTTGAGTCAGGGACAGGAGTGGGTAGGGGAGAGGGGAAAGGGAAAGGAGCAGAGTTGGGTGCCTTCCCTTCCCTTCCCTTGTCTTCCCTTCCCTCCCCTCCACTCCCCTCCCCTTTCATTATTTCTTGCTTTTGCCAGTAGAGGTTGGGACAGACCAAGGGCAATAACCTGTCTTGGTTCTCTTAAAACCCAAGGTCTCTACCACTGTGGATGCAGTTTAATGAGGTGGGAGCAAAACCCTCTTCCTCAGCTGTGCCCAGGCCCAGGATCCTGATCATGGAAGTTAGTGGGCCCAGTTCTCCTGGTTTTGCCACTGTTCTGCATTATTCAGAAGACAGGGATTGATATCTCTGTTGGCTATATGAGAACACTGGGAGGTTAAGAGCTGTGCTTGGGGTCATCCCAGATTAATGATGGAACAGGGCCTATAATCTAGGTTTTCTGATTCCCAACTCCGTGTTCATGCCACTTCCCTGATTCAGGCAGGAAGTTGGGGCCTGAGGGGTGAGCATGGGAGAGGCAGCTGGTTCTGTAGGGGTGACCTTTGTTTGCCCAACTTCTTTAGCCTCCTCTTGGGTCCTCATGCTCTTCTTCAATGTACTGAGCCTTCTGCTTCTAGAATCACAGAATCTTGGAATCAAAACATTGACTGCTAAGAACCACAGACTCAGAGAGCCATAGAACTGTGGTCTCTGAATTAGAACAAAGACTTATGGTATTGGTAGTATGGTGGTGGTGAATGAGACACTTAGAGCTTGTGGTAGGTTGTTAATATTGATGGTCCCAAATGAATTCTGCGTATCTGAGTCCATACTTTTATGTTGTCCCACCCCATACTGACTTTGGGTTGGCCGTGTGACTTCCTCTGGTTAATGAGACGTCAGCAAATGTGATGCAAGGAGAGTCTTAAAAAGTGCTTGTGCATTGGGATTCACCTCTTCTTGCTCCCCTGAAACTGCCATGTGTAGGAACACAAGCATGCCTTTTAGAGGAAGAGACCAGAAGTAAACCATCCCAGCTGGAGATGAACCAGCTCCCTGATGGTCTTCCGCCTGCCTCCAGCCACCTGAGTGACCCCAGATAAGACCAACAGAACTACTCAGCTGACCCGAGCCCAAATTTCTGACTCACAGAATTGTGAACAAATAAAATGGTGGTTGTTTTAAGTCACTAAGTTTTGGGGTGGTTTGTTACACAGCAGTAGATAACGGATGCAGAACCTCATCATTGTAGAATCTTGGTCATAGATCCAATATGCCCTGACAGTCACAGCATCGTGGAACCCCAGGACCAGAAACTGGAACCACTGATGTAGAATCCAAGAAACAGAAGAGTCCTGAAAACGCCTTAACTCCCACCCAATGGTACCCTCTCCTTTCACTGTCAGACCAGGTGACCACTCATCTTTCAACGTTGAGCCCTCTCCCCACCCACAGGTGTCTCTTATTCTTTAGCGTTGTGCCCATTCTGTCACAGTCTTCTGGTTCCACCCCTCAGCTGGCTTCTCAGTCCCTTTCTCTAGGAAGCCTTCCTATATCGATCTGCTTGCTCTGGTCCTGGGAGCCAAATGTGGACTTTGTGGAAATTTATCTTAGTATTCATCCCAGTTCCTAGCACAGTGTCTGGCCAGAACATATCTTGAGGACAACAACTGGCACCACCAACCACACTTCTCATTTCTTCCTGCCCTGTTGCCTCACAACTGGCAGTCCTGGATCTGTCCGTGGTCCTGAATGTCTTTTTCCTTCTTGCCAGTGACTGCATCAGACTGGCCACTTCCCACATTCCCCACATTCCATTGTTTCACCCTCCCCCATATACAGATCATTAGCCTGGACTATTAAATGCAAAATAATATGTGGTGATGATGATGCATATTAATTAGGATTAGTTTCAACTATATGCGTCAGGATGCCCACATGAATTTCTTAAATGATAGAGAAATAGAAGTTCAGTTTCTTTTCTTCTCATAAAAGAAGGTCCAGATGTAGCCCAGAGTCTGAATGGTCTCTCCATAGTCATGAGTACCTCACATCCTTCTAGCCTCCCACTCTGCCTTCCCTATAGTTCTCATTGCCATGGTCCAAATGGCTGCTAGAGCACCAGCCATCACATCAGATAGCAGATGGAGGAAAGCTATAAATAAGGGTACCCCCTTTCCTTTATTGGCACTTTCTATACTTTCATTCAACACTTTCACTTACATAAGCACACCTAACTAGCTTCAAGAGGCTAAGTAAGATAATGTGTCCAGCAAAACGTTATGGTCCTTATTACTGAGGAGGAAGAAGAAATAGCTATTGAAAAGCAACTACAAATCTCTGACATTAGTAATGGAACAGAGGTGTTGATGGTGACAGAGATTGTGGTATAATAGTTGTAGTGTTAGTAATGGTGATGGTAATA
Organism: Homo sapiens; assembly: GCF_000001405.40. Lineage (NCBI taxonomy): Eukaryota > Metazoa > Chordata > Mammalia > Primates > Hominidae > Homo > Homo sapiens. The sequence goes on along the minus strand of NC_000011.10, from coordinate 75,233,183 downwards.
GTGGTGGTGTTGGTGGTGGGAGAGTGGGGGTGATAATGGTGATGATAGCACGGATGGTGATGAATGAAGCTGGTGGCTGGTAAAACTCAGATCCAGGAGCACACACTCCCTTACACATTAGCCTGGACCAGGAGAATACTGGGAGATGGACCCGGTGACTGCAAAGTGTCTGAGCCTTGGGGTCTGCTCCAAGCCATGCAGGAGTGATTCTGGCACCCCTGCTATTTGCAGTTCATCAGTTACAAGCCTCCTGCCTTCTTGGGTACAAGTCATCCCCAGCAGAACATGAATCAGATTCCCCCTATCTAGGCTGGAAATAACTCTGGAATGAAAATTTTACGCCTTAGGGATGTGAAGCAGGAAGGGCAATATTGGACTTCCATTTATTAGACAATAAGCACTGATGGAATTTGTGGTTATAGTCAAGAAAAGTTTTGCTGTGAAATAGAGAAACACATGGACACATAGCTTCAGAAATAGAATCAAGTCATTACAAAAACAGAGAGAGAGTTACAGAGATGCAGAAAGGAACAGGCCCACAATCAGAAACCAACAGGCACAGACACACTAGTCTCACAAGGATGGCCAATCTGTCTCCCCAAAGAGATATGGACACCTGGCCATTTTTTTGTTGTTGTTGTTTGTTTGTTTGTGCGCTTGCTTGCTTGCTTGCTTGTTTGAGACAGGTCTTCCTCTGTCATCAAGGCTTGAGTGCGGTGGTGCAATCATAGCTCACTGCAGCCTTGAACTCCTGGACTCAAGCGATCCTCCTGCTTTAGCCTCCCAAGTAGTTGGGACTACAGGCACGTGTCACTATACCTGGCTAATATTTAAAATTTTTTTGTAGAGACAAAGAGTCTCACCATGTTGCCCAGGCTGGTCCTGAACTGTTGGTTTCAAGCAGTCTTTCCACCTGGCCTCCCAAAGTGCTAGGATTACAGGTATGAGCCACTGCCCATGGCCCACTCAGCCATCATACTCCAATGGACAACTTTCATGTTACCAGCTGGATCCTATGCACTGAAGATACCTAGGAGCCAGAAATAACAGTGATGAGGGGCTCAGAGGTCAGTAGCCAATCACAGAAGCGGGCAGTCTGACCTTCCGTGCCCCTCTCATCTACAATGTGATACTGCAGTAGTGCACCATGGCCTTCACCAGGCTCTGTGACTGAAGGTGATCAGAGGGGTGAGGCTTGGGTAGGAGGGGGTGTGTCCTCCAGGAAGTCTCCCTCCAGGGGCCCAAGGACACATCTGGAAGCCATTAACAGAGGGACCATCAGGCAGCAGGCTCTGACTCCAGGTGAGAAGGCGTGATGAGAACATGTGGCAGCCTCCCACTTGCTGGAGCTGGTGCATGGAGGACACCTTGGCACCGAGTAATTCCAGAATCACCCCCTGCCCAGCACCCACCTAGAATGTAGAGCTATCCACAGTGCGGGCCCTGGAGCTCACCTCTGGAACCTTCGGTGAGCTCACCTCCAGTTCACCTCCCGAATCTTTGACACAAGCTTTTCTGACCTTTGTAGTGACACTCTTTTTCCAGGAAGCCATCCTGATGCCTCCTTTGCCCCCTCCCCCACTTAGTCTCTTTCCTTTTCTGCTTCTGCTCAGAGCTGCTATAAGACATTGCTCTGACAGGCCTCCCATTTCCATTGATCTGTGCTTCTTTGGAAGTGACAGCCCTGCCTAGCTTCAGCTGCCGCAGTTCTCCTCTCTTTCCTGCTGGAGCATCTCCATTTCATGGCACTTGCAGTCCTTTCCTAGTGATTGAAGATGTCTGAGTCCCATCTTGGGTCTCAACCCCCTTGCTGCTAACCCTTGGTCCTGGGACTCATATGAATGACTGTCAATTAATTTCCTGCCACTGCAGCACTGGAGCTCCGGGTTCATGATGGAGCCCCAAGAGATTCCACTCTGCAGACAGATCATCTATTGCCACTAGCCCGTACCTCCAGAACTAGGGGCTTCCGCCACCCCAGAACGTCTCCCTTCCCAGCCTCATGTTGGCTATTTACCAGGATGACCTATTCTTGGCTTCCCCCAGTGGGTCTGGTTCTAGGTCACTGGATTTCCCTGACTGCGTTTCAGAGTGATAGAAAAAGCATTTAGCCCCAGGTTGGGTTGGGATAGCTTCCCCCAACCCCATACGGGTATAATACCCCTGGGGATCTCTATGAGCTCATCACTCACCGGAAGGCTGTGAGTGTGCAAGAAGACCTTGAAGCCTGGCCAGTACATTGATTATTGGCTGTCCCACATATTCCTGGACATAGGACATGAACCTCAGAACAGATGGATGAAAAGCAGGTTGTGTAGGCAAGAAGTTCCCTTGGGGCAACCCCAAACTCTGGGTCTCAGCAGCCCCCACAGCTCAGCCAGGATAGGCAGCTCTCACCCTGTTCTTAGCACAAGGACTGGCTGTGGTTGGGGCCTTAGCTTTGCCCTGCCAGTGTGTCCCCATCCCTGCCCTGGGGAAGGGAAAAAGAAGCCAGTTGGAAGTTCAGAAAAGGAAAGGCTAAAAAGGAGCCCACAATCGGCACTAATTAGCCACTGGGAGAGAGGAAAGGAGGTCAGAGGACTGAGTCTACTTCCGAAAGAAAGCATCTGGCAGGCAGAGCCCTGGTTGGTCATCACCCCTGACTGCCCAGCATTGGCTTGGCCCCACACAGGCCCACCTGACACTGCCCCAGCCCTGCTAGGGGCAGGGCTCCACCTCTGCCCATAGACCCTGTTCAGACCTTCAGACCTTCTCCTCTGGAAGAGGCAACTGGCTAAAAGGAAAGAGGGAAAGAGGGAGGGAGGGAAGGCAGGCAGATGCGATTGAGCACCCACTGTGTGCAGTGCACTGAGTTGAGAGCTTTGCATACAGGATTATGTTTAATTCTCACAATGGTCCTGAAATGTGGGTACCTTGGCCCTCAGCCTCCCAGGTAGCTGGGACAACAAGTTTTAAATACAGAGGTGGACCCTCAGGTTAAGTAGTTGATCCAAGGTTACTGAAGAGAGTCTGGTTCAGGCTGTGTATGCTGCAGTCTATATTCTCAGTGCTATACAATGAGCACTTGGAGGGCAGAGCCCTTGCTCACATCATCTCTGTGCTCCCAGTGCTCTGCCCAGGCACATGGTAAGTGCTGAGGAGCTGTTGAACTTGACAGGCAGGAGAGGCTGAGCCAGGAAAGGGCACAAAAAGAGGGAGACAGATGGAGGAATGGTGGAGGTGCAGCAGATGACTCCCATCCCACGGGACACCATGCAGGGGACCTCTGGGGGGAGCTTTCCTGAGGCCCAAGACAATGCTGGACAGTACACAGCCTTGTACCCAGCCATGGGGGGAGGCAGAGAAGGTAGAAGTGGGGGAACATTGTATTTATTTTTCCCTCTTCTTCCAATTCCCAGATGGTTACACTGAAGCAGAAAACACAATGAAGAACCTTTAAGCTCTTGCTGGAGCCAAGCCACCCATGCTGGAGCCAAGGCAGATCACCAGCAGGCCAGCTGGCCCAGAGCCAGCTTGTGATTCAGGGTTGGGGGACCAAGGGGTATTGAGGAGAAGAGGGCCTCTGGGTACGGCCACTGTGGGCATGATGCCCTTCCACATGGGCTGGACCTTCTGGCAGGGTCAAGTATCCCTAACGAGGAGAACAGGCAGTGGCATGGGGGCAGGGAAGTGGATCATCCTGTGTCCCTGAGAACCCCAGTAGCAACTGGGGTGTAGGAGAGACACACTGTGGGTCAGACCGACTTCACATAGTGGCTGAATCAGTCCTCACAACCATCACCCTGAAAGGTGATGATTCTCAGCCTTGTTTTTTTTTTTTTTTTGATGGAGTCTCACTCTGTCACCCAGGCTGAAGTGCAGTGGTGTGATCTTGGCTCACGGCAACCTCTGCCTCCTGGGGTTCAAGCGATTCTCCTACCTCAGCCTCCTGAGTAGTTGGGATCGCAGGCGTGCACTACCATGCCCGGCTAATTTTTGTATTTTTAGTAGAGATGGGGTTTCGCCACGTTGGTCAGGCTGGTCTCGAACTCCTGATCTCAGGTGATCCTCCTGCCTTGGCCTCCCAAGTGCTGGGATTACAGGCATGAGCCACCACACCCGGCCAGCCATAATTTTAAAGATGAGGTACGGTGGCTAACCCCTGTAATCCCAACATTTTGGGAGGCCAAGGCAAGAGGATCACTTTAGGCCAGGAGTTTGAGACCAGCCTGGGAAACTTCAGGAGACCTCGTCTCCACAAAAAAATTAAAAAAGGTAGCCGGGCATGGTGGCACACGCCTGCTGTCCCAGCTACTCAGGAGGTTGAGGTGGGAGGATCGTTTGAGCCCTAGGGGTTGAGGCTGCAGTAAGCCACGATTGGACCACTGCATTCCAGCCTGGGTGACAGAGCAAGACCCTGTCTCAAAAAAAAACGATGAGGAAACTGAGGCACAGAAAGGGTAAGTGACTTGCCTAAAGTCACAGTTGAGTTGGAGGAGGGCTGGGATGCCTCCCCTGGCTGTTTGGCTCCAGGCCTGCTCTTAATCATTATGATCTCCTGAGAGGAGCAGCGAGAAGCTTGCCTGCCTGTACCCCCCAGCAATTAAGGACCCCTTGGTATTGTGAAAAATGTCAGTGGAGTGTGTCTGATTAGGCTCATCAGTGCTCAGCATGGGACACATGTGTTTTTAAGATGGATCACCATTATCCCTGGCTGAAGAATTGCATGGGGTTTTCTAATTACAAATTATTCCTGCTGGATTTCATTATGCTTCCTCTTGTACTGGCTTTTTGTATTTTCAGTAATCTTATAAAACTTTGAAAATCATGATCAGTCAAGCTTATCTTCTAAGTCTTTTTTTCTTTTTTCTTTTCTTTTCTTTTTTTTTTTTTTTTTGAGACGGAGTCTCGCTCTGTCGCCCAGGCTGGAGTGCAGTGGCGGGATCTCGGCTCACTGCAAGCTCCGCCTCCCGGGTTCACGCCATTCTCCTGCCTCAGCCTCCCAAGTAGCTGGGACTACAGGCGCCCGCCACCACGCCCGGCTAATTTTTTGTATTTTTAGTAGAGACGGGGTTTCACCGTTTAGCCGGGATGGTCTCGATCTCCTGACCTCGTGATCCGCCCGCCTCGGCCTCCCAAAGTCTTCTAAGTCTTAAGAATATACAGCTAAGCTTTTATTAAGACAGTATTGTTACATTTTTTTAAAGTGAATGTTTGACTCAATATTACAAAACAGCAGTTACTTGAATTTTACCATTCCACGATTATAATGAGTCAGAAGAGAAGGTTGAACATTTATCTTCCTATAGAAAACCTTCATTCACTCAGAAAGCAAATTTCCTGTGGTAGAGAAAAGTTTTCACTTAAGTATTTTAAACTATTTTCAGCCAACAGCAAGTAGGCAAGAAGCCTGTGTTAATTTAATAATTCCTAACTGAGACTTTTCACTGATCACTGAAAATTCTTCCAATTTAACGGCATTAACAAAGACAGCAGAAAAGGAATGGTATATATCATTTTAAAAAGAAGAATATAGTTCAAATCCCAGCTAGGAAAAAAAAAATTAAAGAAGAATAAAACATAGTGATCACCAGGACCCAGCCTAGGTTTACTTAAAATAAGTCAGGCTAATCTCTCATCTCTCTTGCTTTGGGAGAACCAAAATTGCAATAGATCAGGGGTCTGTTGAAGTCTTGAGAATCCTGATTTCAAAAAGGCAATTGGAACATCTCCCAAGGTACTTTTTTTTTTTGAGACAGAGTCTCGCTGTGTCGCCGAGGCTTGAGTGCAATGGTGCGATCGCAAGTCACTGCAACCTCCGACTCCTGGGTTCAAGTGATTCTCCTGCCTCAGCCTCCCAAGTAGCTGGGACTACAGGCGCTTGCCACCACACCCAGCTAATTTTTGTATTTTTAGTAGATACAGGGTTTCACTATGATGGCCAGGCTGGTCTTGAACTCCTGACCTCAGGTGATCCTCCTGCCTCGGCCTCCCAAAGTGCTGGGATTACAGGCGTGAGCCACTGTGCCCAGCCTCCCAAGGTACTTTCATGGCAAGCTACAGTAGGGATCAAATCGTGATACACTAGGGGAATCCCTGGCTGCCTGGACAGCAGGTGGTGGAGAACGGGTAAGTGGATCAATGGCAGCTTAGAGGGAAGACTAGTGCCCTGCTCCGGGCTTGTTCCTCCCTGCTATCTTGCTCAGTCTGATGTATTTTTTCAGGGACTTGGATTAGGCCAAATAAAGCATGCTTATCAAATCTGGGTGGGAGAGTGATTATGTCAGATGGCAGAACTGGGTTTCAAAATGATCTGCATTAACTTGGCCCATAGGTGATGACCATAGGTTCACGTTCATGGAGGTAAATGTCAAGTCCTCATCGGGGCTCAGAGGTTCGGGTGAGGGAGAGAAGAAGGAATTATTGAGCACATACTTCGTGCTGTACCCTAACATAAGATATCTCAGTTAATAGTGAAAACCTTAGGAGGATGTTGTTCTCATTTTATTTTTTTTAATTATAGATTCAGGAGGTACACATGCAATTTGTTAAACAGATATTTTGTGTAATGGTGAGGTTTGGGCTTCTAGTGTATCCATTACCCAAATAGTGAACATTGTACCCAGTAGGTAGTTTTTCAGTCTTCACCCCTTCCACCCTGTTCTCATTTTATAGTGGAAGAAACTGAAAGCCAGAGAAGCTAAGCATTTGCTCAGGTCACATAGTAAGAGATGGAGCTCAGATCAAAGCCAAGGCCCATAAGACTCTTAGGTCCATTCTTCATAAAAAGTTCAGGATGAAGGAAACAGAGTTTAATAGCAGTTTATGTGGAAAGAAAACAAAACCACACATTTATGTGATATTAGTCCTGAATTCATATGCTAAGTCTTTCCTGAGCCTCTCTTCTGGGACCATCCTTGAGCTAGGCTTGGGGTGAAGAGATGAAAACTCACAGCCCCTGAGCAAGTTGAGCTCCTGGTCGGGGGAAGAGCAACCAACACTAGAACAGGTGGATTTGACAGTGCTGGGCATACAGAATACTGTGGGAGCCCAGAGAAAACCTGAACCCTCCAGCAAACTGTAGAAGAGGCAGTGCCTGGCCTGAGGCCCGAGGCTGGTTGGCTTGTCTGGGAGCCCAGGGAGGACATGGATTGTAGGTCCCAGCACGATGACCCAGGCTGGGCCTCACCTCTGCCCCTCAGTGGTGAGGAGCACTGAGGCCCCGGAAGGGGTAGGGCTGAGGGAAGGAGGTTTGCCAACTCTTCACCAGAAATGGAAGAAGAGAGCAGGAGGGGGTGGGGCATGGTGGCTCATGCCTGTAATCCCAGCACTTTGGGAAGCCAAGGTGGGTGGATCACTTGAGATCAGGAGTTCATGACCAGCCTGGCCAACACGGTGAAACCCCATCTCCACTAAAAATACAAAAATTAGCTGGGCATGAGTGCCTGTAATCCAGCTACTTGGGAGGCTGACGCACAAGAATCACTTGAATCCGGGAGGCAGAGATTGCAGTGAGCCGAGATCATGCCACTGCAGTCCAGCCTGGGCGACAGAACAAGACTCTGTCTCAAACAAACAAACACCAGACAGGGAGACAGAGAGAGCAGGAGGGGAGTGGGAGCTCTGGAAGGCATCTGAGAGCCAGGCAGGGACACGCCTCTGTGGACACTGGGAGGTTCTGGGACCTTAGCTCCAGACAGGCCGGTTACTTTGTAACCCCCCACTGTGTCCTGCAGCTGATCCTTCAGGAGAGAAGGGCTAGAGACTGGTGTTCAGGGTCAGTGAGCACATAAACAGATGTCCTGGGAGTCATTTGGGAGAGAAAAAGAGGACATCCCAGGTTTTTGTGCCCACAGGAAAGACAATGTGAGTAACACATACAGAAGTTTCTAAGGTGGGCAATGAGGCCAGGTGGGCTGGAGGCGGGAGGTCAGGAGACAAGGGAGGGGGTTGTTGAGATACTACTGGCGCTGTCAGCGAAGGCCAGGCCATGCTGGGCCTTGCAGGCCTTGAAGATTTTAACCTTTGTTTCAAAGGCAAAGAGAAGCCATTGAAAGCTTTTAAGTAGAAATGTGACATAATTTTATTTGTATTTTGTAAAGATCACTCTCACCACATGATTGAAAGAGCCAAGTATGAGAAGATAAATGAGGAGACGCTTGGAGAAGTACAGGTGAAAGGCAATGGTGCTTGGGCTGGGTGGTGGTGAGGAGGTGGGGAGTGGTGGGTGGGTTTGAGATACTCAGGGCCTGGTGACAGACTGGATACGGGGTGAAGGGGAGGGATGGGCCCAGGGTTTCTGGCCTGTGGATGGTAGAACTGACAGAGGGAAGACCAGGTGTGAGGTGGGCAGAGAGGGTGAACTTAGCCTTGGTCCTGATGAGTTAGGGATGCCAAGACATCCAAGTGGAGACATTGACTGGGCAGTGGGATATTGACGCCTAGAATTCAGGAGCCATGTCAGGACTGGGGGTGCACAGCTGGGATTTGCCAGCACTTAGAGGATAATTGAAACTACAGACCCACCATACCTGTATATTCAAGGCCCTCTTCAGTCCCCTACCTGCTCTGGGAAGCCATTCCTGATGCCTACCCCACTGCAAGGCTAGCTTAGGGCCCCCTTCAGCTCCCTCTGCTTCCCTGTGGGGGTGTGTTGTCAGTTTCTGCCACCTGCCCCCTGCCTGCCCCCAGATGGCGAGCTCCTGAGGGCAGGGACCACATTCATCCCTGCTTCCCCAGAGCCCAGCACAGGCTGTGGCTCAGAGAGGCATTTCAGCAGCTTGAGTGGAGTGGGCTGCCAGAGAGGGAAATGAGCTTCCTGTCCCAGAAGGCATGAGAGCCAGGGCTCTACAGACAGAGGGTGAGAGAGAGCCCTCCATCCAGCAGGTGTCCTCTGGAGTCTTTTCCAGGATCTGAGTCACCTCCCCAAGGGAGGAGGAAGTGTTTTCACCTATCCCCGAGTCCATGGTCACTCTGTGGCCTCCTCCTTCTCCAGAGAGGTTTTTGGAGGCTGTGCTGAGCTCAGCAGAATGCCCTACTCCTGCCACCAGCCTCTTTGGCCCTGGAGCTGCCACCCAAGCATAGATACCTCGCTAGAGTTTAGCAGAAGCTGCTGAGGTGGCTCTGGTCTGGGCTGTTAGGGTTGGCTGCTTGCCCTGCTTAGCCTCCTAGACCTCAGCCTTGGCCTGGGCCCTCCTCCTCCCCGGCTGCCTCTACTTTACCCACTGCATCTCTTACTGCAGCGGCTTAGCTACCTGAGCCAAAGTGGGCCTCAACCTGGAGATTCTAGGGGCTCAGCAGGGAGTGTACTGGGAAGGAAAAGGAGAGGGAGGAGCTTGGTGAAGAAGCTGGGAGGGCAGAGGGAAGGGAAGAGGTTTGGGGAGAGGAGAAAGAGACACAGAAAGCACTGGGCTGGGTGGCCTATGAGGTTACTAGCTCCTCAGTTTTTTGCCCAGGAAAAAACTGAGAAGAGAGGGGGCCTGACTTTCTAGAGGGGCACCAAGAATCCTCCTTGCACTTGGAAGGGTGAGAAAGGCCGAGCAAGGCAGCGGGCTCTGGAGGCCAGGGGAGGTCACGACAGTGCAGGGAAGAAAGGGCTGGGGGCTTGCCACTCAGACAAGAAAGATACAGAAGACACCAGGGAGGGGCCCACAATTCACACAACTGAGCAGCCCTGCCCCATTTGTAGAGGAAGGTGAACCTTGAAGCCTGGGAAATGAGGGATGAAACCAGCAGAGAGGAGGATTCCAGCTACTGGAGCTGAAGTCCTCATAGTGCAGAAGGGCTTGATACCATACACATTGTTACAAGACGTGGGCACACTGGGCTCTTCCCACCCTGGTTCTGAGTGGTCAGCCGGAGATAACCGTGATCACTGTGCCCTCATGCTGGCCACACCACCTCGGATAGTGAATGCTGCAGGAACTGCCAGGCTGTCCCAGAAAACACAGAACTACCTATGCTTCCAACCATGATAGGATAGGACTATGAGAACTTGAAAGGACCAAGGCACGTCAGTACCATCACTAGGGTAATATCTTATTTATGCTTGTTTATTTTTCTTTTTCTTTCTTTCTTTTTTTTTTCTCGAGACAAGATTCTGGCTCTGTCGCCCAGGCTGGAATGCAGTGGCGAGATCTCAGCTCACTGTAACCTCCGCCTCCTGGGCTCGAGCCATCTTCCCACTTCAGCCTCCCGAGTAGCTGGGATTACAGGCGTTCATTACTACATCTGGCTAATTTTTGTATTTTGTACAGAGACAGAGTTTTACCACGTTGGTCAGACTGGTCTCGAACTCCTGGACTCAGGCAACTCACCCACTTCGGCCTCCCAAAGTGCTGAAATTACAGGTGTGAATCAACATGCCCGGCCTATGCTTGTTTTTAAAATAAAATGTATTTTACTTTTTATTTTTTTGGTGTGAAAATTTGAAAAACAGAAGTTGAAAGAAAAATAATTATGCTCATAGTCCCACCATCTAGAGACTTTTTTTGACGGACATCTTTCCAGTCTTTTTTCTATGCATATTTTCTTCATAATTATTATAACACTGCTATAATCCTTAAAACGGTTTTACAGCTGGGCACAGTGGCTCACGCCTATAACGTTAGCACTTTGGGAAGCCATGGCTGGAGGATTGCTTGAGCCCAGGAGTTCAAGATGGGCCTGGGCAACATAATAAGACCTTATTTCCACAGGAAATAAATAAAAATTAGGCCGGGCGCGGTGGCTCATGCCTGTAATCCCAGCACTTTGGGAGGCTGAGGTGGGCAGATTGCCTGAGCTCAGGAGTTCGCAACCAGCTTGGGCAACACGGTGAAACCCCGTCTCTACTAAAATAAAAAAAACTAGTCGGGCATAGCGGCAGGTGCCTGTAGTCCCAGCTACCTGGGAGGCTGAGGTAGGAGAATTGCTTGAACCCTGGGAGGCGGAGATTGCAGTGAGCCAAGATTGCACCACTACACTCCAGCCTGGGCAACAGAGCGAGACTCTGTTTCAAAAAATATATATGTATATATATTAGCCGGGCATGGTGGCATGTTCCTGTAGTCCCACCTACTTGGGAGGCTGAGGTAGGAGGGTCACTTGAGCCTGGGAGGTCAAGGCTGCAGTGGGTCGTGATCACACCACTGCACTCCAGCCTGGGTGACAATGTGAGACTCTGTCGCAAAAAATAACCCAAACAAACAAACAAAAAACTGTTTTTTAGCTGGGGTGTGGTGGCATGGGCCTGTAGTCCCAGCTACTTGGGAGGCTGAGGTGGGAGGATCACTTGAGCCCAGGAGTTTAAGGCTGAAGAGAGCCATGATTGCACCACTCACTCCAGCTTGGGTGGCAGAGTGAGATCCTGTCTCAAAACAAACAAACAAACAAAAAAACAAAAAAACAGTCTTACGTTATTTTTATTTATGATTATTAAGGTAAAGTATGCTCTTTTTTTTTACAGGAAAGTACAGAAAAACATTAGAAAGCTAGAAAAATATATTACTCATGATCCCATCAATCATTGTGTGAAGATATTGGAGTATTTATTTCCAGTAATTTTTTTTTGTGCCCCATACTTTTTTTTTAATGTGCACAAGTGCTTTGTATTTACAATTTGGGAGGCAGCATAATGTGTTTATGAATAACAACAACAAAACCCACCAGTTTTTGAGTCCTGGCTTCATCACCTACTAGCTGAGTGACTTTGGGAAATTTATTTCACCTTTATTAACCTCAGTTTCCTCAGCTGTAGAATGGGACCAAGCATCATCTAGCTGATAGAGTTGCCTTGAAAATTTGTATATATACTATGCAGCCATAAAAAAGAACAAGATGTCCTTTGCGGGAACATGGATGGAACTGGAGGCCATCATTCTTAACGAACTAACATAGGAACAGAAAACCAACTACCACACGTTCTCACTTATAAGTGGGAGCTAAATGATGAGAACGCATGAATGCATAAAGGGGAACAACACACACTGCAGCCTATTGGAGGATGGAGGGTGGGAGGAGGGAGAGGATCAGGAAAAATAACTAATGGGTACTAGGCTCAATACCTGGGTGATGAAGTAATCTGTACAACAAACCCCCATGACACAAGTTTACCTATGTAACAAACCTGCACATGTAGCCCTGAACTTAAAAGTAAAAAATAAATAAATAAATAAAAATAAAAATAAATTGTGTATATAAAAACTGCAGGCAAGGCAGATGCCTTGGAGCCCTATACAGTGCTGGGCCTTTACTGTAAAAAAAAACAAAATCAAAAACGAACAAAAAAACCTCCTGGCAACACATTCAGCACTTAGTGGGTCCTCAATAAAGGTGCAGTGGACATTTGTCACATTTTTTTTTTTTGCTGCATAGGACTAATCTGTTGCTTTGTATTTTGAGTAAATATCCCACTAGGTGAGCCTTTATGGAAACTAGGATCCCATCTCCCCCTTCAAAGTCAAACGTGGCCAGATACTCTTTCCCTTCCACTCCCTGGCAATTTGGCCGACAGGGTGCCTGGTTCAGGATTTGGTGTGAGAATTGGTGAGGCTGGGAGGAAGCTTCATTAGAACTCATTGTGTTTGTGTCATGCCACAGTCTGGGTATGCAGTGGGGTGATGTTCAGAGGCCAAGATCATGCTGTTGGAGACACTGGAATCAGCTGTTCCGATGTTATGAACTTGACTATGAATTCAGCTGTTCATTCATCTCCAGCTTTCTCATCCATTCTGAGCTGCCTGGTGGAACTTTCAATAGGTTTTTTCTGCTTTGTTTAACCTCAGTCAGTTTCTGTTGCTTGCACCACAAAGGTTAGTTCTTATCTATATATATTTATTTATTTATTTATTTATTTTGTAGAGACAGGGTCTCACTGTGTTGCCTAGGTTGGTCTCAAATTCCTGGGCTCAAGCAATCCTCCTGCCTTGGCCTCCCAAAGTGTTGGGATTACAGGCATGAATCACCATGCCCAGCCAAAGTTAGTTCTTAAATCTTTCCAATAATAAAGTAAATTTGAAGCGTTAGCTTCAATTTCCAGCCCAAGTTTTCATGCAGAAAGGTCCTGGGGGATATGGTAGAAGTGCCATTCTCTGTGCTGTCCTTCTGGACAAAGAACAGGGTGACTCTCAGATCTTTGCCTCCCTGCTTGGCCCAGAGCCAGCACGGAAAGGGGAGGTTCTTAGAGAGGGCTGCTGATGGAAAGAGTAAGGGAGGGAAGGGAGAGAGTACAAAGATTTCCATGTGATGAAGAAAGCTCCTGAAGGCAGCTTATGTGTGGTACATTTGAATTCCTAAGGCTCTTGGGCCTCTACCCAATGAATCCTGATTCCAGCAGCCTGAAACAGTTCCAACTCATTTTCCCTTTCTGATCTCACATTCTCCCATGTTTACCACGGATGGCACTGCCCAAGATAGAAATCCTGAGTGCCATCCAGGACACTTCCCTTGATCTCTCTTCCCCAGCATCCAGCAGTCCTGGTCAGTTCACCCCCTAAACACCTCTCAATCCATGTCTTGCCCCTATCCTCAGGGTTCCAGTTTATCCTCTCATCTGTCTGCATTTCTTCCCAAGGCCCTGGATTACCATAAGACGTATCCTTGGGAGGTCAGGTAGTTGTCAGGGGCAGGCCCCCAGAGGTCAGCTCCCCTCTGAGCAGCAAGACTGCTTGTCTGGATATCTCAGTCCTTAGGCAAGGGGCTGTAGGCAGATCTAGCCAACAATTGGAGCCCCAGAAATACCATGTCTGGCCTGAATCCCACTTGGAGCCAAGTTGGTACTAACGAGCTTAAAAAGAGGGAATATTCATGTGTGCTTCTAGAGCTCCCATGGGTGCAGGGCCTGAGTCAGGTTCATCTCTGCTCCCCCACTCTCACCCCACCCCAGTTCCAGCATGGGGCATGGCTTGCCGTTAGTGCTCAGAAAGTGTGGATTGACAGTCTGGGATTATTGCCTCAATCCTTTCTTGGCATCCCATCAAAAGTGAGACCTAAGCCCTCCTACCTCTCTTACCTTGCACCTCCCATCCCTACCTCACTCTCCAGGCTCCAACCACAAGACTCGTTCGTAGTTCTCTGAATGCATGCCAACCCACCTCACCCACCAAGCCATTGTACATGCTTTTCCCTCCACCCAAAGCCCTCTCTCAACCAGGGCAGCCTGATGAACTCCCACAAATCCATCCTTCCTTTAAGGCTCAGGGAGTGCAAGCACTGCCTCCTCTGGGAAGCCTGTTGAAACTGGCCTTGGGAGGCCTCCCTCCCTTGTGCTGTCTCCATGCCTGCCCATGCAGAACTCTGTTTGTCACTTGGCACGGAGTGTTGTGAGTATGTGTCCCCCCACGAAGCAGTATACCTGAAAGAACCGGGTTTGTTTCCTTCTGTACCTCCAGGGCCTAGCTGGTACCTAGCCCGGAAGGAATGCCAGGACCTGGTAGTTCCTTTTCACTCATACCCACTTTTTGGAGGCAGATGATGCAGCTAGAGAGGTTGCAGGGCCTTGAATGCCAGGCTAAGGAAAGGAGGCTTGGCTAGATTTGCATTGTTCAATGATACTGGTGGCTGGGACACCCTCATTTGGGGACTGGACAGTGATTTTTCCATTTTGGACCTCTTCTAGCCCAGAGGACAGGGATTAGTTCCTTAGCAGGAAGATACAAGATGAGCCTGGGCTCATGACTCCCTCCTCTCCTGGACTCCCTTTCTCCTTCTGCATTCACTCTCAAGTCCCAGAGTCCCTCTCTAAAGGCCTGGGGTCTGGAATCCACCCCCACTACTCAAGGACCAAGTCCAAACCTCAATCCCCAGTTATGTAAGTGAACTATCTGCTGTCCCCAACCAGCGCCAACCAGATCTCCTCCTCCTCCTCCTAATTGATTTAATCTTCTCATACCAGAGAGTGGGGCCGGGTTTGGGGAGATGGTGTTGATCAGAAGCCAACACATCAGTGACGTAGACTCATTAATTACAGAGAATCTGGGTCATGGATTGGCTCTCAGTGGCTCTGATCCTCCTCCTCCTCCCTAGTCATTTGTGTCTATGAAAGGACATTTTCAGCAACTCCTCATTCCTCAAGCCCCTGTCCTACATATAGAGAAAGACAAGGGTCCCTAAGACCCTGTCTGTCTCTTAGATCCCCCTAACCCTTAGCTATGAACAGAACTTCCCTGCATTCCAGTTCTGAGCACAGGACATAGATAAATCTAATTCATTGAAAAGTGAAGAGATGAACAAATTATTTAACTTTAGGCTGCGAAGAGACCTTAATTTACTTTCCACACCAAGCATGCCTCTACTTTGGAGCTTCCTTGATAGAGGATGCCCAGGCCCTATTTGTACACCCTCAGGAATAGGGAGCTCACTGCCCTGGGATAGTCCTTCCCTTATGTGATGACTCCACCTAGGAGAAAGTCCTTTTTCACATGGGGCTGGGACAGCAGCCTGGTGACTTCCCCTAGGACCCAGCTCTGCTGCTGAGGACATAGGGCATGCCCCAGGACAGCCAGCCAGATCCTGGGACACAGTGGTTGCCACTACCGAGTTGGCTGTTCTCCAGGCTGAACACTTATGGTTCTTTCAGTGGTTCTTCATTTGGTGGACTTAATAGATTACTTCCTACTGTATCTCCTATGTGCACATCTTAGTTCATTTTTGTGCTACTATAACAGAATACCTGAGACTAGGCAATTTATAAGGAACAGAGATTTATTTCTTACACTTCTGGAAGTCTAAGATTGAGGGGCCCACATCTGGTGAGGGCCTTTGTGCAGTGTGATCCCACAGCAAAGGGGAGAAGGGCAAGAGAGGGTGTGTGTGTGAGACAGAAAGAGAGATAGAGAGAGAAAGAGAGAGAGAGAGTGAGCAAGAGAGGGGTTGCTTTTATAACAAACCCACTCTTTCAATAATAAACCTATTTCCATGATAGCCATATTCATTCATTCATGAGGGCAGAGCCCTTATGAACTAATCCCCTCTTAAAGGCCCCACCTCTCAACACTGTTGCATTGGAAATTCAGTTTCTAACACATGAACTTTGGGGGACACCATAGCAATGCACAAGCTATGGATGGCATCATCTCTTCAGAGGTACAGAGTGGAGCACAGACCCCAGGGAAGTGTGAACAGCTCAGGGCAGGATAGAATCATCACTCTTTTTGGTCTTGTTATTAGATTTCCATTGATACAGCCTGAAATCACCTGAGATCTTTGGGGGTGTTAACACACTTTGACTCAGCTTAAGCACAGAGTCAACTAAACCCCATAGTAATTTTTCTGGCACCAGCAATGGAAAGTTTCTATGAAAAAGATATTAGGAACATCTCCATGTCCCCCCACTAAATAATTCTTCTCTCCACCTACTCTGACATTTATCTTTCCATACAATGATGCAATTATTCATCTACTTGTTTGCCCACCCATATGCAACTACCCAACCATATATAATGCAGATTTGTTACACAGACAAATATGTGCCATGGTGGTTTGTTGCAACCTATCAACCCATCACCTAGGTATTATACACCATATGCATTAGCTATTTATCTTGATGTTCTCTGTTCCCCCACCCCCTGACAGGTCCCAGTGTGTGTTGTTCCCCTCCCTGTGTCCATGTGTTCTCATTGTCCAGCTCCCACTTATAAGTGAGAACATGCATTAACCACTATATATTAACCCATACATTTACCAGCCCAGCTAACCACCCACATTCCTTTCCATTCATCTGTCCATAGAGCACTCATTCACCTCTCCAACTACCTACTCATCCACAAACCCACTTACATTTAATCAATTTTCTACCTTCCTAACCAATGATATACTTCCCTATCTGTTTATCCATCCATTCGCCCACCCACTCACTCATCCACATATTCATGCCTTCATCTACCCTCTTTCCCAGTCACCCATACATCTGTATTCATCATCCATCCATCCTTCCATCCATTTTTTTTTTTTTTTTGAGACAGAGTTTCGCTCTTGTTGCCCAAGTTGGAGTGCAATGGTGTGATCTTGGCTCACTGCAACCTCCACCTCCCAGGTTTGAGTGATTCTCCTGCTTCAGCCTCTCAAGTAGCTGGGATTACAGGCATGTGCCATCACGTCTGGCTAATTTTTTGTATTTTTAGTAGAGACGGGGTTTCATCATGTTGGCCAGGCTGGTCTTGAGCTCCTGAACTCAGGTGATCCACCCACCACGGCCTCCCACAGTGCTGTGATTACAGACATGAGCCATCATGCCCAGCCCATCTATCCATTTTTTACTGAGATTCTATGGTATGTCAAATCTTGTGTTGAGTATTTTGTGCTCTCTCTCTCTCTCTCCTTCCTTTTCTTAGGGGAAGGAATAGGAGCAGATAAGGCAAACGGTGTGAAATACTATAAAACAGGAACACAGAAAATGCATTGGAGATTTGGAGGAGGGAGTGGCTTCTGGATGAGGTTATGGATGCCTTCCTGTCAGGAGAGACATTTGGTTTGGGCCTTGATAAAACAGCAGTATTTGGATATACACAGGTACATTGGAAGTCATTCCAAGTAGAAGAAGCAAAACATCAAAGACCTGGTGCCTAGAGAGCAGCATTCATACCTTATGTTTTATATCCCTCCTCAAGTGCCTAGTAGAGAGCTGGGCACACGTCAGCAACTTAATACATACTTGCTAATTCATATTGTCTCTCTCTCTCTCCTTCTCCGACAGGGGCACCACCAACACTTAAGGTAAGAGTTCACTCTTTCTTTTTAAAAGATTCAAGAGTTGCCTTACTAGATGGCCTTGGGCAAGTCACAAAACCTTTCTGGGATTCTCTGAGTGTGGGGTTGATTTTCTGTCTCTATCAGGTGATCCTTTCCCCATAATCTTAATTATTTATGCCATGCTTTCTGTTCTCTTCAGAGAGATTAGCATTTACACATATGTTAAATGTTATTTTCTAAATGCTAACACCAATTAATGCAATCCTATCTGTTTTTAACTTCCTTAGCCTCCATCTTCAGGCAAGAAAGTCTGTGATATGAATGAAGGGGTAAGTTTGTGGAAATAGCACTGGGGTAGAAGCCAGGAGCCATGAATTAAAGTCTGCTTTGCCATAAGCTTGCTGTGTGACCTTGGGCAAGTTCCTTTCCCTCTCTGTTTAAAGATTTTCAACCATAGCACATTAGCACTGAACTCAGCATCTGATATTATCTAGACCAATATACATCTTGCAAATGGAAAAACAGGCTCAGAAAGAAAGGGCACATGACCTGCCTAGATCATATCTGGATTAGTGGCAAAGCTAGGACTAAAGTAAACTTCCTGACTTCCAGTTTAGGGGTTTCTCTACCCAACCACCACATGTCAGCCTTCATTCACAGCCTCTGTATATCTCAGAGACAGCTTCCTCTCCCACTTTCATTCCCTAGGAAGAAACGTGTGAATCTTCCAAGTGTTCTATTTTACTGATTCATGCCTGGGTGGGAGCTGGGCAGGCAGTATTTAAGAGCAAGCATTCCCAGCCTGACGGAGTTAATTATGTTCATCAGGAAGGGAGAAGAGAAAGGAACAAGGCGCTCTGGTTATCTACTGGGCTTTAATCAAATTGAGAAGAGAGGAAATCCATCACCCAGAGGCTAAGGGAGGTGGAGAGCTTGGCTTCCGCTGGCTCCGCGTCCTGTAATGGGTTGGGCGCTGTCCAAGGTGCTGACATCTTCACTTATTGCTCCGAGTTGCTGGGAGGAGCTGGGAGAGGCCCCCTCCTGGCCAAGGGACAGCAGCTCTTAGAATAGGATCTAGGAGAGACCAAGAGAGGGTCTGGACATGTTGGGAGAGGCTCGAGTTTCTACTCTGCCTCCTGAACCTTTCCTTTTCCATATATTTGTCTATCTGCTTTAAGAAAAATATTTTTTCCTATGACCAGAGTCCTGGGCTGGGATAGAGGGAGGGAATACACAGAGAAGGCAGAGCCCTAGACTCCTTGCTGTCAGGGAGAGGGTCCCCAGGGTGGAGGCACAGTCCTTAAGGGACTTCCATATCTTTTTTTTTCCATATCTTTTTTTTTTTTTTTTTTTTTTTAAGACTGAGTCTTGCTCTGTCGCCGGACTGGAGTGCAGTGGCGCGATCTTGGCTCACTGCAACCTCTGCATCCTGTGTTTAAGTGATTCCCCTGCCTCAGCCTCCCAAGTAGCTGGGACTACAGGCACGCACCACCACGCCTGGCTAATTTTTTGTATTTTAGTAGAGACGGGGTTTCAACATGTTGGCCACGATGATCTCGATCTCCTTACATCAGGTGATCTGCCTGCCTCAGCCTCCCAAAGCGCTGGGATTACAGGCCTGAGCCACTGCGCCCAGCTGAGGACTTCCATATCTTAAAGGGGAGGTGTGGCTTCTGCTTTTGTGAAATCGTTAGTCCAATGGCAGAGACATATACTTGCCTTTGGGAATTTGTTGATCTGATAGAGGAACATCACTGTGCCTCTAACTCTACTCAAGTATGATACAAGGGAACATTGGCCCATGTCTACATGGAGCCTCCAGTCTGATGGAGAAGACATTGTCTTCCTCTGTAAAATTCCCAGTCTGGTTGAGGAGACAAACTCTTGATTCAGGGGGAAATCTCACATATAATCAGGGAGACAGGATAGACAGACAAGTTACAGGTCTGTACAATAACCAACCAAGGA
Source organism: Homo sapiens (assembly GCF_000001405.40). Lineage (NCBI taxonomy): Eukaryota > Metazoa > Chordata > Mammalia > Primates > Hominidae > Homo > Homo sapiens. The sequence goes on along the minus strand of NC_000011.10, from coordinate 75,213,569 downwards.
ACTCAGATCTTCACATTTCACACTCAAATTGAGATTGTTGGTGTTAGAGATTTAGTGTCAACCATGGAAGGCTTCCTGGAAGAGGTACATTTGAGTTGGGTTAACAGGAAAGCAAGAGACATGTGTCTCTAGACCTTAGGCCACATGAGAACAATAACCATGTCTTCCCATTTTTTATATCACCTTTGAAATAAGTATAAGCCTGGCCACAGTGAAGACTCTTGTTTAATAAACAGTAGCCAGCAGGTAGAGAGTAATGTACCTCTTTGGTAGGCTGGGAGACAGCAGAGTGTGGATGGGATCGGAATTGGGGAGGAGGGTTGGTTGGAATGGAGAGCCTGAGGCTGGGGGTGGGAGGATGTTGGTGGAATGACAGGGTGGGCAGAAGGAAAAGCCCAATGTGTGTCCAGGCCACTGAACCACAGCATTTGGAGCAACTCCCTTGTATTTCTGGAGTTGATGAGAGACACTTTATTGACTTGAATTGTTAAAGCTAAAGACTATTAAATTATAAAATAAGAGGCTTCTCAGCTTCTAGAGCCACACAATTATGGAAAGTTCTAGTATTAAAATCATAGCACCTTAGCAGGGAAGAATTACAGAAATTATAGAATGGTAAAATATTAGAGCCAGAGAGCCAAAACTCCATATTAGACAATTTTAAAATCCAAGAATCTCAGTGTTAAAAAGGAAAAAAAGAACCCAATAATTTATTGATCCTGTCTATTTGCACTGGTCATGATGTTAGGAGTAATCTCATATGTTATCCCATTTAATTTCTACCACAAGTCTTATGCCATTCAGTCCCATACCTGCTCAAACCTTTGTCAGTAATACTGCGTTATCAAACACAAGCTTGCATAACCTTTATGACGTGGGAGTCATCACATCTGGGCATAGCTCTGCCGCCTGCCAAATTGTGCTAGAAAATTCTCCCTTATATAAGTTGCACTCTATCTCCCTATCATGCTCCCACACTGGTCCAGTTCATGTCCTCTGAGCTACCCCGAGTAAGTCTAATCTCCTGCTCACGTGACAGCTTTTCAGATGTCTAAAGACAGCCCTTATTTCTTTTTTCTCTAGGCTAAGCTGGCTTGTTGATCATGTAGCTAGAAATGGGACAGCAAATGAAAGAATATTTGAGCTTAAGAGGCCCTTAGAGGTCACCTTGTCTGGATACTTCCTTTTACTGCTAGGCAATATGGCTTTATAGTCAGGATCCTGGACCTCAAGTTTCTGGGCCTCAGTCTCCTTATCCCTAAAATAAAGATAATAGTGATACTGACATAACAGAGGTGTTGTGAAGATTGAATGAGATGATGCAAGGGAAGCTCTTAGAAGAGCACTGGGCACACAGTAAACAGCCAATAAATATTAGCTGTAATCATTGGAGGCCCAGGGGAGAAGGGACTTGCTCAAGATCACACAGCAACTCAGAGGCAGAGCTGGGGTTAGACCAAGGACGCCTGCCTCCCAGCCTGGGCCCTTTCCCATTCCACTCTTCCCTCTGTCTTCCTCAGAAAAAGAAAATAGTCCCAGAGGGAACCAGGATACTTTTCTCACTGAATCATTTAGGATGCAAGGAAGAGGTCACCTGCTTTAGAGTGGCTTAAACTTTTTATTTTTTAATGAGGCCAGAAGAAGTTGGAATGAGGATTGGTCTGCTGATTCAACAATGTCTTTGATGACCCAGGCATTTCCCATTCTGAGCCTCGAGGGTGACTACCCCTGTGATTGCAAGATGACTGAGTGCCATCAGGAACCATGTCCTCCCAAGCAGGGAGAAAGGGCATGGTAGCAAAAAGGGTATTCTCCCTTCACATCATTCTCTTATCCAGGAGAGAAGCTTTCCCAGCAGACTATCCCCAAACATGTCATTGACTAAGACGAGGTCACATGTCTACTCTTGGACCACTTTCTGGCAAAGGGGAAGGCATTTCCATTGCTGCCTTGGATCATCCCTGTGGCTGAGCACCTTGCTACCAGAATGAAGAAGAGAGCATTTGCCATGGGAAGGCAACCAATACAACCTGCCATACTCATCTTCTGTTTTCTCTCTGGATTGCCCTCCTACCTCCTCTCCATCTCCGCCAGGAAGTCTTCCCTGGTTGCCAGGGCCTTGTCCGGCACACCCTCTTCTAATGTAATTGAACATTGTTTAATTCAAGTTACATTTCACTTTGCCAAAGATTTCTCACCTTATCATGTCCAGATCTTATCTTCTCAACCAGGCTGTGATAGGTCATTGCAAGAGTTATAGCAGCGACTAATGAATAAGTACCTACTGTGTGTCAGGCACTGGTCTGAGTGCTTGTTGTAGCCAGCTTCCAAATGGCTCCCAATGATCCATACCCCCTGGTATTCATGCCTTTTTGTATTCCCCTCCCACATTATACCAGGGTTTGTCTACATGACCAAGAGAATATGGCAAAAGTTACGGTATGTTTCTTCCAATATTAGATCATAAAAGGCACATGGAATCAAAGCTTTTGGTCAACTGCCAACAAGGTACAGAGGCCCAACAGCAATCATCGAATGAACTTGGAAGTGGATCCTCTCACCCCAGTTGAGCCTTCTGATGACTGCAGCCCTGGCTGATGCTTGACTACAACTTCATCAGAAATCCTCATGAAGATCCAGCACCTTCCAGTTAGCCCATCTGTGGGTTCTTGACCCTCAGAAATTCTATGAGATAATAAATATTTGTTGTTTTAAGTTGCTAAACTTTGGGAAAATTTATTTTTTGGTTTTGGGGGGTTTTTTGAGGCAGGGCCTTGCTCTGTTACCCAGACTGGAATGCAGTAGTACAATCACTGCTCACTGCAATCTTGACTTCCTGGGCTCAAGCAATCCTCCCACCTAAACCTTACAAGTAGCTGAAACTACAGGTGTGGGTGCTACCACCCTTGGCTAAGTTTCTTTTTATTATTATTATTATTTTTTGGAGAGATGGGGCCTCACTGTGTTGCCCAGGCTGGTCTCAAACTCTGGGGCTCAAGTGATCCTCCTGCCTCAGTCTCCCAAATGGCTGGGATCACAGGTTTGAGCCACTGTGTCAGCCAGAAAATTTATTACTCAGTAGTAGATTACTATATTGCTACTTTATCACATTAAATCCTCTCAACGATTCTGATAGGTGAAGCTTATTTATCCCTTTTACAGATGAGAAAACCAATGCTCCGATGAGTGCAGTGACTTCCCATGCCTGGTAAGTGGCAGAGCTTGGATTGACCTTCCTGTCTGTTGGATTCCAAAGCAGAGGGACCTGGGTTCTGTTTTCCCAGCTGGAATGTCCCCAGCTGCAGGATGAAGGCTGAGGAAATGGGGACATAAAAAGGAAACCTCTTTCTCTGATGTGTTTTCTCTCCTCCCCCCTTTTTTCATCCCAACCACATTAGTTAGCACTTACTACATCTATTGTACATATGTGATTCAGGGACAAGTAGGTTTATTAGCAACAACATGGGAGCCTTAGGAGGGGGATACCTGGGCTCTTGAGTGACCTTGGGCAAGTTTCTGCACTTTTCTGGGCCTCAGTTTCTTTACCTACTACATGGCAATAATAATCCCTTTCCTGCCTTCTTCACCAGGAAACCATGAGGACGGGGTGTAAAGGGACTGTGTAAAATGTGAAATGTAGTGAACACTAAAAGGTGTGTTTGGACTAAGGAGCACCCCTGACCTAGGGCTCAGACCTGTACAGCCACCTCTGTACAGAGGTGAGGGCTCCCTCTCCTCTCTCACCTGGGGCTAGGTTCGGGAGGTGGACAACACTGAGTGGCATTGAGAGCATCAACCCACTTTCTTCAGCCTCACCCTCTCCATGCCTTCTCTCTTAGGCCATGCTGCAGCCCTGCTAAACTAGTGGAAATACCCCAAGCCTGCCAGGAGGTTTCTGTCTACTTTGTCTGTGCAGTTTCTTCTGCCTTGACACCCTTCCCAACTTCTCTTCCTGGTGCATTCCCACTCGTCTTTCAAGACTGACCTTAGATATCCCACTTCTAGGATGCCTCTCCTGACCTGGCTGTAGTCCTCCTACTTCTCTTGATTGTTGCACCTGCCCCCTGCCTGAGCTCTTGGCCTTCAGCTTCTCTTTTCCACTCAAAGCCCCCATGGTGCAACCAGCGGCCTTTCCAAAATGCAAATCTTGTCATGTCACTCCCTGCTTAAAATAACTGGCCAATGGAATAATCCATCAATCAGTGCTTCAGGGGTTCCTCCTTGCCCTCAGGGAAGCATCCACACCTTCAGCTGGGTCTCCATGCTTGGTCCCTGCTGGTCTTTCCAGCCTCTGCTCTCTTCTGTCTCCTGATTGCCCTGCACATGCAGTGCCCTCCAGCCACATTGCTCTTGTCACTGTATCTCAGACACACCTCTCTCTATCTTTGCTCGTCCTGTTGTTTTTCCTGCCCATTTCCACCTTGTCCACTTGAGGAAGTCCTGCCTAATCCTTAACACCAGGTCTGATATAACCTCTTGGAAGCCTTCCCTATTGGCCCCAGGAAGAGTCCTTGGCTTCCTCTTCTTCCCTCTCCTGTATGACTACTCATGCTTTTGTTACTGTTTGTCGTCTGTTTACACTGAGAGTTTCCTGAGTAGAGACTGTATCTGACACATGGTTGTGTCCCCAGCAATGCCAGGAGAAGGGCACAGAGCAGACATGTAGGATATGTGTTGCTCATGTGAGTGGCTGAATGAATGAAGGAAGGAAGGGTGAATGAATCCAACCTTGAACCATCACTTCTTGGCCAGCCCTAGAACTGCTGTTTCCCAGGGTAAGCCCATTTGATAGCCAAAGGGGAAGTAGAAGGGAGGGACTGCTCTAGGAGGGAGAAAGAAAATCAATAAAAATGTAAATCTGGTTGAGAAAAGCTGTCCCAAGCTGGCTGTGGGGAGAGATAAGACTGGGCTGGCTGAGCCCTGGCTGACAGTGGAGGAGAGATTGGGGACAACGGAGCTGTGGCCAGGGTAGGGCAAAGGAGGTGTGTTCCTCCCTCTGTTGTCACTTCCCCCTCCGACTCTGATGCTCTATGTGTTTATGAAATTTTTTCAGGGACAGAAGGGGAAGGGAGCTTACAAATCCTGATCATCAGGTGTGGTGCCTGTGAGCATGTACATGATCTTACCCGGTCCTCACAGCTTCTGGGAGATAGGAGCTAGGCATGCTCAACCTCACTTGCAGGTGAGCAAACTGAGGTGCAGAGAGGTTAAATCATTTGTTCATCGTCACACTGTAATAAGTGGCAGAGTCAAGATTTGATCCCAAGTCTGACTCTCTCCACAACTCTATAATCTTTTCACTCCATTAAGGGCTTTTGACTGGGGACCTGGGATGCTTAGGAGGTCTACACCCAGGCATCATATGGTCTTCAACCTCTGAAATCATATGCACAATTGTGTATATGTCTCTGTGTGTGTGTTTTGTTTTATATTTAGTGGAGAGTCTATGCCTTTGATTGGATCCCCAGAGGTGGTTTTCACTTGCCCCCCATTGCCTATACCATGTTGCCTTCCTGGAGTTGGTGGCCTTTGAGCTGGGCCTGGAAGATTGGGTAGGACTTTATGAAGTGGGGATGGAGAGACAAGCTGTGCGATGGGGATGAAGAAGATAACCCAGGTCAGAGGGAACAGCATAAGCAAAGGTATGTGAAGGGGAAAGAATTCAACACCTCCAGGCAATGGTGAGGATGTCGCTGAGTTCTCTTTCACTTATCTGCATGTCAGTCATGACCCCTGGATGCCAGCTCCTGATGGGTCATCTGCCTACCCTAGAACTTCCCAGCATCTAGCATCCCAGACCTTCCCAGAGTCTACAAGAAAAGAAACCTAGGCATCAGGATGTCAGTTCTGGTCTGAGTCCTGTCCTCTGCTGACTTTACACCAGCACAATCTAGCAGGGAGACTTAATGTCTTCTCCTCCCAGCTTCCTGGTACAGTGTAAGAAAGTAAGCTTGCAGATGCAAATGCTTGTGGCTCTTCATTGACCAGAGGCTATATTAGGGGAGAGGACTTCCCTGGGACCCCCACAGGGCCTGGAAAACCCCTCTGGCCCTGACTTGCTCCACCCCTTGGCTCTTGACCCATTTCTCTCTTGGGTAACTCCTGAGTCTCCTCACCATGTCCAGTTTGGAAGACTTTAGGCACAAGGACCTCGTCTTTTCCTTCAGATCTTGGCTCAACCAAGAGGCGGACTCACCGTGATGTGAATGCAGCTTGAGCATCCAGGACTCTCCCCAGATCCAGGGAGGGCCTCAGCGATGTGTTCACGTTGTCATATTTTTATAAAATTTGCAAAGGTAAGATACTTTAACCACAATCAAAATTACTATTTTCTTCCCACTCCAACTTCCCTTGTGTTTCAATTTTCCTTTATGTGGGATAATTGGAGTGGCCATGGGCACTTCTGGGATCTGACCAAGGGGAAGCTGAGTGGGGGACTGATTTGAGTTGGGTTCACTGGGATATGTTTATGTGGTTTTCTGAAACAGAGGATATATTAATATTTATGTGGTTCTCTGTGTATAGATAAATCATTGCTAGTAATCTCTGTGTAGAGAATAGCTTCTAGGAATTCTACCCACTGCCCAGCTCACTTGGCATGGTGATATTAAGTTGCCATATGCAGAGGTCATATCGTGATATGAATGTGTGTCATGGCACCCAGCCCAGGAAGTATATGGGCAGTAGACAAGAAACAGGAGAAACCAGGTTTGAAATGTACAGAGCCAGAAGCTAGTCTGTGGAAAATTCTTCTAATCATCAGGGGGAGAAAATGTGTCTCAGAGGTTAAGCAGGGCAGTTAATAAAAGTATTACGCATTTTGGGGGGATTGTGTGATGTATCTGTTTTGATTTCTTTTCTCATTATAGGTAAATATAGGTACCTTGTACCTAATTTTATATTCATAATTTTGTATATTTTTCTTAAAGAGGGCTCCTCAAATTATAAAACCTTCAGTTCCCACAAGGTCTACACATCCAACCTTGGCTCCATCATTTATTTTCTGTGTGATCTTGGGGAAGTCACTTGTGCTTTCTGAGCCAGTTTCCTCTTCTATAAAATGTGAATGACAATTTGGACAGGTGAGGATTCAGAAATCCTCATGACCTTATTCCATTTTTGAAACCATTAGTAGACGAAGACACTCAAACAAAAATTAGACCAGAATATAAAGATTGGAAAAGATGTAATATACAAGCAATAATGGTGAGCAATGAATCCAGTAAAACCTAAATCTAAGTTAATGGAAATGATGTGGTTGTTGCAAACCTCTAATGCAGTTTATGAAGAAAGAATTTTTGTAATAGAAGAGACATTATGCAAGAACAAATTTAATAATAAGCTGTATCTATAATTCCAGACTTTTTTTCCCTGCAAAACCTGGGAAACAAGAGGGATGAAGGAATATAAACATCCTAAAAGCCTCATATTGTTGAAGGAGACTTTGAAATTCTTGGCGTTGATAGATACATGCTCAGATATTTATTAAACATTTACAGATACCAACCAGCAAAATAAAAAGGGAATTGGAACTTCTGTACCTCCCTTTTCTTTTATCATGTGGGAAAGTCTCAAAGCCCTGGCACTGGGAGCTGCTCAGAAGGCAAGGGCCACATGTGCCCCCAGCTTCCCCCCACCCCCAGCACAGGGCCAGGAAGCCACTGCTGGTGGCTCCCTGTCTGCTGCCTCCCGAGCAGTAGGTCCCAGCGAGGTGGGGTGGTAATAGGTTGGGCTGGGAGCAGATTAGCAAACCCTCTCCTCCCCGCAAGGAAATAACCAGGCCAGATAAGACTAGCCATAAAACAAAACAAGGGCTGATGTAGAAAAGGATTGGATCATAAGACACGAGCAAGCCATAGCATCACTCATTACACAGAGCTGAGCTTTACTGCTCCCAGCACTACAGTCCTGGGCCTGACACCAGCCCAGGCATCGGAGAACCAGGTGCCACCCCCAAAAAACAGTGTCACAGAACTAAACATTATCCACACTGCCCCAGGTGACACAGACCCAGGCACCCAGGAGAAAATAGAGAAATTAGGATCCTAGTCACAAAGGTCACAGGGACTTTGGTGGCCCCTGGTCACATGTGTGAAATCTTGGCAATGTGTAGGAATCAGTGAGTGCGCGCTGAGTGTGTGTTTGTCTGAAATTAGAAAATACCCAAGTGTGGGCCTGAGTCTCCCTCCCTACCCCAGGGCCCAGACTTGCCCACCCAGGGCCCTAAGGCAGGTGTTGGGCCTCACCCTCAACCGTGGCTCCCTGAGGGCAAGGGCTAGAATTTCCTGAGATGGAGAGTGAGTCTCCCCGCTTCAGCTAAGGATTCCTGGGGCCCCCACACAGGCCTCTTGAAGGCCCTGCCAAGTCTGGGTGTCCCACTCCTGAGGCCAGCTCCGTCCTCCCTGTGGGAGTCTACCCAGGGTCCAGCTCAGTGCTCTGCCTCCAGGGGGCGCCAAAGGGACACTTCTTAAAGGCTGCTGGAGTTGGGGAGGAGAGCTGAGTGTACCCTGACCGCACAGATGGTCATAGCTGAACGAGCCTGAAGGCTGGCAAGTTCATTCCTACCTGACAGGAGATGGCTAAGGCTCAAAGAAGGTGATCCAGGCGAGTGCAGACCTGGGCTGGGGCCCAGCATGGAGGGCAGCCTGGCCCACTATGGCTCACTTTGCTATCCTAGGGCCCCAGGGAAAGGTATACTTCTTTCCACCCAGGAAAGCCTGGCCCCAGGACAGCTGGCTGGCTGGGGGAAGGAGGAAGAAGACCCTCTTGCTCCAGAAATGGCCAACACAGCAAATGCCCAAACAACTCTTTGGTTCAGACTAGCAAGCAAAGGCTGAGAGAGGATCAATGTCTTGCCTGAAGTCACACAGCAATTTAGTGGAGGAGCCAGAATGGAACACAGGGCTCTTGACACCCAATCTTGGGCAAAGGACTCAGAGGAGGTACTGCTGTGGCTGCTACTCTTGGCCAGGTGGGGCCCCAAGACAGCTCACACTCGGGAATCCTCTGGCTTCTTCCCTGGCCCCGACACTAGCAATTGCTGCTCTACGGCAGGGCTGGATCTGCTCTCTTTGGTCCTTGCCTCTTTGTCCTGCTGCCTCAGGACAGCCAAAACTAAGGCGAAGCAGATCACAGAACCTGTTTTGAAGAAGAACTGGAGGCCGATGAACCTGGGGAAAGAATGGGGACCCTTGAACTCAAGAGCTGCCAGGCCAGGGCATGGACGTCAGCAGTCATCACTCATTGTGAAATCAGAGATACTGAGGCCTCAGGGAGACATTGACCTCTGCTGTGGCTCTTCCCTGGAGGAGGGGGAGAGGCTCTGCAGAGGAGCCCTGGGTGGGAGCAGAGGCCTGGCCATCTTCATCGCCCTGTCCTGGACTCTGCTCTGTGGCCTGGCCTGGCCCTGCCTCTCTCCGAGCCCAAGGGCTCAGGGGGCCTGACAAGTGCAATTTTATATTGCGCCACCTGCCACAAGAACAAACGGATTCCCTCTCCCCTGTTTAACTATCAAAGCCCTTGTTTGACTTTTCCTTTTCTAGGAAGCCCCCTGTGGACAGTCCCAGCCCACAGAAACTGTGCCCTCCTCACCTCCTCAGAGCTGAAAGTGACCAGCTCCCTGTCCCCAGCCCTGCTAGCAAGTCCTCTCCACATCCATCCCAGGCCAGCCGCCTCTGTGCCTTCAGGTTCCTTTGAGTTCCCCTTTGTACAGATGGGAAGACTGAGCCCCAGACAAGATAAGTCCCATGATGAGGGAGACAGAGCTGGGCCTGAAACCCAGGCCTCCTGTGTCCTAGACAGGGCTTTCTCCCCAGCCCTTCACCCCAAGTCCCTCTCGCAGCATGGCTGCTCCTCTGTTTCTCCCCAAGTTCCTGCATAGACTCTGTGGTCAAGGCCCAGCTCTGCAAGTTATTAGCTGTGTGACCTTGGGCTACTTGCTTTAACTGTCACTTTCCTCATCTATAAAAGGAGGGGGGCAGTGTTTAGCTTGAAGGACTGGTGAGCTCAGCACTGAATATATAATGACACCTGTCACCTAGCAGGTAGACTTAAATGAAACCTCCCCTCCCTGCTGGTATCCTGCCTGGGACTCTGAGAGTATTTCCAGCACCCTTCCCACAAGCCATCAAACCAGGTCTCACCGGTTTCGGAGCAGGTCATTATTGTAGTAGCGACAGACAGCTCGACGCCCACAGCTCAGGGCCCAGTGCACACAGGTGGTGTCGATGGCGCTGCCGTGGATCACGGGGCTGGGCATCCAGGCTGAGGGAGGTGGTGCTCAGGGGACAATGAAGGCCCACCGTCCTACCCTGCCCCCTCCCTGGCATGTACAACCCCTCAGGGGCTCTGGGTTACTGGGGCCTCTTGGCTGTCTGGCCCTCAAGCCCGCCCCACCCCTGCATCCGAGGTGGCTTCCTGACGGGCTGTCTAGACTCTGCCTCTATACCCCGCTCTAGGAGAGCTGGGCCAGGTCTGTCACCCCATGAGCTTGTGAGCCCTAAGATCAGGGATTGAATTCCGCTCATGCCTGTGCCCCAGGCCTGGCACACAGTGGGCATCTGGACCCCATCACCACCACCAATGGTCCCAAGCAAGATCTTTACCCAAAATCCTCAGGAACATGAACTGGATGCCCACAGCCAAAGTCTTGTCTTCTTTCTTCACTCCTCTAACAAGCAGAGACATGGGCAACATGAGGTTGGAGGGGTTCCAGCCCCCAAGGGCCATGCATCAACGTTGAAGGGTTCTTATTATGCCCTTCTCTCCCACCACCCAGAGCCAGCCTCTCTCCCATCTGATGATCTAGGCTGGGGGCTCAGGGACGTACCCCATCCTTTTTCAACCTGCAGAGCCTGGTCCCATATACAAGACAACACACCCACTGACCATCAGGGTCCTGTGCTGACCTCTGTATGTTTCTGGTCACAGACATCACTCCTCTTCCTCCACCCACTGGTCCCATCAAATTCTCCCCTTACTCCTACAGTTGGCAAGACCTGGAGCTGGGACAGTCAGACACTTCCCCAGCATCCCCAACCACTGTAACGCCAGCTCCTGCCAGACAACACCAGTGGCTGGCATTTATGGAGCGCTTACTACGGGCTCAGTAACTCTGCCCTGCAACCCCACATCACTCCTATGAGCGAGGTGTACATTAGCCCCATTTTACAGATAAGGAGACTGACACTTAGACAGATTCAATAACTTGGCCAAGATCTCATGGCTGACAGCGGTCAGGGCCTGTATCCACGCAGCCCTGAGGCTGTGTTCTCAACTCCTTTTAGTCAGGCTGCCTGTTGGGCATCTGATTCCTCTATTTTCTCTCCCAGGCCAGCTTGTGTTCTAGATCTACATGTCTTCTGGTATTTGCAAGAGGCTCCATTTCCCTTCTAATTTCCTAGAAAGTAGATAGTGAATAAAATAATCCCAGGAGAAGGAAAATGGAAATTATCTTGCTCTGAGGTCCCTGTGATATTGTGAGATGTGTATTTGGTCTTCCCGGCATACACTCCTAAAATTCTTGGAATGTTCAAAGTGAAAAGTGTCTTTTTGTATGCTAATGAGTTGATTGATGGTGAGCAGCCCCTAGTAGCTTCAGGCTGGGGCTTGGTCACCAGAGGGACCAAGGCAGGATTAGAGGGTTAGGACTTTCAGCCCCAACCTCCAGCAAGGGGAGAGGGGCTGAAGGTTGAGGTGACTGCCAATATCCAGTGATTTAATCAATCATGCCTACATAATGAAGCTTTGGCGAGCTTCCGGATAGCTGAACACATGGAGGTCCCTGCAGGATGCAGCCAGGGAGGGCATGAAAGCTCCTCCCCCATACCTCACCGTATGCATCACTTCATCTGTATCCTTTGTAATATCTTTTATAATAAACCGATAAACATTAAGTAGATGTTTTCCTGAGCTCTGTGAGCCACTCTAGCAAATAAAGCAAACTCAAAGATGGGGCTGTGGAAACCCCAGCATACGGCTGGTCAGTCAGAATCATTGGTAAAACAGCCTGAGGCTTGTGGTTGGCATGGGAAGTGGAGGGAAAGTCTTGTGGGACTGAGCACTCAGCCTGTGGGATCTGATGCTGTCTCCAGGTAGATTGTGTCAGAATAGAATTGGGGGACACTGGCTAGGGTCCACTGCAGAATTAATTGAGTGCCTGGTGTGTGGGAAAATACCCCCACACTTCTGGTTGCAGAAGTCTTCTGTGTTGATTGTTGAGTGAGAGAATAGAAAAACTGTTTTTCTCAGCCGAGTGTGGTGGCTCATGCCTGTAATCCCAGCACTTTGGGAGGCCAAGGCAGGTGGATCACTGAGGTCAGGAGTTCGAGACCGTCCTGGCCAACATGGTGAAACCCCGTCTCTGCTAAAAATACAATTAGTTGGGTGTGGTGGCGGGTGCCTGTAATCCCAGCTACTAGGGAGGCTGAGGCAGGAGAATGGCGTGAACCCAGGAGGAGGAGGTTGCAGTGAGCCGAGATTGCGCCATTGCACTCCAGCCTGGGAGACAGAGCAAAACTGCATCTCAAAAAAAAAAAAAAAAAAAAAGGAAAAACTATTTTTTTCTCACTCAGTCCTCTTATCCCAGCCCTCACCCCAGGAGACCCTGACTTTGAACTCAGGTGACAATTTGTCAGGGCCAGCAGGCATTCTTAGGACGAGGGCCACAAAGATCTTGGCCCAAAAGGCAGTGCTCAGCATGGGTTGGGTCCACAGCGGGCACCTAATAAGCACTTGTATGTAGCCTTGAAGCAGCATTCAGAGTCATGCACCAGACTGACACAGTTTGGTTTCCTAGATGCACCTCCTGCAGCTCATCCATTGCAGGTATTATGCCCTCACCTCCAGAGGCCAGGACAGGGCCCTAGGTATGTCCTCCTCTCCCCTGGGCAAGTAGGAGCCTGGGCTGTGGGCCAGGGAACCAGTACTATTCCACCCAACACTTGCTATGTGATGGGGGCCAGCTCCTGAACTTCTCTGAGCCTCAATTTTCTTATCTGCAAGATGGGGAGAAAACCTTGCCTCAGTAGGTTGCCATGGGATGAACACAGTTAAGGCCATATTGTGGGGGCCAGGACACCCAAGTGGCCTCCTTTCTTGAACTCCGTCCTTGGAATTCCTTGTTCTGCCTGTGGTTAAGGACCTCCTGGTATCCACCTGCCCCTGCCCCACCCCCACCTTCACCTTAGGATGAGCATGAAGGAGGGTGTGTGGGTGAGACAGGCCAGGGCCGAGCCCAGGCTGACCAGGAGCAGGAAGGGCACCACCAGATGGCTGCACGTTGAGTCGCAGGATCCTGCCAGCACGGGGTTGCCCTCCACCACGCAGCTGCAGTTGGTGTAGAAAACCTGGAGTGGGAAGAGGAGGAAGAGACTTCAAGAGCCTCCAAGGGCAGGCAGCTGGCCAAGGGCTTGCAGCGGGGAAGGCTTGTGAGAGGCCCAAGTTCCACAGCCAGTTGGGGTAGAGCTGGCTGGGAGTCCGAGATCGTGACCCGTTGGCTGAGCAAAGACGGCTTGAGGAGCAGGCACCTCAAGGGCTGTCTATGTGCAAGTTGAGCCTGGGCTGAGGTGGTGGGCAGGGAGAGGGAAGCAGAGAGAAAGTAGAGAAGAAGAGGGAGGGAGCCAGGAGAGCATCATTCCCCCACATTCTACACACCAACTGTAAGAAAACATCCCCAGGCTGGCCATGTCCCCGGGCTTGCCCCCTGGAGTGTTTGATCCCAGCCTGCACTCACTCCCTAGGTAGCGAGGAAAACCTCCAGCCAAGGACTCTGCGAAGTGATCTGGACTGCCAGGGCTCACAGGCACCCGATAGAAGCCAGCCCAAGCCAAGAGGCCTGGGCTTCTCTTTGCTTTCCCATAGACCAGAGCTTCTAGACTCATGTGCCCCAGCCACACAGGGCCTCAGATGGGAGACAGGTGTGCAGGGATTAGTCCCATCAACCCTTGAAGTGGCTGGCTGGCCTGGACAGCTGGAGCCCTCTGGGCCTCTCACCTCCAGCCCTGGCAGCTGCAGACACTTCCCAGTGTGAAAAGGGTTGGGAATCCCTGAGGTGGATGCTGGGGGCCTTGGGAAAATTTTAAGCAAGGGGTAGATGAGACTGGGTGGTACAAAGGGTGTTCTGGGAGCTGCATGGAGGAGGGACCAGATCGGGGAGGCAGGCCAAGGAGCCCATCATAGAGTGGGCTTGGGGGTGGATGGATAAATGGGTTTAGATTTGAAGTTACTTAGCAGGTGGAATCAGACAAAGGCAAGAGAGAGTGAGCACGTGAGCACTTAGGGTTGGGTGACCAGGCACTCTCCACTGGCCGGCAGAACCAATGCACATGATGAAGCTGTGCTGATCCTTCACACAAGGGTCTGAAGACCCTTCACACAAGCTGTGTGACCCCTAAGTGCATATCATCTTACACTGCAGGAAAAGCGGCCCCTGAACCTCCAACTACAGGCTGGAGATACAATGGAGGGACAAGAAAGGGAAATGCTAAGCAAGGTTCCTGGGAGAGAGGCATCCTGCCCCTGCTCCTTTTCTCAGAAGCAGAGGTTGCCAGGATGAACGCAAAGGCTGGAGGCTTCACTTGGGTTTTTCCTCACCCTTCACTTGGGTTTTTCCTGACCCTTCACATTCATCTAATTCCATGGCAGGAAGTTTTTCTTATGAATGACTTCAATCTTTCTGCTGCCTCAGAGTCTCATTCCCCCAGAGCATTCAGCTCCACACCTGTTCAGGCGCCCACCTGCCCCACCTTACCTCATTCACTCATGCACTCATAAGCTGTTACTGAGCAGCTGTGCTGGGCACTGAGCCACCCATCCCTGAGCCAAGATGTTCACAATCCAAGGAGGCAGACATGTCAAGACACGATTCCAGGCCAGTGTGACAACAGTCCCTGAGTGCTGGCCCGGTCTCAGCTGCACCCTCCTCCAAATACTGCACCTAAATCCAAGCCTCCGTGATGCTCCAAAGAGGGGGCTGGCTGGGAGGCCAGGGCCTTGGTGCCTAGTCCCAGCCCTGGTATTGAGACTCTGGGCAATGTCTGGTCCTTTCCTGGGCCTCCATTTCTCATCTGTACAATGGGCGTAATAGAAATGTGTATTACTGAGTATTTAAAATTGCCTAGGCACTGTGCTATGTGCTTTCATGGATAACGTTATGTGGCGCTTTGCTTACTAGTTAATGAATTCATCCAGGTAAAGCATTTATTCAGCACATTCCTGCTCTGTAGTAGGCACTTAATAATATCTCCCCTATTTTACAGACCAAGAAACTGAGGCACTAGTTAAATAATTTGCCTAAGGTAACAGAGTCAGTTAGAGGCCTAAGAAGGATTTGAATCGGTTCCCATATCCACAGGAGTTCACTGCTCCACCTGCCAAGGCCTGGGGGTCTCTGGAAGGGCTCTCAGGCCCAGGTGGTGCCTGGCTGGCTTCTGAAGGACTATGCACCATCAACAGGTTCTTCTGCACCAGCCAGTGCAGCCCAGGTCTCTCCCTGGAGGAGCCTCAGGTTTAGATGCTGATGCCCAGCATGAGGGTGGGAGGTGGGAGGACTCTGGAGAGAGGGAGATGTTGTCATAACCACCAGCCTGATGCTGCTGCCCCCACAAATCCCCCAAGCTTCACTACAGCCTGGGGGCCTGAGAAGGCAGACATTGTCCCCCTTTGTCATTTTGGGGAACTGAGGAAAAAGGGGAGGAGGAACCGGCTGGTCTTAGCCCTCCTAAGATTCAGAATGCACTGCTGCTGATTACATTGCCTTCATTTCCCCACTGGGCCCCTTGGCTCTGAGTCCTCAGCTCCCAGAACAGGGCCTGGCACAGAGGAAGAGATCAGTGAAGTTTGTTGACTGACTGACTGACTGAATGCTCGCTAGCCTTCTGTGTCCTATCCTGTACTCTGCTCACCTGCCCCCACACTATGGCCTCAAGCGTGATCAAACACAGATCTGAACTTGTTACTCCTTGGCTGAAAACCCATCCATGGCTTCCCACTGCTCTCCAGAAAGTCCCCACTCTTGGCCTGGCATTCAAGGCCCCTCTTTTTCTGGGCCCTGCCTTCCCTTCATGAACCCTTGTGCTTCTGCTCCAACAGAAACAGTGTGTGTGCATGCTTGCGCATGTGTGTTCCTTCAAATCTCTGCTGAGCGCATTTCCCCCTGCCTGGAAAGCCCTTCCCTCCCAAGTAAATGAATAGTTTACCCATTCATTCTTGAATGTCTGGCACAAATGCCACTTCCCATGAAGGCTTCTGGGACCCAACCCCACCCAGGTGGGATGTGTCTCTTTTCATCTTTGTATGTGCTTGTAGGGACCAGTTGTTTTACCTATCAGCACCTCTGGAATTCCTGTGAGTTCTTTCCTTTTGCATCTCCCCTGCACAGAGATCTGGAAGCCAGAATGATTCACCTCTGTGCCCTGGGCCCAGGCTGGCAATGAAAGCTTTATTTTTATTTTTTGAGATGGAGTTTCACTCTTGTTGCCCAGACTGGAGTGTAATGGCATGATCTCAGCTTACTGCAACCTCCGCCTCCCGGATTCAAGTGATTCTCCTGCCTCAGCCTCCTGAGTAGCTGGGATTACAGGTGCACACCACCACGCCTGGCTAATTTTTTGTATTTTTAGTAGAGATGGGTTTCACCAGTCTGGAACTCCTGACCTCAAGTCATTTGCCTGCCTCGGCCTCCCAAAGTGTTGGGATTACAGGCATAAGCCACTGCTCCTGGCCAGTGAAAGCTTATTGTGAGAATAATGTTCTACATCTGCCAACAGAGAGAGACAGAGAGACGAGAGCTACAGAGTGAGAGCATGCAGAAGTGGAGAGTATGACAGGCCCACAGAGACAGGGCAGGCAGAGTCCTGAGGGGCAGAGGTTGCCACGAGAGGCCTGACTCACCTGGCTGTTGTCCAGAGCATCCTGGACCACCCAGCTTGAGCAGCCTGCGTGGCAGGGTGTGATGTATTCCACACGAGTGCTGGGGTCGCAGACAGGGTTAAAGCCGTCCAATGGGCAGGAGCAGGCCTCCATGCAGCTTGGAGACAGCTCCAGCCCAGGGTGGGCACTGGTGGGAGAGAAGACCAGTAGGGTTGGCCTGGCTTCCCTCCCTTAGGCCACTAGCTGGGGCATCCTCGGCCCTGTAGCCGAGAGCAATGGCCAGAGATTTCAGCTCCACACAGAGGATTTTCATCATCAGGGCTGCCCGATGATGGCGTGATAGTGAGCTCCTTGCAATGAAGGTGGGCAAGTATGGAGACAGGCCCCCTCAATCCTACAAGCCTTTGAGCTTCTTCAAACATCTCTGCACCTCAGTGACCCTTCTACAGGGTATACAAGATAAATTCCTCCCAGAAGTTAGTGTCAGATGAGGAGTATCTTTCCCTCAATCAGCTTCCTTTCTCCGAAAATCAATGATTGCTTCATTTCTCAGAAAATCAGAGCTATGAGTGTGGGACCCGATCAGGAGACCTGACCACCCGTGGGATCTCCAGCCTGTTCCTGCCTCTCTGGGCCTCAGTTTCTCTGCCTGTCATGGCCATCCTGCAGTCTCACTCCCACCACCCTGTTCACTGTGTCCAGGGCACATTTTAGTCCCACTTGCCTCCCTCCAAGGGCCTGTTCCCAAATCCCTGGGGTGCCCCAGCTCCAGGTGGCCAGGGCAAGGTGAAGGTGGGCAGGGGCAGGATGTCAGAGGGAGGCTTAGTCTGAGGGGGAGGTCACCCTGGGAGGAGGGCAGGGAGGTGTCCCCTGGGACTCACAGTGTCACCTGGCTTCACGCTAGCGGGGAGCACAGCTAACCTGCCAGGGAGACAGAGGCCCAGAGAGGCTGCGCCTTTCAGGGTCACACAGGGGTCCAGTGGCCAGGCTGCAGAGGAGGCCAAAGGCGGAAGCTGGATGTCCCTGTCTTGGGCTTGGGGTGGGTGTGGGGCAGAGGCCCAGGATGATCAGTGAGGCTGGGACTGGAGCTTAGTGAAATGTCAGTTCCATGGGGAAGAGGGTGAGCAGGAGCTGGAGACAGTCTCTAGCCAGGGTGTGGAGTGGGGAAGTGGGGCATGGGGCAAAGTGAGCTCCTCTCCCTCCCTGGGGTGAGGGGGCACTCTATCAGAGAGGGAAGGAAGATCATCAGCCACAAAATATTTCCTCTTCCTCCTCTGCCAGACAGTGCTTGTGTGTGTCTGACAACATCTTGGCACATCTCCCTCGGGGTGGGGGTGGGAGTGGGAAGGCTGGCACTGTCTGAGCTGAGGGCCCATCAGGAGGCAGTGCCAGGGGACTCTGCCAAGGGTGAAGCACTTCCCAGAACCCTCTGCTAGCAGCTGGAAAGCTGAGCAGATAAGAGCTAGGGAGTCCTTCCTCCGCTCCTCGCTGTCATTGACCACCTGGAGCTGATTGCTTCTGTGGGGAGAGTCCTGGCTCCAGGCTCTACCCTGTTCCAGCTGTGGGGTGACTTCACCTCTCTGAGCCTTGCTGTATTCATCTGTGAAATGGGGCTAATAACAGGACCCATTACAGAGATCCTGTGGGGGTTCAGTGAGAGGTAACGTGGGAAGACGCTGAGCGAAGGGAGACCGTCGGTTCTTGCAGCTGTTAGTACCTGCGGTTGTGCAGAAATATGGAAAGTTCTTCTTGCCTAGCTCAGTTGGTCCCAAATGGTCTCTTCAGTGAATTAGAACCCAGAGCTTAGTGAATAAATCGCAAGAATTTAGACGAGAACAGAGGTGACATGAGATGTCAAAGCTAAGGTGTGAAAGGGAGAAGAAAAGAGAGATGGGGTGTGTGAGATGAGCTGACTTTTTCTGCACTATTTAAAAAATTGTGATAAAATATCCATTTACTTTTTACTCTAAAAATCATTTGATTGAGGACCTGGCTCCCTCCTCAGACCAGGGACTTCCTGAGGAGGTGGCTAAACCCCCGCTGCAGTGCCTAGAACAAGGCTCCGCACACAGGAGGCCCCAGGCTAGAGAGCAGAGTTGCCTCCCTATGTGGGAAAAGAGGGGCAGAGAATGAAAGGGGGAGGAGGGAGGGGAGATGGGGGAGAGATCAGCGAGGGTGGGACCTGGGACAGACGGGGAGGGGCTGGGTGCTCCTTGGCCCTGAGCTGAGCCCCCGACAGCCATGCAGGAGGACCCCTGGTGATGAAAGCTGGCACCTAGGTGGAGGCAGAAGATGCCAAGGAAGGGGTGGGTACAGAGAAAGTTGGGAAATTCTAGCCGAGTGTTGGGCCAACCTAAGCCTGGAGCAGTTTCCAGGAAAAATGAAATCATTCTGGAGAAGAGGCAGGAATGTGACTTCCAACATCCTCTCCAAGAAGGCTCCCAAGGGTAAAGGTGTGAGGGAGAATTGGAGAGATAGAAATCAAGAGACTTCCTCCCGGAGGGCAGAGGCAGGTGCTGCCTCACAGATGTGGAAAAAGAATTCTGTAATTTTAGAGTCGTGGAATATCAGAATTTTAGCTCCCAAGCTCTAAAACCCAAAATTATCAGAGGTCTGCTGTCCAATCTTTTCCCAGTGCCTGAGTCCCCTCTGCAGCCTCCCTGATAGGGGCCATCCAGTCCCTTGCTCACCCTCTCATCCCCTCTCGTCCCCAGGATGGAGAGCATGCTTCCTCCTGGGCAGGCCATTCCTCTGGCTGAGCTGGGTCCTGGCTCCTGTGATGTAGCCTCTGGCTCATCTCTGTTGGGCCCACAGGGCTTGGTCACCCTGGACATGCCATCCCATGGGTGGCTCTGCCCTATCTCAGCCTCCACACCCTCCTGGGCTTGAGAGTTTCTGCCCCTGAAGTCTCATCCATGCCCCTTCCAGTGGTGCCTGACACCTACCCTGGAGCCTTCTGGAGCACCCCACTGCTTGACTCGAATCTCTAAAGGGCTGTTAAGCAGAACTGGGGAGGCAAGATTTGAGGCAGGGGTTGCCCTGCCATCCTGGCCTCTGCCCAGGGCCCCTGTCCTCCCTGTCCTGTCCTCCCAGGCTTGCCTTTACGTGCCCACGCACACACTCACCTGGTCTGGTGTGTGATGCCCGCAATCTGGTGGCTGGAGCAGCCGATAAAGAAGAGCGGCAGGCTGAAGAAGAGGCACAGCAGCATCCCCAGCAGGCAAAGGGCACCGCATCCCACAGGGCCCAGGTGGAGCCGCTTGACCAGGACGCCACCCACCACGATGCCCACGATGACCGAAGGGAAGGAGAGGCAGCCGATGAGCAGGTTGGCGTAGGAGGCTGTGATGGAAAACTGGCGCTCCAGGAACTTGGGCAGGAAGGTGGCCATGCCCGCAGCCATGGATGACAAGCATACCTGGGACAGGACCACCAGCAGGAAGATGGGGTGGCGTAGGGTCTGCAGCAGCACCCTGGGGAAGACTGTGGGGGCGAGTGCAGAGGTCAGGGCAGGCAGGGCAGCCAAGCTGTCCAGCAGAGACTGCCCTCCTGCCCTGCTCAGTTCAAGCAGTTCCATTTCTTCTAACCCGCCCCATTCCACTTAATTCTATTGCAATCAATTTTATCCCACTTGACTCCATTCCATTTACTCTAGTCCCTTTTTTTTTCTCTCTCTGTCGCCCAGGCTGGGGTGCAGTGGCGCAATCTCAGCTCACTGCAACCTCTGCCTCCTGGGTTCAAGTGATTCTCGGCCTCAGCCTCCCGAGTAGCTGAAACTACAGGTGTGCACCACCATGCTGGCTAATTTTTGTGTTTTTAGTAGAGATGGGTTTTGCCTTGTTGGCTAAGCTGCTCTCGAACCCTAGGCCCCAAGTAATCCACCCTCCTTGGCCTCCCAAAGTGCTAGGATTACAGACGTGAGCCACTATGCCTGGCCCTTGTTCCAGTTCATTTTTGAAATTCTGTTTCATTTTGTTCCACTGAGTTAGACTATATCTTATTTGATGTGTTTTTTTCTTCCATTCAATTCTATTCAGTTCCATATAGTTCTGGTTCATGCCATCCTATTTGATTCAATTTCGTCCATCCCATCCCATGTCATTTCATTTTTTCTACTCTACGTATTCATTCCTCTCCCCCGCCCCACCCAGTTCTTTCCATCCTGTCCTGCTACAGCTTTTTCCAAGCCTCCCAGGCCTTCATCCTCCTTCGCATCCCAAACACAGGCCCCAATCCTCTGCCCTGACCTCCCTATCCTTAGCTTGCATTTCTCCATAGCCCTCTACCTAACGTACTATACCTCTCACTCATCTAGCTGTTTTATTGTCACCCTACCAGAACGTAAGCCTTCTTTAAAAGATCAGGGGGTTTTGTTTGTTGTGTTAATTACTAAATCTCCAGAGCCTGGGATATAGGAGGCACCTGAATTCATGGAATGAAGGAAGGAATGAATGGATATATGGACTAATATGTGATCAAATGTCAATATGTCTGGGGCAGAATCAAAGACCTCCAGAGAAAGTGAAATCTGAGTCTGCTTGGTGCTGGGAGACTTCCTGGAGGTGGGACAGAGCTAGGGCCTAAAGAATGGTGGGGGGGATCTGGGGAGGTAAAGCGAGGAGGAAAAGGAATTGAGTAGGGGCCCAGGAGGGGCAAATGCTTGGAGTTAGGAAAAAAAGTGACTGTTTTGGCAAAAAATTACCTCCCCAGTCTCCTGCTAGCTCCTAAAATGGTGCCTCATTCACAGGTTGCCCCCACTGCAAGTCTGCTAAACCAAAGGGCACAAAAGGGTGGGTAAGTCCTTTCCTCTCTGGGCTCCAGCAGCCAAGTGATGCTCATTGGTAGGGGCAGCCCAGGTGAAAGTGTCAAGGACATTTTCTGTTAGACACATGAAATCCTCTCTCCACTAACCTGTGTTTCTGCCTGCAGTAGGCAAGACTGAAGTCAAATATAAGGTATGGAGGGAGAGGAGCAAAACACTTGCCCGGCTGGGCTGGTAGGGCCATGGGGATTCTCTGGGCCAGGTGGGGGCTCCTTCTGTTCCTGCAGCAGCAGGACCAGGGCCTCTGTCATGGGAAGATTTCTGTCTGTCCTCAGAGCAGGGCCAAGCCAGCTGGTTCCCTAGCCCCCTGGGCCAGGCTAGGATCTGTTTCCTTGGGAACCAGAAAATAAAAACAAACAGTTCAGGACGGTGGGTGGGGGCTGTGGAATTCCCCCTCTTTTCTGTGCCAGGCCTGCCTCCTGTCCCTGGTTCCTTGCTGCACACCATGCATTTAACTAGCATTAGAGTGAAGAGGTATGAGGCTCGCTCTGACCCCAGGTAGCTGCTCAGCCTTCTTGCCATAAGCTGCTCTGGCCAGGGCATCTGAGGCCTTATATTGAGCCATGAATTTCAATCTGGCATGGTCCAGGTTGTACAGGTGCCCCTACTGCATGGTAGAGTCTAGAGAGGGACAGGGGCTCGCCCAAGTTCATCCAGAGGCCAGTTTAAGGCCAGGAGTTTCCTAGGGTCTCCTGGCTCCTAGTACAAGGTCCATCCTCCCTTCTATCCTCCCTCCCCCATCCTGTGCCTCTCTGGCTGCCTGACTCCAAAGGGCTCCATCTCATGGATTGCTTCCAGTCCATTCTCCTGCACTGATCACTGCAGTGTGCTTTGTAGCCATCCCCCATCTCTCCTCAGCATCCACAGCATGGCACCGGAATAGATGGAAAATTCCTGGAGGGCAGAGGCTATGCCTTTCACTGAGATAGGTCTACCTGCAGGGGAATTCCAGGGCCCATCTCCAGCTCTGAGGCAGACCTTTGCCATGAGACAGGGCTTCCCTTAGCACAGCACAGTGTCTCCCCCATCAGACAAGCCAGGGCCTCCCTCAAGTCAGTGACTCTGTCTTCCTCATCAGCCAGGAGCCTCACCCAGCTAGAGGCCAGGTATCCTCTGTCAAATAGAACAGGTTCTCCCTCAGTCTAGGGACTATGCTTCTTCCAATTAGGTAGGGGCTTCCCTTAACTCAAGGGCAATGTCTCCCCCAGGAACCTCCTCTAGTTCAAGGACTACGTCTCCCTTATCAGACAGGGGCCTTCTCCATCACAGAGGTCAGGTCTCTTCCATCAGACAAGGCAGGGTCTCGCTCCATTCAGGGACTACGTAACCTCCATCAGAGAGATTGTATCTCTCACATTAGACAGGGGCTTCCCCCAGCTCAGAGACTGTCTCCCCCATCTGACAGGGGCCTTTCCTAGCTCAGGGATTATCTTTCCCCAAGAGTATAGGGCACCTCCAGCTGAAGGACCATGGTTCCTCCTCCCTCGGCCTTCCCTGTGACACCAGGTGGTCAAGGCCAGGCCCTAGAGTTAGACTGGCCCCTGGAGCTCAGCAGAAGCCAGGCTGGCTCACCAGCCACAGGGCCTGAGGGCACCCCTGCCCTGATTCCCTCCAGGCTCATGTAGAAGCTGAAACCACCAGAGACAATCTGGCCTAGAACACTTGCTCTAGGTTCCAATTTCAGAAGCTTCCCTCCGGGCAGAAGCCCAAACAGTGATTAATAAGCAATTCAGCAGCGCAGAGTGCCGGGGACCTAATAGCATCTGGGGGTGGCCTGAGGCTAGGGAGTCCCGGCCGCTGCGTCTAGGCCCAGCACCATGCATGGAGTCCAAGCCCTCTCTTTCCCTGGGAATGCTGAAAAAACTGGGGGCTAGATTACTGATATCCCAACATCAAGTCTTTTTTTTTTTTTTTTTCCAGACAGGGTTTCTCTCAGTCACCCAGGCTGGAGCGCAGCGGCCAGATCACAGCTCATTGCAGCCTCAAACTCCCAGGTTCAAGCAATCCTCCCACCTCAGCCTCCCCAGTAGCTTGGACCACAGGCATGCACCACCAAGCCCGGCTAATTCTTTCTTTATTTTTTATTTTTATTTTTTTAGAGGCAGGGTCTCCTTATGTTGTCCTGGTTGGTCTCAAACTCCTGGGCTCAAGAGGTCCTCCTGCCTTGGTCCCCCAAAGTGCTGGGATTACAGGTGTGAGCCACCATGTCCTGCCCCAACATCAAATCTTAGGAAGCTCTTCCCAAGAATAGGCCTAATTCCTTCCTGTTGCAGAAATCCTCAGTAAGGACTATGAGGCAACTCCTGTGGACATGCCCTCCTAAACCACAGGCAGCTCAATTTACTATCCTAGGGCATGGTCAGAATAACGGTGGAACAAGAGTAATAATTGAAATAATTGTACCTTATATATAAGTACAGTTTTTTTTAATAGCATAAAGAGGCTTTCCATGTTTCGTCTCATTTGATTCTCGTAATAGCCCTTGAGACAGGCAGAGCAAGGATTATTGACCCAATCTTCCAGATGAGGAAACTCAATTTAGAAAAGGAAACTAACTTCTTTAAGATTATACACTGGTCACTGTTAGGGGCAGGGCTCAAATCCAAGTCTTCTGACCTGCCATCCAGTGCTCTGTAAGAGCTGGGCACACGGCAGGCACTCAATCAATGCTCCTGGGGTCATAATCTTGAGAAAGAATGGCCTGGTCATAATGTGTACTCTGGTTACTGATAGACTGAGTTCGTAGTCTCAGGATCATAGCCTCAAGACGTTAGATCATTGAGTCTACTCCTGGCTATATAGATGGGGAAACGGAGGCCCAGAAAGGAGCAGGGATCAGGGACAAAAGCCCAGGTTCTGGATATTAGCCCAGAGCTCTCTTCGCCCATGCCACTGTCTGGAAATTTGACAATTTCCCGATGGCCTCCCATTTGCAGGCTCAGCAGTGGGTGGGAGGAGAGGAAGGGTCATAGATGAGCCAGCACAGGCCTGACCTTCAGGAACACAGGCTCAGATCTGAACTGATCTAGAAGCCCTGAGGGTTCTGAGAACCAAAGAGGGAAGGAAGTGGCTTTGCTGGCTGGAAGAGCTGGACATGTGGGGAAAGTAGTGGGTTTTTAGCTGGACCTAGACGGATAGGGAAGGTTTTTTGTTGTTGTTTTTGAAATGAAGTCTCTGTCTGCTGGAGTGCAGTGGTGTGATCTTGGCTCACTGCAACCTCTGCCTCCCAGGTTCAAGTGATTCTTCTGCCTCAGCCTCCCAAGCAGCTGAGACTACAGGTGCCCACCATCATGCCCAGCTAATTTTTGTATTTTTAGTAGAGACAGGGTTTAACCATGTTGGCCAGTCTGGTCTCAAACTTCTGACCTCAAGTGATCCGTCCACCTCGGCCTCCCAAAGTGCTGGGATTACAGGCATGAGCCGCAATGCCTGGCCCATAGGGAAGGTTTTGAAAGCAATAAAAAATGATGGTCCAGGCAGAGAGGATTGCATGTGCAAAGACTCACAAGGAGTAGATGGTGCTCATGAGGGGTCTGCAGGTAGAGAAGATGAATCAAGAAAAGCAGGAAGGACTGGATCCTGACAATCTCGAAGACCCCTCTGGCCCTGGCTCCCCATAACCTGGTCTGAGCTGACTTACCTTTAATGAACTGGATCACAGTCAGGTTTGGTGCAATCTGGACTAGGCCATCCTGCTTCTTCGTGGACTCCCCAGGGCTCTGCTTAGAGGGAGAGTCCTTGCCCTGAAGGAGACACAAAACCAAGGACAGTCCGCTGGATGCCAGCAACCCCACTCAGAGTTGGCTGTGGGCTGGGGAGGAGAGGTCTTGGAGAGGAGAGGGTGAGAGCCCTGTCATCTCTTCAGGAGCAATTGAGGCCTGCAGTGTTCCATTTGTTCTTGGCCCTATAGGTACCCAACAAGTGGTTTTGAAAGGATGAATAAAATTCTTGTGGTTAAACTTTGTCATCACCAGTATCCACATGGGTTAGTTGTCATGACCACTATTAACATCATAATAATCACCAACATTTTTAGGAAAATCACCACCATAATCATCATCATCATTTCTATTCCTTTCAGCTTAAATATCACCCTCATTCACATCACCCATATCGTTGTGACTAAATGACAAATTTAGTCACGACATTACCATCACGATGTGATGATTGTTATTGTTGTCTCTGTCATGATCACCACCACCAGCACAATCATCATTATCACTGTCACCTGAACCTTCAGAATCACTACCACCATGATGATGATCAGAATCATCAATATCATTATCACTGTCTCTAACATCATCATCACTACCACTGTCTTCACCAAGATCAGTATCACCAGCCTCATCTCCATCGCCACTGCCATCATCACCACCAATGTTACCCAAAACACCAACACACCAATCCAGTCAATCTTCACTCCCACTGTCACTGCTCCTCTTGGATGAATCAGGCCGCACCCAGAGGATGGGCTCAGCTTTGGGTCCAAGCTGTGAAGATTCCCATGGACACCCTGGAGTATGTCCCTCCACCTGGGTGGGAACGGCCCATGTGCAACTCTTGAAAAAGAGGGGAAGAGAATATCATGTGTGTGGAGGGAGGGGGCACAATCACCATCTTCTGACTGTCAGAAATAAGAAAGGAAATAATGATAAATAACGGTTAATGCCTACTAAGCACTTACTGTATGCTGGGCACTGTTCTAATGACTAATGCATAACTTACCGAAACCTCACAACCTCCTGAAGTATATACGTCCCTACCAACAACTTGGAGAAGGAAATAAGAGTCAAAAATCATTTTTTAAATAATGAAGTAGATACCATAATAATCCCTTTTTGTCAGGTGATAAAACTGAGACACAGAGAGAAAATAACTTATTTCAACTTATTTCACACAGATAATAAGTGGTCCAGCTAGGATTTGAATCCAGACGGCTTGGCTCCAGAGCCTGAGCACTTCACTGGTACACCCTGAAGGAAGGGGGCAACCAAGGCCAAGGCCCCAGAGTACTCTACCTACATTTCTCTAACACAAAACTGTGTGAGGCAGGTACTATTACCGTGCACACTTTTTAGATGAGGAAACAAAATCTTGGAGAAGTTGCTATGGGCACAGGGTCATCTGAATACAAGTGGGCAAGTGGAGTGTAATTTAGTTATTTTGCTATGTAGGCTGAGGTCAGAATTAAAAGCAAAAAATTAGCTGGAAGAAGACTTATGCCTAGGCCGGGTGTGATGGTTCGCGGCTGTAGTTCCAGCACTTTGGGAGCCTGAGGTGGGAGGATCGCTTGAGCCCAGGAGTTCAAGACCAGCCTGGGCAACATGGCGAAACCTTGTCTCTACTAAAAATAAAAATAAAAAAAAAATCAGTCGGGCGTGGCGGCTCACACCTGTAATCTCAGCACTTTGGGAGGGTGAGGCCAGTGGATCACCTGAGGTCAGGAGTTCAAGACCAGCCTGGCCAACATGACTAAACCCTGTCTCTACTAAAAATACAAAAATTAGCCAGGCATGGTGGCTCATGCCTGTAATCCCAGCTACTAGGGGGGCTGAGGCAGGAAGATCGCTTGAACCTGGGAGGCGGAGGTTGTAGTGAGCTGAGATCGTACCACTGCACTCCAGCCTGGGCAACAGAGCGAGACTCCCTCTCAAAAAAAAAAAAAATCAGCCAGGTGTGGTGGCACACACCAGTAGTCCCAGCTACACAAGAGGCTGAGGAGGGAGGATCATCTGAGCCAGGGAGATGGAGATTTTGTCAGAGGCGTTAGAATCAGAACAACTCCATCTTGACTGAGGGGTAGGAAAATGAGGCTGGGACTTGCTGGGCTGCATTCCCAGAAAGTCAGGCATTCTTAGCCTCTAGATGTTTATGGTTAAGGGAACAGATTGATCATGTTTACTAAAGAGACCCAGACTTAGGAGTGTCCTGATAGCCCCATGTCTGGAGAACAGAAGCATTTCTAATTTTGCTTTAAATATAATAATATCGATTCTTGCAAAATATAGTGATTAAGAAAATCGTTGATCACAAACCCTTGTAGCAGAGCACATCTCCCCATGATCTTTTTTCATCCTATATATAAACATGTATTGTAGCTAGGGTGGACGCGTTCCTCCTCTTACTTTCGGGAACACCCTGCTCTGCCTATGGAGTAGCCATTCTTTATTCCTTTACTTTCTTAATAAACTTGCTCTCACTTTACTCTATGGACTTGCTCCGAATTCTTTCTTGTGTGAGAGCCGAGAACCCTCTCTTGGGGTCTGGATTCAGACTCCTTTCTGGTAACAGTTGCAGTGAGCTGAGATCATGCCACTGCACTCCAGCCTGGGCGATAGAGTGAGACCCTGTTTCACAAAAAAAAAAAAAAAAAAAAAGAGACTTATACCCAATGGGGACAGCAGTTTGGAAGAGGCTACCCTGGGAGGAAGCGAGCTCCCTGTAACTAGGAGTGGTGCGCAGGCAAGGCTTCCCCACGTCCAGGGCCAGGATGCCATGGGCCATAGGGAAGGACCTGCTGGGCTGGAGAGCACTCATTTGGGCTTCCTGGTTCTGCCTCCTCTTCCCATGTTGCCTGTGAGGTTCCTACAGGACTCACACTCTGGTTGGGTCTGACACTTTCTCTTTCTTCTCCCATCTCATTTTTTCTGAGATCATCATGAGGCAAATGCTGGATTTCCCCACATTTCAGAACCTTCATGTCAGCCACCACCTTGGGGGGTCCCTTGTTCCATGCCTCCCCAACCTGGCTTCCTGATGCTGGCTGGCTCAAGGCTGGCCTGTCCCAGCAGGACGATTCATTCAAATATTAATTCATGTGTGTGTTCCCTTGGACTTTTTTTCCCTTTCTTCTTTCTTCTTTCATTCCAGCAGGGAGCAGGCTCTAGGTTTCCTGTCCTCAGGGGATGTTTGTGGCATGGCAGAAAACAGTAATGGATTGCAAGATTTCCCTTCCTGTCTTTTGTCTCCAGAGCTTGAGTCCCTTGAGAAGATTCTGCTGGGTGTTGTGGTGGGTGTGAGTAGAGGGGGGAGGCTCTGAGGATGAGAGGAAAAGAATACCATCTTCCCTAAAATAAAGCCTGGAAAAGAGGATGGGGCAGAGACAGAGCAGTCTGTGGGTTCCATGAGCAGCGAGGAGCCACGTACCCTCTGAGATAGGGCCCACGGAAGCAATTCACCTCCAAGTGGCAGGATGCAGGCTGACTTAGGGAGGCTGGGCTCCTAGGTTCCCAGCCTCACCAAGACTCTGCTCCAAGCATGGTAAGGGAACCATATGGGCCAGGATGGCAAGTGGGCATCACCATAGTGACCACAGTGGGCTGATGCTGATGTCTGCTGGGGGGGCCTCCCTGGTGCTTGAGCACTGTGTAAGACACAGGACCTTTGCTTCACCTTGGTCAGAGAGCTCTGAGAAAGGCTGAGATTGAATTTCTTGATGATCTGGCAGGATAGGCATTCAGAGTAGAAATTAAGTTGATTTTCAAGTAAAATAAAGAATGTCTATTTTATACATGCTTTAGGTCTGAGGCAAACCTTATTTGACATCTTTCTCCCCTGCTGGACCCTGAGCTCTGCAAGAGCAGGATTCATGTTTATCTTGTTTTCTGTTCAAACTCTTGTGCCTAGCAAGAGCCTGGGGCGAAATAGTGGTTATCTAGTAAATATCAATTGCAAGAGGAGCGCAAGAGATGGTTCTAACCAGAAGTGGGTATAGCCAATGCCAGGCTTTTGGGGGAAAAAATGAAAGCAAGAGGAGATGCCATCATGCCGCCAGGGAGTTCTTGAACTGCTGATGGTTCCGAGACAGGCAAAGGGTCCTCAGAGCACACCAGCTCTAGCGGAACTACCTTTCCAGGACATGCCAGGCCACTGGTATATGGGCTGGTAGCTACGCACACATGAGCCTGCTCCATCTTCACTGGGACCTGCCGGCAAGTCCTACACTCCTTCACACATGAGCAAACAAGTTCTGAAGGTAGGCAACTTGTTCAGCATCACATAACTAGAGAGTGGCAGGACTCAGATCCGAGCTCAAGCTTGCCTGAGTAGAAAACTCATGCCTTGACTGAGCTCTCACCTGTAATTCCAGCATTTTGGGAGGCCAAGGCAGCAGGATTGCTTGAGGCCAGGAGTTTGAGACTGGCCTGGGCAACATAGTAAGACCCCATTTCGACAAAAATTTTAAAATTAGCTGGGCATGGTGACATGCACCTGTGGTCCCAGCTACTCAAGAGGCTCAGGTGGAAGCATCACTTGAGCCCAGGAGTCCAAGGCTACAGTAAGCTATGATGGCACCTCTGCACTCTAGCCTAGGTGACAGAGCAACACCTTGACTCAAAAAAAACAACTCATACTTTATCCACTAGCCCCCTGAGTCAGACAGCCCTGATGCAGGACTGGAGAATTAGGAGGCATCTTTGTGGTGTGATTTGAAGGAAACTGAAATCCTACCATGTCTTATTTTTTTGGGTAAGGCAGCCTGCGTGGATTATTCATTTATACCTTAGAGCTGCACTGTCTCATACAGCAGCCACCTGTCACGCATGGCTCTAAGCAATTGAAATATGGCCAGTCCAAATTGAGATGTGCTGTAGGCATAAAATACACATCGCATTTTGAAGACTTAGTATGAAAAAAGGAAAATGTTTCATCATTAATTTTTTACTATTATATGTTAAAATAAGAATATTTTAGATATAGTGGTTTAAATAAAATGTATTATTAAAATTAATTTCTTTTACTTTTGCATGTGGACAAAAAAAATTAGAATTACATATGTGGTTCATATAACATTTCTTTTGGACATGCTGCCTTAAAGAGAATCAGTGAATCCTTGCTCCTTTCTGAGTCCCGTCTGAGCTCTGGGAGAGTGATCTGGGAGGGATGCCACAGTGGTGGGAGGGTCCTGGACAGCTGAGAGAGAGTGCTGGAGTGAGGGCTGCCCCAGGAAGCAGGAGAACAGCCTGGGGACAGACTGATCACTTCCCAACATTTTTTATCAGGAAGGGGCAGGGTAAGCAGAATCTTCTGAGTTCCTTGCTTGGGTTCCTTGTTCTCATAAAGAGTAGAAACAACCACAATGTCGTCTGCTCCCACGTGTACATTCCTATTTGGTCTACATTGCACTTTTTTTTTTTTTAACAGAGCCTTGCTGTGTCCCCCAGATTGGAGTGCAGTGGTGCAATCTCAGCTCACTGCAACCTCTGCCTCCCAGGTTCAAGCAATTCTCCTGTCTCAGCCTCCCGAGTAGCTGAGACTACAAGCACACGCCACCACACCTGGCTAATTTTGTATTTTTAGTAGAGACTGGGTTTCACCATGTTGGGCAGGCTGGTCTCGAACTCCTGACCTCGGGTGATCTGGCCGCCTTGGCATCCCAAAGTGCTGAGATTACAGGCGTGAGCCACTGCGCCCAGCTACACTGCACTTTCATATCCATCATGTCATTTAATTCCCACAATGGTCTGTCTGGTGCAGGGATTATTATTGCACCTATTTTACAGAAGAGGAAACTGAGGCCCCAAAAGGGGGAGTGTCACCCAGACAGTTATTGGCAGAGCAGGCTCTCAAACCAAACCCAGGTTCTCTAGTCTCCCTGTGTCAGTCCTGTCTCCTGCTGTGAAAGAGCATGGGGTTTGGAACAGGAGGGGAGTGACAGACCTTCAGGGGCTGGGTGGTCAGGGGTGACATCCAGGGAGAAGTGAGCTTTGGGGTTTGGGTAGATAGAAAGGGAGAGCAGATTTGAAGCAGAGGCACGGTGGTGGAGGTCTTGTGCAGGACACAGTGGGGACACCAACTTGATTACAGCAGTGCTTGGCTGGGGTAGGGGCTGGGGCCAAAAGATGGGCCACAGCCAGACTCGGGTGGTTTGGAAGGCCAGGCTGAGATTTGGGCTATATTCTGTGGCTATTGGGAGCCCTATCTGTCCTTAGCTCCTGACCCTGTGTTCTCCACAGATTTCTGCCGCTTGCCCCCTCATCTGTTTTGAGGACAGCTGAGTAATAACGGGCTCCAGAAACAGGAAACGTGCCTCTGCTCAGTGCAGGGATTGCAGTGTGACCCATCTGGGCTGTGTTTGCCTGGGTCAGCAGCCCTGGATGGAGAGGGCTGCTGGAACTTCCCCTCTGGGGGCTCTTTGCTGATTGTTGCAAGCCTGCCGGACACCATGTGCTGTGTGTAGCTCAGCCCATGGAAGGCCCTCCTGTCTGCTGGGCCCCCAGGGATCCAGGCGCTATCCTTGGTGAGAACTAAGTTCCTATTAAAAGAAGGCTTTGTCCAGGGGCTAGGGTCCCTGACCCACAGAGCCAATGTGGACTCTGGGGTGATATGGAACCCTCTGCCAGCCTCGGGTTCCTTCACATATCACGAAGGGAAGCAGCCACAGGGATGAGAGATCTGCTTAACTTCCTCCCACCCCATGAAAGAGAGTGTTTTTCAGCAAGAGCTGAGTTTCCATGAAGAATGAAACACACTTCCAGCTTTCTTTTTTCTTTTTTTTTTTTTTTTGAGGCAGAGTCTTCCTCTGTCACTCAGGCTGGAGTGGTGCAATGATGCAATCTCGGCTCACTGCAACCTCCACCTCCCGGGTTCAAGTGATTCTCCTGCCTCAGCCTCCCAAGTAGCTGGGATTATAGGCACCCACCACCATGCCTGGCTAATTTTTCGTATTTTTAGTAGAGACAGGGTTTCTCCATGTTGGCCAGGCAGGTCTCGAGCTTCTAACCTTAGGTAATCCACCTGCCTCAGCCTCCCAAAGTGCTGGGATTACAGGTGTGAGCCACGGCAACCGGCCCTGGCTTTCTTTTAATGAGATTCATGCCACTGGCCATGCTTCTTTTCCCTTTGGGCTACCAGAAACCTCAGAACCAAATAAATGGCTCAATGGTATCAACTGAATTAATCTTTATGGGTCCATGCATTTATGTTTTTCTCTCTCATTCTGAGAACCTTTCGCTCTTATTTATATTTTTCCTGCTCCTTAGCCTTAATTGATTGGTTTCACCATTTACTAGCTATGTGACCAGGTTACTTAATCTCTGTTACCCAAGTCCCTCTGGTATAAGATGGGGGTAATAACTATATCTACTTCACAGGTGGGTTATGGGGACTAAATGAGATCATCCATACAAAGGTCTTAGAACATTGCATGGTACAGAGTAAGTAATAAATGTTAGCCTAATTCCTACTGTTGTAGTACTGTACCTTTGTGTGGTGTGAGCTGTCTCAAACCTTTTATAGACTATAGTGCAAGTAGGATATAGAAAAGCATATGCAAACACAGTGGGATATCATCTCACACCTGAATGTGTATAGATACCATATAATATATTAAAATAGAGTAGAATGGCTATTATAAAAAATATGATAGATAACAAGTGCTGGGGAGGCTGTGGAGAAAAGGGCACACTTGCACCCTGTTGGTAGGGGTGTAATTTAGCACAGCCATCATGGAAAACAGTATGGAGTTTCCCCCAAAAGTTAAAAATAGAAACTTCGATCTAACAATCCACTACTGGGTATATATCCAAAGGAAATGAAATCAGTATATTAAACAGAGACAGAGCTGGATTTATTATACACTTAAAAATAGCTAAGACACTTTGGGAGGCAGAGGCAGGTGGATCATCTAAGGTCAGGAGTTCGAGGCCAGCCTGGCCAACATGGCGAAACCCCGTCTCTACTAAAACTACAAATATTTGCCAGGCATTGTGGTGCATGCCTGTATTCCAGCTACTTGGGAGGCTGAGACAGGCAAATTACTTGAGCCCGAGAGACAGAGGTTGCAGTGAGCCAAGATTGCGCTACTGCACTCCAGCCTGGGTGACAGAGAGAGACTCCATTTCAAAATAAATAAATAATAAATAAAAATAACTAAGAGAGGGACCAGGGCCAGGTGTGGTGGCTCACGCCTGTAACCCCAACACTTTGGGAGGCCAAGGCAGGCAGATCACTTGAGGCCAGGAGTTCAAGACCAGCCTGGCCAACATGGAGCCTGGAGCCTGTAATCCCAGCCACTTGGGAGGATGACGCAGGAGAATTGCTTTAACTCGGGAGGTGGAGGTTGCAGTGAGCCAAGATTGTGCCACTGCACTCCAGCCTGGGTGACAGAGTGAGACTCTGTTTCAAAAAAACAAAACAAAACAAAACAAAACCAACAACTAAGAGAGTATAATTGGAACATTTGAAACACAAAGAAATGATGCATTCTATTGATTGGTTATACATTGAAAAATAAATTAAAGAAATAAGAAATGATAAATTCTTTCTTGTTTCTTGAGG
Source organism: Homo sapiens (assembly GCF_000001405.40). Taxonomy (NCBI): domain Eukaryota; kingdom Metazoa; phylum Chordata; class Mammalia; order Primates; family Hominidae; genus Homo; species Homo sapiens. The sequence continues at coordinate 75,179,599 of NC_000011.10, read as the reverse complement.
TGTTGGATACCCCATTTACCCTGATATAATTATTACACATTGTATGCCAATTCAAAATATCTCATGTAGGCTGGGCACAGTGGCTCAAGCCTATAATCCCAGCACTTTGGGAGGCTGAGGGGGGTGGATCACTTGAGGTCAGGAGTTGGGGACCAGCCTGGCCAACATGGTAAAACCCTGTCTCTACTAAAAATACAAAAATTAGCTGGGTATGGTGGCGGGCACCTGTAATCCCAGCTACTCAGAAGGCTGAGGCAGGAGAATTGCTTGAACCCCGGAGGCGGAGGTTGCAGTGAGCCAAGATCGCACCACTGTACTCCAGCCTGGGCAACAGAGAGAGAGAGACTCTGTCTCAAAAAAAAAAAAAAAAAAAAAAAAAAATCTCATGTATCCAATAAACATACCCACCTATGCACCCATAAAAATTAAAAATGAAAACATTTTTAAAAAGAAAATGAAAAAACACAAATTTTCAAATAAAAGAATGTATTTAAATGAAAGAAAGGAGAGAGATCTGCACTCTCACGCTTATTGCAGCACCATTCACAGTAGCCAAGATACGGATTCAACCAAAGAGTCCATCAATGGATGAATGGATAAAGAAAATGTAGTATGTATACACAATGGAATACTATTTGGCTTTAAAAAAGAAGGAAATCCTGTCATTGTGAAAACCTGGGTGAACCTAAGGACATCATGTTAAGTGAAATAAGCCAGGCACAGAAAAACAAATACTGCATGTTCTCACCTTGGTGTGAAATATAAAAAAGCCAAACTCATAGAAGCAAAAAGCAGAAGGGAAGTTACCAGAGCAAGTTGTTAGTCAAAGGATACAAAATTTCAGTTAGACAGGAGAAATAAGTTCAGGCAATCTATTGTACATCATGATGAGTCCAGTTAATAACAATATATTGCACACTTGCAAATTGCTAAGAAAGTAGGTTTTAAGTGTTCTCACCACACACACAAAAAGATAAGTAAGTGAGGTAAGGCATGTGCTAAACAGCTTGATTTATCCACTCCCCAATGCATACATAGATCAAAACATCATGTTCCACCATAAATACATATAATTTTTACTTGTCAGTTGATAAACCAAATTTAAAAAATAAAAAAGTTAAAAAACATGTAAAAAGGAAAAGCATACAAGTTTAGAAAAAAGGCACTTTTTCTCTTAGTTTTCCCCTTAAGAGCTGGCCTGCTCGGAGAAAGATGCCAAGAACAAGCACTCCTGTTTACTGCGCCTGCGCTTTGGCACTGAACTGCCCACCTCACCACTTTGCCTCACTTCATTCTTATAAAGACCCCGAGATGCAGATGTTATGGTTATACCCATTTTACAGATTTCAGAATTAGTAAGTAGCAGAGCCTGGCTGGTATGGTGGGGCCACCATATTGCATGGTAGACGCACCTGACAGTACTAGCTTCTTAAGCATACCCTGAGAATGATTGGTCTAAACAGAACTTGCGTTTGGAGTTTTGTTTTTTGTTTTTTTTTTTTTTTTGAGATGGAATCTTGCTCTGTTGTCTAGGCTGGAGTGCAGTGATGTAATCTCGGCTCACTGCAACCTCTGCCTCCCAGGTTCTAGTGATTCTCCTGCCTCAGCCTCCCAAATAGCTGGGGCTACAGGTGCCCACCATCATGCCCAGCTAATTTTTATATTTTTAGTAGAGACGGGTTTCACCATTTGGTCAGGCCAGTCTCGAACTCCTGACCTCAAGTGATGTGCCCGCCTCAGCCTCCTAAAGTGCTGAGATTACAGGTGTGAGCCACCACACCCAGCCTCATTTGGAGTTCTGAGCTAAGGAATCTGGGAGTGGCCAACCCAGAAATTCATTTCTTATTTATGAAGAACATCTGAACCTCTGGCTCATCCCATGAAACACAGGCTGTATGAAGGATCAAGGCCCTTTGTTTTGGGTTAAGTGAAGGTTGCCAGGTGGAGGGTGCCATATAATTTGCATGGTTTTTACAAATGGTAGTGATTCTCTGTCCAGCCCACCACCACTGGACCACCCTGTATGTAAGTTCCCTCAATAAACCCTATGTCTTGTTTGCTCACTCCGGGTCTTTTCTTCAGCCCCTCGAGCATGGTGCCATCCCTACTGAAGTCAGCAGGCCTCCAGCATGACATGTGTCTAACCCCTGCCATGTCTAGCCCTGTCCCTGCCACTGCAGGATGCCTTAGACACCAAGGAAGCTTGCATGGTGCCTCTTGGGCATGATCAGCTACCTTTCATCCCTTCTTTAGCCTCAGCCTCCTCTGACAAATGGCAGTATTGGACTAGCTCAGCTGGTTTTTAGGAACAGAACCCTTTTCCCAACTGAAATCTTATTCTTTAGATTTAGTCTTTAGACAGGTATAAAAACACAAAATAGTAGAACTACTTGGACTGAAGTGTGTGTGTGTGTGTGTGTGTGTAGAGGGGTGGAAGGCCCTTAGCCCTGCTCGGTGATGCCCCTCCTCCTCCTCCCTATGGTGGTACCCTTGGGGTTCTGGGGGTTCAATTCGAAAAACCACTCAAGCAGATTGCCCCAACAGGGCCTCAAGCCTCGTCGATGTTAAAGGAAGCTCTATGTGCAGACCTGGTGGTCTAGGGGAGCCCTTCCTCAGCCCTCTGGCGCCAGGACCTGGCTTTGTACAGACAGGTGCAAGGGCCCGTGGTGCTGTCCAACCTCTGGACAGGTCTTTAACCCTCTATGGGCCAATCCCTCCGTCAGTGAGATGCAGCAGGGTCTAGACGCTGTGCCTGCAAAGTGGAGGCCCTGGGCACTAGGAGGCCTGCGCACCTCAGAACTCACAGATGCTGCCACGGAGACACAAAGTCCCAGGGAAATGGAGGCCTCCTGGCTGGGCAAATCCCTACAGACCAGCCCTAAGTCCTGGGTTTTAAGGACCATTGCCACCTCACACTCCTGTCTTCCATCCCTGACTATTCTCCCAAAGAAGAACATGGAAGTTAACGACTGGGAGACAGTGGACATCACAGGCTTACAGACTCTTAGCCAAAATTGCAGCCATTTAGAAATGTGGATTTGGGGAGTCATAGACCATTCGAGGCACAGACTTTTAGCATAATGTAAGTACTTGAGAAGCTCTATTAGGAACACAGACTTTAAAACCATATAATTTTAGAATCCCAACCTCTCAGACATATTCCAGAAATAACAGACAAACAGACTCCTGGTCTCTATGGTCACAGAGTCCGGTGGTGCTCAGAGCCTGGAGAGGGACAGGGGTCCTCATGGCACAGGCTTGCCTGCCAGGAAGTAGCTCTCTGGGCCCCTCTGAGCCCCTGACCCAGTCCCAAGGGCAGGTTGTCAGAAGGACCAGAGGGCATGGCGGGCCCAGGAGAGTTGCTGGCTGAATGGGAGCACCACTACCACAGGGACAGATGGGGACGAAGAATCTGTCAGGGAGCCCTCAAGAGACCATCTTTACCCCACAGACCCTGCAGAGCCATCTGCCAGGAGTCCATGGGCCTAGCAGGACCTTGGGGACTGGCTGATTGTAGACAGGAAGACTGAGGCCTAGAGGGAGGTGAGGCCTGTCCTGGGTCACTCCTGTGAGGGTCTCTTGGTAGCACCTGAGCTCTGAGGCCGCAGATACAGGGACAGAGCCAAAGGCAAGAAAGTAGGGCTCCTGTCCCCTCCCATTCCCTGCATGGCCTCCCCCAATCCCATGTCCTGCTCTTCTCTGTGGGGACTGCTATTGCCCCCTGCCCCCCAGGCAGAGAATCCCATAATCATGGCCATGGGAGAAATCTGAGCTGTCATTTGTCATTCCCTGTCTCTCTGCATCTGGCCTTCCTTCACCTTCTCAGACCTCCTCGGGGCAGGGGCTGTGGAATGCACCCCTCTTTTCCCCTGTGAAAATGCTCACATATTTCTCCAGAGACAGTGAGTCATTTAGAGGAGATGGCCTTGAACCTGTCAGAGCCGACAGACCTTGTCTGATCTGCTGCCCATTAGACAGATAGAGACACTGAGGCCAGAAACCTTCTCGGGGGCACATAATTCTTGTATTACAAACTGCCAATCTCCCGGATACCTTTAAAAACAGCATTTACTTCTAAGAGGGTATTTAGGGGACCCCTGAGCCCTGAGCCTGGGAGGGGACGCCTGGTGAGATTTCAGAGTTAGCTCTGCCCTTCACTTTCTCCTCTTGCCCATTCTCTCGCCCTGCAGAAGATACACATCCCATGTCTGGGGGCCTGGACTTTCTGGCAGCCAATTCAGCCTCATTGGGCCTTTGCTCCTGGTTTATTCAACTCCTCATTGGTGGCCCTCCTGGGCCAGGCCAACCACGTTACTGCAAGCAGACCCGGCCAAGGCAGCCTCAGGGAGGTGGAGGAACAATTCCTCCCACATCAATATTTATTGCCTGAGAGCTGCTGGAAGCAGATCATCATGTTCTCAGCCCTTGTTTCTTTTTAAAGAACCTCTCACCCCCTTCCCTCCCCACTCCCCATCCCCAGTGTGCTGACAGAATGAATCCAGACAGCCAGACAGGTTCACAGCTGGGGAGCCAGGGTTTCAAAGCATCATAGAGACACAGCTCTTAAAATCTGAGTATCTGAATCATAGCAGCTCCGACTCAAGGACTCGTGCATTCTCAGAATCTGAGGCGCACAGGATATTGCTCCAGGAACCTAACCTCAGCATCTTACACAGCAGCACAGAATGGGGAAGTGGCTTGCTGCTCAAGGTCACATGACTGGCATGTGACAGAGCCCAGCGTGGTCTCCCACCCCTAAACTTTGCTTCTGTCACCTATCCCACCCGTGGCTCAACTGGCATTCTTCTCTGTTCAAATTTAGGACTCAATTTGGAGATCATCTGTAACCAGCAATATAGGCTCTCTCTCTTTCCTTTATAAACATCACTCCACCTTTAAGTTCTAGGAATTTCATCTTCTCGAAACTTTGGCCTGAACTAGGCAGAATCAGAAAGGCCCATCTGTAGTTCCAAACTGTCTTCTTCCCCTGAAACTGCTCACTCCCTGGCAGCTGCTTCCCCCTGCCTCTGAGACAGCTGCACCCAATCCCAGCATCAGCCCAACTCATCACTGTCTTGGGGACATCCCATAGCAGGGCAGCTATGTGCAGTCCCCAACCTGGGTAGCTCCCAGATGCACCTCTATCCCCTCACTGCCAATGCACGGCTTCCACCTGGCCTGGACCACCATCAGAGCTGTCTCATTTCTCTCCCCGCCCCCACCCTCTCCAAACATATTCAAATGCATCAACCTGCCACAGAAATGCTCTTGCAGCAAAAACATTCAACAGGATTTTTATAAATTGTCCCTTTGAAATTAGAATTACTTAGCAACAAGTAAGTTACTTAATTTATGATTGTCTATGATTTCTCAACAGCCACCTCCCATACTTGAGAAGGAGGAAATCTAATGCACAAATTTTCAGAATGTAATGAAATGTGTATAAGTATTAAAAAAATTAATGAACTTGACATTACTGGCTTGTAATTAAACTTTTAGGCCTGGCACGGTGGCTCACTCCTGTAATCCCAGCACTTTGGGAGGCTGAGGCGGGCAGATCACCTGAGGTTAGGGGTTCGAGACCAGCCTGGCCAACATGGTGAAACGCCATCTCTACTAAAAATACAAAATTAGCCAGGCATGGTGGCACACACCTGTAATCCCAGCTATTTGGGAGGCTGAGGCGGAAGAATCGCTTGAACCTGGGAGTTGGAGGTTGTGGTGAGCCGAGATCTAGCCTGGGCAATAGGGTAAGACTCTGTCTCAAAAAATAAAAATAAATAAATAAACTTTAAAAATTGTTTCTATTTTGTCATTTTCTTTTTAATTTGAAGCCAATTTGTTGTTTTTCAGGCCTCGTGTTTTTGTGGGTATCTGAAAAACTTGGAAGTCCCTGGCCCAGAATGGCTATCCTGCCTGGTGGCTCACATGATCCTGTCCTCTCCTACCAGTTTTGTGACCCTGGGCAAATCCCTCCACTGGGCTGGGCCTCTGTGTCCGCTTCTGAGGAGAGACCCACCTGCCCCAAGAGCAGAGGAGGAGGATTCTAGATACCCCTGGAGCATCACACCGGTCGTGACTTCTCCGTGAGTCTGTGTCCTCCCTAGACTGTGCCCGCTGGAAGGGTGGAGGCCACGGACTGATCTTCAGATCCAGCCTGGGGCCTGCACTCCATGCATGTTTCTTCCCTTCACTGTCCCCGAAAGGGCCAGGTTTATTTCTACAGCCAAATCCTTCATGCAGGGTGCTTCTGTGCCTAGAATCTCTGTTGCTCTCTCCTTTCTGTGCTTCCACAAATCCTTCAAAGTCCAGCTGAAATCCCTCCTCTTCAGGGAAGTCTTCCCAGATGATCCTACCCACCCTCCCAATTCTTAACATTCCTATGGCACATTCAGAATTTACAAAAACTTTAAGTGATGAGCACAGAGGCCATATTGTAGTGGTTAGTATGGGGGCATGGGCTCAGAAAGGTGCGGGTTCTCATCCCAGTGCTGCCTTGCTTGCTGGCTTTGTGATCTTGGGTAAGTCACTTTCCAACACTGGCTCTGGGTCTCCTCAGCTGTGGAGACAGCAGGTGATATTCACTGTGCAAGGCTGTCAGAAAGATGTGATGGAGCCCAGGCAGAAAGTATAGTGCCCAGTGGGGATGCAGTGTAATTTTTTTTTTTTTTGAGACGGAGTCTTGCTTTGTTGCCCAGGCTGGAGTGCAGTGGTGCAATCTCGGCTCACTGCAACCTCCACCTCCCAGGTTCAAGCGATTCTTCTGCCTCAGCCTCCTGAGTAGCTGGGACTACAGGTGCCCACCACCATGCCCGGCTAATTTTTTCTATTTTTAGTAGAGACGGGGTTTCACCGTGTTAGCCAGGATGGTCTCGATCTCCTGACCTCGTGATCCAACCGCCTTGGCCTCCCAAAGTGCTGGAACTACAGATGTGAGCCACCACGCCCAGCCGAAGTGTAATGTTACAAAGGAGAACAAGTGGGTGGTGCTGGAGCCTGGACCCAGTCAGGTGACATGGAGGGAGCTTACCTTCCTGGCAGGTGAGTCTGTGACTGCTAAGACCTTTCGCCGAAACTGAAGCTCACGTTTTTCCTTGGGCATTTCCTTGGGGAAGAAGAAGTAGGGGATGGCAGCCAGGGCCACTGCACCGGCAGCGATGAGGAAACCCAGCCACCAGGCACCCACCCATCGGGGGTCCTTTATGGTCAGGCTGATACCACCTGGAAGAGAAGAGCATGGTGACATTAGGGTCAGGATGATAGGCTGTCACTTCTAAGCCGCCATCCTGGGACTGGCCTCTGAGACATGAGGTGGCCCAGGCTGGGAGTCAGGAGACCTGAGTTCCAGTCTGCTCTGCCAGGTGTGTCCTGTGTGACCCTGGGCAAGTCCTTGGCCCTTTCCGAGCCTTGGCTTCTTCAACTACCAAGGCAGTATAGTGCAGTGGTCAAGGCCATGGACTCTAGAGGCGGACTGCTGGGTCTGAATTCCATTACTAACTCATAACCTTGGGCAACCTACACAACCTCTTTGTGCCTCAGTTTTTGTCCTTTGTGAAATATAGATATTAGTAGCTTCCAAATCATAGGACTGTTGTGAAAATTAACGAAATAGATGTGAAGCACTTAGAAGAGTGTGTGCCATATAGGTACCTGCTCCTCCTCCTCCTCCTCTTCCTCCTTCTCATTACTATTGTGATTATTATTCTTAAATGAATGTTTAGGATTACTGTTGTGTTTCTCAGACCTTCATGATGATTAATATCCCCAGGGATGTTTGTCAAAAAATACCTGGCCTTACTGAAGACCCACTTAGAATGACCACAGAGTGGGGTGGGAAGGTGACCAAGGAACCCGTACCTTTAACAAGTTCCCCAGATGATTTTGATCCCCCACTAGGTTTAATTGGGACTAGATTATCCCAGGTGTACCTCCTGGCTGGAACACACAAAGCTCCCGTCATACTTCTTAATCACAAGGCTGAGTTGTGTACATTTTCCTTCAATTTCCACAGCATCCAAAAATGCTTCATAAAAATACAAATGAGCTGGGTGCAGTGGCTCAAGCCTGTAATCCCAGCACTTTGGGAAACTGAGGTGGAAGACTCATTAGAGGCCAGGAGTTCGAGACCACCCTGAGCAACATAGTGAGGCCCTGTCTCTACAAATAAATTAAAAAGTTACCCAGGTGTGATGGTGCACACCTGCAGTCTCAGCTACTCAAGAGCCTGAGGTGGGAAGATTGCTTGAGCCCAGGCATCCAAGGCTGCAGTAAGCTAGGATTGTGCCACTGCATGAGGGGCAGAGTGAGACCCTGTCTCAAAACAAAAACAAGAAAAACCAAATGCTCCTTGATGTACCAACCCCACACACAGAGCTGGTTCCCCTGGTGCTTGATCCTAAGCTCCTCCCAGGCAGGGACCAGAGGACTCAGTTGGCACTTAGCAAACGCACCTGTAAAGCCGGGGATGGGTTTGGCTTTTGCGCTGATTAGACTTGATTCTCTCCTTACTTGTTATCTCCCCTGCCTCCATGTCAGGCTGGTGAGAGCTCACACATGCACCTCTCCAACCCGTCCGCTTCTCTCTTATCAGTCTGTGCCTGCAGCTAGCATGATCTGCCCACCCTGTGAAATCCCCCATGGAGAAGGGAGTTTCGAGGTGGCAGGTCGGTCCACAGAAATGTCACATCTGCCTGTGGAGATACCCCGTCTGCCTGGACAATGTCAACAGAGTCAGAAAACACACCCCCTTGCATGGAGCTGAGGTGTGTCAGGGAAATCTAGGGAACCCCTGACTCCCAGGACTTTTCTTTCAGGGGAGGGAGGGGTCGCAGCCAGAGCCCACACTCTGGACCCAGCCTTCCAGAAGGAGAGTGGGCGGGGCGGGGCTGTCCCTGGTGGCTGCTGTTCAGAGCTGCGCAGATCTGTTCTGGCTGGAGGCGCTTGTGGGCAAAAGCTGGGGAACGAGAAGCAGCGTCTGCATGTCCATTCAGCCACACACACGTCACCTGAGGCTCCCAGGACCTGGCAGAAAGTCTGCAGGTGAGAATGGCAGGAGGCACATCTGGAGCTGCTTGGTGCGACGAGTTGGGAGCTGGGATGCCACAGTGACGTGCTCTAACAGGAGTACGCTACTGCTCTCCAAGGACTCCAGAACCCTGGAACCCCCAACACCCCTCCCTCCTGGCCACCTTCAGACCAAGCGTCAGTCCCACTCCTTGGCCCACTCTGACCACTGCCTGGACCAGAAACTACTCTTTCCCAAATGGTGCCCCTGGCAGTTTCCTAGACTCTGAGCTGGTCAGAACTAGAAGGGTTCTTAGAGGTCACAGTAAATGTCCCATCTGAGAGAGGCCCAGGGTAATACTTTGAGTCACCAAGTTCTGCTCCAAAAGTTCTCTCCAGTGTGCACTGTCCTCTCTGTTTAACTCAAGTCTTGTTTCCCCCTAAAAACAGGGGCTCCCTACAGGCAAGAGAGTATGCTCTTCCACCTGCCCCACAGCATGTGTGAGCAGGGGGCTGAGGGCCTGTTGAAGGTGGGGTATGGAACAAGGCGAAGACTCCCAGTAATAGTAGTGACGGCAACCATGGTTCCTAATTTGATGGCACTTTACAGTTTATCTCCACCATCTCGCTGGACTCTGATCACAGCTTTAGGAGACAGACAGGACAGAGATTATCTCACAGATGAGAAAGCTGAGGTTCAGAGAGGCTAAGAGACTTGCCCAAGGTCAGTGGTGCTGCTAGGATTTGAACCGAGGTCCCCTGGCTCAATGTCTCCTATGAGAGTGGCAGTCAGTTAGCTAGGGTCTAGCAAACATGTGCTCCTGAGGCTCACCTTCTGGCATCTGGTTAATGTCCACATAAAGGCGCAGCATGAGGCTGCCCAGCCCAAAGGCCAGGCCTGGCCCCATCATGGTCACTGCAAACAGGATCCCTACAACACAAAGCCTGAGTTAGGATCCTCTGGCCCTGGCTTCCCTCTGCAGACCAGTGCTTGCCCAGTCTCTGATGGGCAAGAACACTCTGTCTCCCCTGGTCAGGGATGGGGAACTCTCCAGGGCTTCCCTGGACCTTTACTGGCCAGATGGGGCAGGGGGCAGGGATTCCATCTCCAGCCCCAACCCTGGGTCTCTCTTCCTCCTAGTTGAGCCTGGCCTGACCCTCAGAGGCCAAGGGATGGCACTGGTCCTCACCGAGGTAGAGGGGCGAGTTGCTGTTGTGGGCAAAGTCATCGATGTAGGAGATGCCAAAGGGCTGAATGGGCACCCCGCCCACGCCCAGCAGGGTCTGTGCCACGAACATGATCCCCACCACACTCAGATGCTGGGTTTCTGTGTAGCTTGAGCAGTTGCCATTGGAGGGGGCCGAGGCTGGGGCCGAGGTTGTGGGCAGGCACAGGGAAGCCTTGAAGTCCTGTGGCATATCCTCTGAGAGACGACAATGAAAAAATATTATAACAATAGCTAAGACTTAAATAGCGCTTACCCCGGGGGAAGGTACTGTTCTAAGTGCTGTGTATAAAAATAATTTGAGCCCCACAACAAACCTCAAGGGTGAGTGCTCTCATTATGCCTGTTTCATAGGTGAGGAAACTGATGCTTAGACAGCAACTAGTAAGGTGACAGGGCCAGGATTGGAACTCAGGAGGTCTGGCTTCAGAGTCCATGCTCTTAAACTGCCCTACACCACCTTTCTGAGCTGAGGCATTTGCAAGTGCCATAGCAACGGTGGCCCCTGGGTGGGGCGGGGTGGTCAAAGGTGGTGTAGTTTGAACTGGGTCCGGAAGAATAAACACAATTTTCCAGAAAAAGAGGGAGGGGAGGGGTGTTCCAGGGAGAGGTCACAGTACACGCAAAACCCAGGGACTTGAAAGGGCACCGTGCCGGGAGAATGAGAAGCTCAGAATGGCTAGATCACAAAGTATGAGGGCAAGGCCAGGGCTGAAGGCACAGTGGAACAGGGTGGGGCAGCTGGGGCTGGATTGTGGAGGGCCCTGGGGCCCTTGGCATTCACTTTGGGGGAGGGTTCAGTGTCAGCTTGGGACACAGATGCAGAGTACAGAAAAGAATTTCTTAATTTAGTACCTGACATTTGTTCCCTGGAGCTCACCAATATTTGGTGAGCAAACTTGAGGAGACCCTCACACTATTATTATCCCAAATGTGGCTGTAGAAGCAGCCTTCTCTCTGCGGCCCTCCATTTATGGAGCTGGGACTCTGAGCTGTGTCAACCCAGCACGGAGAGCCACTCCCTTGGGCTGCAAAGAGCCATGTGAACCAAGGTCAAGAACGTGAAAGAAGCCTTCCACGGAGGCTGCCTGGGACTTGCTGTGTGACTTTGACAGAGGCCCTTACCCACTCTGGGCCTTGGTTTCTTCATCTTTCAAATGAAAGAAAGAACAAAATTTGGCCAGGCGCTGTGGCTCATGCCTGTAATCCCAGCACTTTGGGAGGCCGAGCAGGGTGGATCACCTGAGATCAGGAGTTTGAGACCAGGCTGGCCAACATGGAGAAATCCCATCGCTACTAAAATACAAAAATTAGCCGGGAGTGGTGGCACATGCCTGTAATCCCAGCTACTCAGGAGGCTGAGGCAGGAGAATTGCTTGAACCTGGGAGGCAGGGGTTGCAGTGAGCCAAGTTCAAGCCACTGCACTCCAGCCTAGGTGACAGAGTGATACTCCATCTCAAAAAAAAAAAAAAAAGAAAGAAAGAACAAAGTTCTCCAGATAAGGAATTCAGAAGTGGAAGAATTCGGCAGTTCAGAACAGCAGCTAAGGCAGGGCTACCTGGGTGTGTCCTTGGGGCAGTTCCTCCCCTCTCTGAGCCTTGGTTTCCTCACTTGTGAGGAAGTAATGATAATCCCTGCCTCCTGGAGTCGTGAACATTAAGAGTGGTGGGTGGTGAGTGTGCCTGGGCATGGGGCCTACTAGACGTTAGATGCAACAATTATTAGAGAGGTCATGTCTGCCTTCCCCATCCCTGTGTCCCCAGTGCCCTGCAGAGGGCCTGGCACAGAACACAACTTCATCAGTATTGGATGAAGAATAAGTGAGTGGAATAGCCTGGAGAGTCAGAACAGGAGGGGAGTTTGGAGATCCCCGAGTCTCTCCCATTCTTTGGGCTGATGTAAAGACGGAGGCTCAGACAGAAGGGCTTTGCTTGAGGATTCAGGGGCACCTATTGCAGAGGGGTTTGTATGGTAGTAAGGATGAAGAACATGCATGACCTTGCACAGAAAAAGTGAAAATGTAAAGTGAAAATTCTGTACAAAGAAATGTGAGGAAGTATTATTTTCTGGTATTCCAAGCAGTTCTCTTGACAAGTTTCCACGCAGGCCTAGAGAACGACTCTGCATTCTTCATGCACGCGCTGAGTTTTCCCATTTTCCTGCCTCTGCACCCATGCCCTCCCCTCCACCTGCAACTCCCACCTTCTCTCTAAGCTGCAGCTCAAGTGCCACCTCCTCTAGCCCCTCCAGCTCCCTCCAGCTGCCAAGGTCCTTCCCCTATTCAGGGCTCTAATGGCCTCCTCTGGCCACCTCCCAAGGTGCTGGGCTCTATACCTTGTAGCAGAGTTGCCCGTGCTCACGCCAACCCTGCGCCCCACTGGGTCATGTCTGCTTCATCTTCTCTCCCCTATCCCTGGCCTCTGGTCTGGTACAGAGTGGGACTTCAGAGGTGTGAGCTGGTGGGAGGAGGAGGGAGGAAACCTGCTCTCTGACAGTCTTCTTCCCCTAGAAAGGCTTCCTCCATGCCAGGCTGGGGTGTGGGCTCCTCCCACCCCTGTGCTTCCCTCCTCACACAATTGTTTTTTGTTTTATCTGTCTCCTCTCCCAGGCTGGGAGCTCCCTAGAGTAAAAAGGACTGATTCCCCTGAGAGGCTCAGGCACGAAGTAGGCAGCATTAAGAGTTTGTTGCGTGTCCCATTGGATGGATGAATAGATAAATAGATGGATGAGTAGTAGGTGGATGGATCGATGGGTGGATAGATGATGGATGAATGGGTGGATGGACAGATGGGTGAGTGGGTGGGTGGGTGAGTGGGTAGGAGAGGGAAGGAATAAAGTGAACGATCAGGTTGTTAGGGTCATTCTGTAAGAGACATCCATTTGTCAAGTAGGGCCTCAACAAAATCCCACTGGGCTGAACATGGCTTCACCATTCCTGTCCAGAATTCTTTCATTTTTTAAATTTGTTCATTCACTCATTCATTCTTTCTTTTCCCAATGTCTTTTATGAGGATTAAATGCGTGACTACACATTAAGTGCTTAGAGCAGTGTCTGGTGCATAGTAAGTAGTGTATGACACTATTATTATTACACACGCAATTCCGGAGGGTCTACTGCATGCCAGGCCCTCAAAGTAGGCTGTGTTGTAAATTCACCCCCACCTAAAAAAACCCACAGTGACATACAAGCAGGCCCTCACCCCTATGCGCAGGGCCTACTTCCTACCGCACTCCCCAGGTCTGCCAGAGACCCACCTGGGCTGGGGCCTGGGGAGCCAGGTTGGGGGGGGACTAGCAGCTGTCCTGGGGTGTTGAGGTTTTGGGGTGTATCCTGCCAGATGAATGCCTGTGGGGTGGGCCCCAGCGCAAAGCAATGCAGAGGCTAACGTCCCACTCCTGCCCAGCCCCTGCTGCTCTTACCAGGGCTGGTGTTGTCGTAGCGGTATGGCTCCGAGATGAAGTGCGGGAGAGTCATGAGCAGGCCCGCCAGGGCCACAAGGATAGCCCCATAGCCAATCATTCGGGGTCGGTGCACCCGGCTGCCAAAATAGCTCACAAACACAATCAAGGCTGTGTTCCCCACCTGCAAAAGGACGAGGTGACCCATTAAGGTGGAACAGTTCCCAGGGCTGGGGGCCTGCACTATCCTTGTCTCTATGTCTAACTTCCGTATGCCCATCTGAATAATGGACTGAATAAAAATCATCTGGGTCCCTCTCCTGGGTCCCCCTCGGAAGGGCCGCACGGCCCCCTTAGGGGAGAGAAATGAGGGCAGAGTGGAGAAAGCTAGGAGTTCAATTCCATTTTTGAACACAGATTGGACCCCATGTTAGAACATGGGGAAGGATGGGCCATCAAATGAAGGGGTTTCGAGTTTCAGGAATGTCATAAACAAAGTCTAAAGCCAGGTCAAGGCTTGAATTTTTTTTTTTTTTTTTTGAGACGGAATTTCTCTCATCGCCCTGGCTGGAGTGCAATGGTGTGATCTCAGCTCACTGCAACCTCTTCCTCCCAGGTTCGAGCAATTCTCCTGCCTCAGCCTCCCAAGTAGCTGAGATTACAGGCATGCGCCACCATGCTCAGCTAATTTTTGCATTTTTAGTAGAGACGGGGTTTCACCATGTCGGCCAGGCAGGTCTCAAACTCCTGACCTCAAGTGATCCACCCACCTCAGCCTCCCAAAGTGCTGGGATTACAGGCATGAGCCACCGTGCCTGGCCCAAGGCTTGACCTTTTGAGCCTTAGGATCACAATCCTAGGATGTGAGTTCAGGAGGTGACTTCAGTGCATGCAGGGCAGGGACAGTCTCTGCCACCATGAGCAGGGGGTGCATTGGCTCTGCTGCTTATTGATTGGTGACCTTGGGTGAGTCCCAGACACTCCTCGCTGGGGGAGTGGATCAGTATCAGCAGGGGAGCCAGGGGATGGCTGACCCTGGAAAGGACAGCCACACTCCATAGTGGCCGTATTCATAGATAGGGCCCTGAGGCCCAGAGACAGGGGAGTGACTTGCCCAAACTCCCAGAGCAAAGTAAGGACTTTCCCCTCCCACCTATGAGGCGGGTGCTGAGGAGGATCTGGGGACACTGCAGCTGGACGGCCTTGGGTTGTGAGAAATATGACACATTACCAAGGGGGGAGAATTTCATGGGACTCTGCCCTGGGGACAGGGGAGAAAGACAACTTCCTTCAGGGTAAAAACATCTGGCGGGGGAAGGACTGAAGGACTGGGGCACAGCTGGACTCTGATCTCCAAATCCACCCAAAGCAGCTCATCTGCTCCTCCCTGCTTGGCTGCGGGCCCCACAGGCCTGTGAATCCCCAGGCAGTTCTAAGGACAGACACCCTGCGCCGCGGTATCCCTCCCGCGACCATCCCAAGGCCCAGAGGTTCTGCTCTTGATGCGATTTAAGCCTCTCTCACTACTGTTGAAGTGGCTTTCTTTGATTCCTTCCTGGGACAGGCAATAGTTGGGTGCCTGAAAAGGTAAAGGACACAAAGTGGGAGTGGGTGGATATGGGGACCCTGGCTAGCTCCGAAATATTCCAGGACCCGACCCATTAGAGGTTCCCAAGGGGAGACAGCCAAGTCCAAGTCCTAGAAGACAGCTGCAAACGCTCTGAGGTTTCAGGCAGGCGCTGGGACAGGGGTTGCCTGAGGGCACTGGGAGGGGAAGGCCTTAAGGTAGGGTAGTGAGAGGGGAGGCTGGTGGAAGGTGCGGTGCAAGCCTCCCTCAGTGTCCACCCCTGTGGCTGGGTGGGGCCTGTACCTCGTTGAAGGAGGCCAGCAGCCCCGACGTCTGGCTGGAGAGGCCGAAGCGCTTCTCCACTGTGGAGATGGAGCTCTTTAGGTAGCCGGAGATCATGAGCTGCGCCAGCTGCAGCAGGCTGTGGCACAGAACGAACAGCTGTGGGGGGACCCGGAGGCAGGCAGAGGTGGGCGGTGCAGGGGGAGACAAAGAGGCAGAAGGAGGCAGAGGGAGCAGCAAGGAGTAGAGATGGGGAAACAGAGTCACAGAAAGAGACAGAGGGCGGGAGAGTGACCAACAGAAGAGAGACAGAGAGAGACCAAAGGAGACAGGGAGAGGAGGAGGGAGGGGAGAGAAAGAGAGAAAGGGAAGAAAGGCCAGAGGAGGTAGGGGGCAGAGAGAGATGGTTACTGGTGTAACTCACAGCTTCTCACACAGGACTAAAAACTAGAAAAGCTATCCTGGGTACACTCCAGGAGCCTGGGGGCTATTGAAGAGCCACAAGACCGAGAGTAGGGTCTTCCCATGGCCAGGAATGGTGGGAGCCCCTCTGACTCTCAGAGCCCCCCTTGGCTGGGCTGGACTTTCCTCCCAGTTCCACCATCCTGCCCCTCTCTCAGGGAAGCTATCTCAGATTCACCCAGATCCTTCTCCATCCCACCCCCACTAGTCCTCTCCCAGAGTGGCACTGTGAGGCCACCTGCACACACTGAACCCCACCCCAAACATCGCAACCTGCCTGGAGTCTCCTCCTGAAACTCTAAGAGAATTCCTAAGAGAAGAAAAACTTCAAAGGATTAAAAAATAGAGTATTTATGACAGAGCTTAATATATTCACTCTGTTCTGAGTCTCAGTTTCCTCATCTGTACAATGAGGACAACAGCCCGAGTTCCCAGGGATATTGTGAGAACTAAATAAGATCACGTGTGAGTGGCACCTGGCACAGCGCCTGGCACCCAGTGGGCTCCAGTGGACGTTGGATGTTCACAGCTGCCCTTGGTGGAGCTAGGACTCCCAGTATCCACATAGGTTCGGGATCCCCAGGGCACTTCTCTGTTTCTCTGGGAAAGTGGGAAACAAGGGGTGCCTCATCCTGTACTACTCCAAGAACACCCCTTTCCTCTCTGGGAGGAGCGAACATGTACTGGCCACCTTCCATGTGCCCGAAACCCAGCTGAGTGCTTTCGCAGATCATCCCTTTGATCCTCACAGCCACACATTCTATAGATGAGGAAACCGAGGCTCAGAGAAAGTCTTCCTTGGCATTACACCACCAGCACGTGGCAGAGCCTGCTCTTCTAGACTCGGAGGCCCCTGCCAGGCCCTGAGAGGTACCTTGATGTTATGGAACACACTTGGCCGCACGTCCTGAGGGTCTGGGCTGGCTTTGCCTCCAGGTGTGTTTTCTGTGCCCATTGTGGCTTTGGTTTCCTTGTCTGGTACCTGGGGTACCTCACCCGCTGGCCCTGAGGGACAGAAAACCAGGGAAAGAGAATAGATAGAATCCCCGAGAATGGCCCTGACCTGATTAGATAGCCCTAGACCTCAGAACCAAGGTCTTTCAGGAAGAAGAGTTCTTAGTGGTTGATGAGAATCTGAGAATCAAATCACCTTCAGCCTTCCTCATTCTTAGGTCACAGTTCTGGAAGGGACTTTCCTAAAAGGGTGTGTATCCCTGTGCCCCTACTGATCAAATACCTACTGGGTACCTATTTCACACTTCACTCTGCTCCCAGAAAAACTTCCCTTCTAGGGAGAAGCTGCTGACCTCTCTACACAACACACCTGCAGGTAGTGGCCCCAGCAGTAGGGTAAGCCGTGAAGACTCTCAGCCTGCCTTGGGTTGTGAGACATCCTGTGCTCTTGGAGACTGAGTCTGGGCCTGGGACTGTCTGGCTCAGTCTAGGATCAGAGATCTGGGGCAGGTGCAGGGTCAAGGCTAGGTCCATAGTCAGGGAATAAAGGCTTTTCTGGGGTGTATTGGAGTAGATTTCAACCCCTGCACAGGGAACCCCTGTGCATGTCATCACAGAGCTAACCAGCCAATCCCCAAATCACACCATCAGACCATGTTGCTGGTCAGGGCAGAAAGGGCCCTCTGAGCTCGTCTCACTTAACACTCTTGTGGACAGAGGCCCATGGGGTGATAACTGAGGACACAGAGCTGTCTTGGACCCTTGGCCTCCCTTATGCATGTTGGCTTTCCTCACATGGTAACTATGGTAACCATCAGTATCTCACTCACTGCAATGAGAGGAAAGCTGAGCCCCTTCAGAGGCATTTCCCAGGGTCTCCTGAGCTCACTCTCAGTGGGGAGCCCAGAAGTCCAACCTTGAGACTCCACCCCTCTATTTAGACTGAAACCACCTGCTCCTCCTGGCAGCCCAGGCCTCCTTGGTCTTCCTCCCCTTCTGCGGCTCCACTTCCTGCCGGAAGCCTCCATTGTTTCATGTCCCTCTCACCACCGGCAGGAGTTTCCTTTCACTCAGCATGCTTTCTGGAGCCTGAAAATTGACCTCAGGATTCCTCTGATCTGGGGGACTCTCACTCTATCTCCAGGGCTAAAGACAAACTCAGGGAGGGGGCTACGGAGGCCCTGAACCACCACAGGTGAAGTTTTTGTGCTCCTCTTACAAGGTACCTGGGAGCCTGATGATTTTTAAAATTGAGATGTAATTCATAGCCATAAAATCCACCCTTTTAAAAGTGCACAATCCAGTGGGTTTTAGTACATTTACAAAGCCATACAACTATCTCCACTATCTAATTCCAGAATATTTTCATTCACTCATAAGAAGTCCCGTACCCATCTGTAGTCACCCTCCATTCCTCCCTCTTCCCTGACAAACACTCATCTACTATTTGTCTCTATGAATCTGCCTATATTCTGAACATTTCATATAAATGAAATCACACAATATGTGGCCTTTTGTGACTGGCTTCTTTCACTTAGCATAATGTTTTCAAGTCTTAGGTATTAGAAGCATTCATGTACAAATTTGTATGGAGACATACATTTTCAATTCTCTTGGGTGTACACCTAGGAGCGGAATTGCTGGGTCATATGTTCATATACAATAATGCTATGTTTAACCATGTGAGGAACTGCCAAACCATTTTCCACAGTGGCAACACCATTTTACACTCCCTCCAGCAATGTCCCAATTTCTCTACATCTTTGCTAATACTTTCATTGTCTGCCTTTTCAATTATAGCCATCCTCATAGGGTAGAGGTGGTATCTCAGTGTGGTTTTGGTTTGCATTTTTCTAATGACTAATGATATTGAGCATCTTTTCATGTGCCTACTGCCATTTGTATATCTTGCTTTGGAGAAATGTCTATACAAACAGGTTGAGGAATTTGGCTGAGGAAATGGAAGTGCGTGTGGCTAGGGAGGAGTCCCTCTGCGGGGCATAAACACTCAGAGGAAGCAAGGAACTGTTGAAACAAAACTGACACCTGACGAGGAGACGGGAAATTGGCCTAGGGAAGAGGAGTGTCATGGGACACTCAGTGGGAGTCACTTTAAAGGCAAGGAGGAAATAAGGCAGTTCAAAGCAAAGGCTCCCAGAGGAGGTGGAGGGGACCATTTCTGAGCCTCAGCTCCTCTCACCAGCCGCAGTGGGTTTCCTGCTGTAGTCTGGGCTCCATGCCACAGGCTTTCTGTGCACTGGCCCATGAACCCTCTCCACAGCTCCGTCCCTTTGGTGTCTTATTATCTCTATGCTTCTGATAAGGACACCCAGGCTCAGAGGAACTAGCTTTGCTGGTTAGCATTGGTCCCAGGACTCAAGCCCAGGTAAGTGTTAAACTCAACATCACTCAATGCTCCTTGTACAAGTTTGACAGGGGGAAGAAGCACAGTGCTTTTCTCTGTCTTGGCCCACCCAAACCTAGCCAAGTCACTTCATAGGTAGCAGTGCCAGTCCACCAAGGGGCCAAGCCAACCAGGTGAGAGAGCGGGAGCTGAGGCTGGGAGCAGAAGTCCTTGACCTGGAGCCCCAGCTCTGAAGGAAACCCAAGGAATGGATGGGGGAGAGGGGTGGAAGCCTGTGGGCCAGCTCAGAATGTGAGGCCCCCGCCTCCAGGCCAGACCCTGGACCCTCCACTTAGCTTCCTGGGTATACTGGTGGCATCCTTGCTGTGCCCCAGCCTGTCTAGCCCCAGTTCCAGCCCCCTGGCCTCTCACCTGCCCACTCATGGAGCCTGCTCACCTGCCTCAGGTGATCTCCCACTCCAGCCTCACCTCTGGCTCTCCCTGAAGCTTCAATCCCAGCCTTTTCTGCCAAGGCTCAAAGCCTTCCTGGGAGTACTTTATCCTTTAGAGATATGGCTGTTTGTGGAGGGCAAAGTCCACAGCCTGTGCCTCTGGGCAGGGGAGGGAAGCACTGGCCACATTCCTCCGGGTTCTGAGAGGAGCACGAGTCATGTATTGGGGGTCAGCTGGTCACTGAATGGGGCTTGTCAGGCAGGCTGCCCACCCCCTCCGAGCCTTTCCTGTGGGCTGGGGTCTCTGCTGACGCGCTGACAGCAAACCTTCGCCTCCCTGACTCAGGGCGGAACTCCCCTTGGAAGGATGGTCCAGTCCAGGACTGCGTGTCCTCCTGTGGAAGGGCACTGAGACCCTGCCCTGTGCTGTGGGGCCTTTGTCAGGGGCCACCCCTGACAGGAGGATGGGACGGCCATGGGACTGAACCTGGGCTGGGCAGGCGGTTGCCTGCGGGAATGAAGGGACCTGGGGCAGAGAGCCAGGCCCTAGTTTAAAAAACCCAGTCCCTCTCTCTCCCAGGTGGGCAGCTAAGTTTTGGGGTCCCAGGTAGGCCAGGTGGCTCCAGGGGCTAGGGACCCACAGCCCGAGCTGGCCCGCAATGGGTCTGTGTGTCTGACTGTCAGTCGGTCACTTGGCTGATCACTCATGCAGGCACATCGTGTCCACCTGCTGGTAAGCCAGCCAGCCGGCGGGCTACTGTCTTTCAGGAGAGCTGTCCGTTCAGGCCGTCAGTCAGCCACCTGCCTGCAGCTCCTCATAAGACAGTCAGACAAGTTCCTGAAAGTCTGTCAGCCACAAACTTCGTTTCCCAGGTATCTGGTCAGTCAGAGACTCACCCTTCAAGGGGCTGCCCTTCATGGGTAGAGTCAGCCTTCTCCACACCACCTGAGTCTGGGTGATGAGGAGCAAGGTTTCAGAGACCAGCCTGACTGCAAGGACCGCCTTCCTTTACCTGTTCTCTGTGGGAAAGGCCCAGGATTCTGCCTCCTTTGGCTGCCTCCCAGCAGCAAAGGACAGATCTCAGGGAAATGTGAGGCTGAGAATAGGCTTTAAGGCCTCAGACCTGGGTTGGAATCCCAGATGTGCTACAAGCCCACTGTGTGAGCCTGGGCACATCCCTGAGCTTTCTGAGCCTCAGTTTCCCCATTTGTAAGGTGAATATAACAGTATTTACTGATGGAATTCAGGACACACTATTCTCCAAATATGGCACCTTGGCCACATTTGAGAAAACAGTAGAAGCAGGTCATAAAACCTAGGATAGTCACCCCACTCTGACCTTCTCCCACCTTTCACCCTGAAATAGGTCATAAGATTCTCATTTGAGAGTTGCTGTCTTTGTACCTGGAGAAAAAAAAAACAGCCTTAACTTTGAAGATGCAAGGACACAGAGAAGAATCTGAACAAACAGGCCTTGCTAGGTTCCCCTAAGTGTATCACCATTAGCTCACACACTCTTTGTGCAATACTTCCACAACTATATACTTCTTCATCAAACTTGGCATAAAAAGTCACAAGTTTTTGACATTTTAGGCTAGATGATTAAAAAATAATAAACCAGCCTGGGCAACATGGTGAAACCTCATCTGTACTACAAATGCAAAAAATTAGCCAGGTGTGGTGGTGCATGCCTGTAATCCCAGCTACTCGGGAGGCCGAGGCAAGAGGATCACTTGAGCCTGGGAGTCAGAGGTTGCAGTGAGCCGAGATCATGCCACTGCACTCCAGCCTGGGCGACAGCGTGAGACCCTGTCTCAAAAAATAAATAAATAAATAATTTAATTTAATTCAATATAATAAAAACTAAAAAGTTTAAGAATACACACGTTTTCCCATTTCTTTGGGTCTTCATTTCTGAAGGCCCCTGTGTCATGTAAAACTTATATTAAATAAATTTGGGCCAGGCGCAGTGGCTCACGCCTGTAATTCCAACACTTTGGGAGGCCGAGGTGGGAGAATTACCAAGCCCAGTAGTTCCAGAGTAGCCTGGGTGACATGGTGATACCCCATCTCTATGTAAAAATAATAATAAGTAAATTAAATTTTTAAAAGCCAAATAAATTTGTATGCTTTTCTCCTGTTAAGCTGTCTTTTGTTATAGGGACCTCAGCCACCAGCCTAGCAAAGAGTGAGGACAAGAAATCTCTTCTCCTCTATACGACCTCAAAGAGGTAAGGCCTTTGGGGCAGCTGGCCTGGCATATAGGTGGCCCTTGCTCTCTTTTCCTGATAAATATTCAAGCACATCTGAGGCAATCGGGCCCAGCTGGATCCATCCCCTTCCATACACACCTGGTCTTCCTCCAGGTAAACCCCTCCATCCTGACATCGCCATTCATCCATCTCTGGATCATCTCTCTCCCTCTCTGGGCTAGGAGGCAGTGATACAGGCTTGAAGCCCCCAGCTACCATGCAGAGACTGTAATCCCTCCTTCCTGGTGCAGAAAGCATCTCCTGAGGATGAAAGCCATCTATCCCCACATTCAGCCTGACAGCTAAAAAACTCAAACTGTACCTTACCGTCAACATTCACATGATGGTATTTGCTATTTCACTGTCTTCATTAGCAATATTTTTCCTCTTCCTAGACTGTCCGTCCAAAGCAAATGGTTTGATTGTTCTTTAGAGAAACTTCCTGAAAGATGGATCAGCCCTTCAAGGGAAGAGGCTGTGGCCATCAGATTCTCAGACTCTCTCCCCACAAAATTCAAAACCATTGAATTGAGATTCTTACCCATCTCCATCTCCATCTTCATCTTGAGTAGGGATTGGGTAAAATAAGGTTGAGACCTACTGAGCTGCATTCCCAAAGAGTTAGGCATTCCAGGTCACAGAATGAGATAGGAGGTCAGCACAGGGTACAGATCATAATGACCTTGCTGATAAAACAGCTTGCAGTAAAGAAGCCGGCTAAATCCCACCAATGCCAAGATGGCGATGAGAATGCCCTCTGGTTGTCCTCACTGCTACACTCCCACCAGCACCATGACAGTTTACAAATGCCATGGCAATGTCAGGAAGTTACCCTATATGGTCTAAAAGGGAGGCATGAATAATCCACCCCTTGTTTAGCATATCATCATGAAATAACCATAAAAATGGGCAATAAGCAGCCCTCGGGGCTGCTCTGCCTATGGAGTAGCCATTCTTTTATTCCTTTACTTTCCTAATAAACTTGCTTTCACTTTACAGACTCACACTGAATTCTTTCTTGCACGAGATCCAAGAGCCCTCTCTTGGGGTCTGGATCCAGACCCCTTTCTGGTAACATCAGCAGCAGATGCTGGGCAATCCATTCCTCATGATAATGGCAGACACCTCCCTCCAGAGGTGTTGGGGTGGGAGGCAGACAACTTCAAGGCCACAAGCCCCTGCCTTGGGCCCTTCCTACCTCCTAAAGTTGCTTGGGGTTCCCTGGGCCTGCAGATCCCCCTGCCAAGCTCCTGCAGCCCAGCTCATCTCTCATCTCTCCCTCCATAAAACCCCACTCCCAGGCCAATTTCTGCCGGTCACTCTCTTGCATTACTTATGTTTCCCTCTTATCTGCCTGACTAGGCAATAAACTCCCCCAGGGCAGAGGTTGTCTTGTACTCCCCCAGTCCTGGTGGATCATGTTAGTTCCCTGCTGAAAGCCTCTGGGTGAGAAGACTTTGGATTCAAATATTTGTTTTGTCATATCGTAGCTATGTGACCTAAGACATCTGATTTAGCCTCTCTAAGCCTGTTTTCTTCTCTGTAAGTGAGTGAGCAGTGTCTATCTCCCAGTGTTTTTATTAGGATTAAAGGAAAATGTCCTATGCCTGGTATACTGTGGTCCTCAACAATGGTTAGCCCCTCCCCAACTCCCAGCTGCGTCTGCAAACCGTGAGTACAGGCTCAGTCCCAAGGAGGTCAAGGCTAGTGGAAGCCAGTCCCATCCCACGTACCCCCCACCCTAGTGAGCATTATTCCCTGGCTCCAATAGATTCTTGCCATTCCCCAAATTCATCATGTTCTTTTCCACCTCAAAGCCTTTGTACCAGCTGTACCCCCTCAGCGTGGAGTGTTCTTCTTCCCCAGCAAACCACTTATCTTTCGAGGCCTGGCTCACGCCTGGCCTCGTGGTGGCTCACACCTGTAATCTCAGCACTTTGGGAGGCTGAAGCAGGCGGATCACCTGAGGTCAGGAGCTCGAAACCAGCCTGGCCAACATGGTGAAACTCTGTCTCTACTAAAAATACCAAAATTAGCCGGGCATGGTGGCATGTGCCTGTAATCCCCGCTACTTGGGAGGTTGAGGTATGAGAATTGCTGGAATCTGGGAGGCCGAGGGTGCAGTGAGCCGAGATTGTGCCATTGCACTCCAGCCTAGGCAACAAGAGTGAAACTCCGTCTCAATAAAAGAACAAGATTGTTGAATTGAACTAAACTAAATGAAGGGGAAGAGAAGGCTGGAGCACGGGGTCTGTGGGTGGGGACTGCGGTGGTGTGCATGAGTTGGGATGGGGGCAGCATAAGGGCCCTGAATGCTCCAGTTCCTTGTTCGGCCTGGCCCAGCATTCTGGAGGAGAGAGAGTCAAAGGCAGGAAGGGGGCATGTCTCCAGGCATTGGGCTTGGCTGTCATATTTGGGAAATTCCTCCCAGCAGGACCTTGGGTGGTCTGCTGGGAGGACAATAGCATGCTTGAGGTCCAGCTTTGTGAGACTCCAGCTGTTGTTTCTTGAAGGAGATCTGGCAGGTTTGCGGAGGGGCCAGGCAAACTTTCTGGTGGTTTCCCAGCTCAGTCAGGGACCCTGAGCTGAGACTTCCTGTTCCCAGTTGTAACCCTGGCTACCCCATCTAGACCCAGGATGACCTAAAAAATAGCAACTAGGGCCTGGAGGGAGAGTCTCTCTATGCCTAAAACAAGGAGCCAGAGGCTCAGAGATAGGCAGCTATGGCTCAAGGCCATGCTCTGTTCCCTCCATGTGGTCCCAGCTAATCTCTCTCTCTGCTTAAATTGACCCCTTAAGGGGTCCATGTTATCCCATCTCACTCGGATCATGAAGCTGTAGTGCTCCAAACACAAAGTGACCCAAATGACCGTCTTCAGGCTGTTTTGGCACCAGAGACCCTGGGGTCAGGGCAGGCTTCCTGCAGAGCCAGCTCCCTCAGGCCTGTGTTCACCAGGCACAGGCTGGGAACATTGGAGCCTTCAGTACAGATTTGTCCAGAAAGAGGGGAAGAGGAGGCCAGGAAGGGCTCTGTTACCAGTGGAGGGCTCAAGTTTGAGCCCCAGTTCTGTTGCTGAGTAGCTGCATGGCCTTGGGCAGGTAACAGAACTCCTCCTAGCTTTTATTTCCTCATTTGTTGTTGTTGTTGTTGTTTTTGAGATGGAGTCTCACTCTTGTTGCCCAGGCTGGAGTGCAATGGTGCAATCTCGGCTCACTGCAGCCTCTGCCTCCCAGGTTCAAGCAATTCTCCTGCCTCAGCCTCCAGAATAGCTGGGATTACAGGCATGTGCCACCACACACAGCTAATTTTTTGTATTTTTTTTTTAGTAGAGATGGGGGTGTTTCACCATGTTGGTCAGGCTGGTCTCGAACTCCTGTCCCTCATTTGGAAAATGGGCCCAGAGTGCTTTGTCATCATAAAAGTGCTGCACATGGTCAGGCGCGGTGGTTCATGCCTGTAATCCCAACACTTTGGGAGGCTGAGGCAGATGGATCACGAGGTCAGGAGTTCGAGACCAGCCTGGCCAACATGGTGAAACCCCATCTCTACTAAAAATACGTAAATTAGCTGGGCGTGGTGGTGAGTGCCTGTAGTCCCAGCTACTCGGGAGGCTGAGGCAGGGGAATCGTTTGAACCCGGGAGGTAGAGGTTGCAGTGAGCCGAGATGGCGCCATTGCCCTCCAGCCTGGGTGACGGGGTAAGACTCTGTCTCAAAAAAAAAAAAAAAAAAAGTACTGTACACATGATTGGGGTTATAATGAATGTTCCCAGGACACAGATTCTCTGGGCCACTGAAGCAGGGCCACTTCCTCCTCAGATACTTTCTATAGCTCCCAATTGCCTTTAAGAAAAAGTCCATGTGCCTAACCTGGCATACAAGTTCCTTGTGACTGGGCCCCATCAACTTCTTTGGCTTAACTTCCCAAGATGTTGCCCAGTGACCCCCGCTCCTCCAACGGTACTGGGCAGCTCACTAGCTCCACAGACATGCAGGTGTAGTCACTTTTCTAAGCATTTGCAGTGCTATCTCCTTCCCTGGCCATGCTCACCCTGTGTGGGATTGGTGGAAGGGAAGAGAAACCACAAGGGCAATGGCACGGAGAGGAAGAGCTCTGGTACCAGGCAGACCTGGGGGCTGGCCTCCACTCTGCTGTTTACTTTGGGGTGAGCTTGGACCTTGCTTGCCCCCTCTGAGCATCAGTTTCTCACCTATTGAAAAGGGGAAGGACATTTCACTGAGTTCTCTTAAAGCCAGTGATGCAGTGCTGGAATTTGAACCTGGGACTGCTGGTTCTTTCCCTCGCCCCACCTGTCTGCCCTAGAATGGCTTACATTTGAACACAGTTGGGCTGGAGAGAGGAAGAGCAACACCGGAAACAAGGAGGGATGAACCTCAAAGAGAAGGTCATCAAACAGCATATGGGAGAGGTTACCCCCAGCTGGAAGAATCTGGAACGGCTTCCTGGAGGAGTTGGCATTTGGAAGAGTTGGAAAACAGGGCAAATGTCACCAGAATGGGATGTGGGCAGGGGCTTCCTGAGCAAAGGTGAACAGGTGGGAAGATGAAATCTCTGAGTCAGACTGTGTGTGTGTGAATGGCTGCCCCAGCACTTGCAGGGAAACTGCTGCCTAAGGGGTATGTGGTGAGTGGGTGGAGGGGCTCTGCTGGAGCCGGATCTGAACTTCACTCCTCTCTGGTGTCTGCCCTGACTGGGACAGCTTCCCCTCTCCCTTGGGGACTCTTCCCAGGCTGCAGGCTCTGTGTCCTACCCCACCCACATTCCCACACCCCTCAGAGTAGTGTGGTGAGCCTGGCCACAGCCCAGAATGGGTCTCGGGAAGCAAGGCTAGAGATGGCACCCAATGGCCCACCAGGCAGATGCTGGGGTCAGCTTCCTGCTGTCTGTGTGGAAGGTCAGTGGGCACCTGGAGAATATTCCAGAGCTGGGCCCTGCAGGGGTCAGAAAAATAGTACTGGGGGGACTTGTGGGGAGGTGTAGTGCAGCCAAAGTCTCTAGTTAGTTCCCACACTCCCCGCTCTCCATCCCTCCCATCCATACTGAGCCAAGGCTGATGGGGAATTTGGTTTGTCAATGGCCCATTCACACCGCCCCCCCAACCATCCCACCCAAATCTGACCTCATTCTCATCTGTCCTGTGAGGTGCCCCGAGAGGAGGCATCCATCCCACCCTTCCTGCCGTACTGCAGTCCCCAAGCCATGGCTGCGTTCTCCTGGAGTCCCTGCAGCTGCTCCTCAGCTGGGTCTGTCTCCATGGCCTATGAAGCTCTCCCTGCTGGGCTTCTGGGAGCAAGTGGGGCCTTGCCCAAATGGCTGTGAGGCTCACACAGCCCAGGGGAGGATCAACAGCTGGGAAAGAGGCCAAAGGTGACTGCTATAGGGCGTCTAACCTGGAGTACTCCCAGTAGAAAGATCCTTTGTTTCTTCTACCCATACTGCCTTCCCAGAAAGTGTTGGGCCAGGTGCTCTGTTCCCAGAAACACTGCCCTCGCTACAAGGCGATTCCTTGTCACCCTGCAGGCAGAGCTTCAAGACCTTTTTCCTCCAGCCTCCTCCCCACTCTATAGTAAGAGACCTCACTGCACAGAGACCCATGCAGGTCTCTGCAGGTCACTCTCAATCTCCTGGTCTTCTGGGTGGATCTTCTGATGCTGCCTGCAGGTCTGTCTGTAGCTCTCCGTCACCTGTCCCCGTCTGATTCTCTTTCCTGCTCTGTCTCCTGCCTCTTTGTCTCTCCCAGTCTCTGCTGCAGCCCTCTCTCCCGGTTTGACCTCCCTACCTTTCCCTGCATTCTCTCGCTGATACCTGTTGATATTGTGTTCTCCGACCTCCTGTGTGCCTCTTCGTTTGAGCCTGCCTGTCTGCACTGTCTGACTACACTTTTCTCTTTTTCTCTGCTCTGTCTGTCTCTATCTTTGTCTCCTTTGAGAGGGGAAACGGCTTGAAGAGGGGGTCAGGGGCCTGTCTTTCTGTTGTCCTCTAAGTCTCGGTCTCATCAACGAGGTTTGGCTGGGTTCCCTGGCTCCAGCTGAGTAAATCGTGTCCCTTCCTGCTCCTCCAGTCATTCACTCATTCATTTAACACACCTTCACTGAACTCCGGCCATGTGCCTGGCTCTGTGCCAACAGCTGTGAGCACCCATCCCACCCACTCTGGCTCTACGGCCTCACCCTTTTCTCTGGGAACATGTCCCCCAGGCTTGCTCTCCATGGCCCTTCCTTAATTTGTTCGGACTTACCTATCCTGGGTCCCATGACTGCTGGAGTGCAGTGAGCTCCAGCCCCTAATTTAATCTCAGGACCTGGAGCTTAGCAGGGGAGAGGAAGCAAATCTTCTCAGGGGCTCCTGGAGACAGCAGCAGGTGAGCCACAGCAGGGATGCAATAACGGTGGGAGCTCCAGACACGGGGTCAGTTCTTCTTGGGCCACACAGGACATCAGACTTGTCCAGACACAGGTTAGGGAGTCTTGCTCAAACTCAGCCCCAAGTATCTCCAAGTGTTTGTCTCCCTGGGTCACTTGCTCCTTCTGTCTCTCCCTTGCCCTGGCTCCACGGTTGTATAGAAGGCTGGGTTTGTTCAAGTCCAGCCTCTCTGTGAAGAGGAAGCTGCACCCCGCCTCCCTGAGGCTCAGCCTCAGCCTGTCCTTTTCCAGCCTCTTGCCTCAGCATTTCCCTTAGGTATTTTCCCCTGCTCTGTTAGCAGCAGAGAGGTGGGGGCACAGGGGGGATGCTGATGGGTCTCCCCAAGCTCCCCAACCTTCCACATTCATCCCCCAGTCTCCTCACTGCACTCCCATTTCCCACCTGAGCCCTTCTCCTACCAAGCTCTTGTTCCCTTCACAGAACTTTTGTTGCCCTCCCTTGATAGGAGGGCCCCATAGAGAGCCCTTGTTCCCCCATCTAGCAGTTGTCCTCTTTCACTGAACCCCTGTCCCCCTCAAGCCCACGTGCCCTCTCACTAAATCCCTCATCTTCTCCCTGAGCTCCAAGGATCCACAGCAAGAAGGGGCTCTGTCCACTAAGTATCCAGTGGCAGCCTGCCTGGGTGGAGCTCATGGTAGAAGGTCCATCAATTTCAGCCATCTAGGCAAAGGAGGAGGGGAAGAGAATGGAAAATATGAAATTCTCAGAGTTTCCTGGACTGAGGACTGAGGATGGAGGTTCAGGAGCCAGAGAGATCTGGGTCCCACCTCAGTTGTTATTTGCTGGTCAAGTGATCTCAGGCAAGTCCCAGCATCTCCCTGAGCGTCCATTCTCTCATCTATAAAGAAGGGACAGTAATCCCTTGCAGAGCCACTGTGAAGGTTCGGTGAAGGACAGAGAAGCCAAGCCTGCAGGCCTGGAGCTCAGAGAAGGGAGTGGCAGAGGTGGGGCTCCGAACAGGGCAGCAAGGGAAAGCAAATCCACTTTGCCTTTCCCAGCTTGCACAGCACTTTCACACACAAGGCCCCACTGGGTCCTCCCCTTGACACTGTAACATCAGGTTATTTATTCCCTGATTTTACAAATGAGGCATGGAGTCTCAGTAACTTGCCAGAGATCACCCAGCTAGTAGGTGGTGGGTGCCTTGAACCTCTAATGATAGAACCAGGCTTTTCCCTCCACCCAGGATATCTTCTCTGAGGAAGATCTGGGTTTCCCCAAATCCAAGATGCAGAAGTGAACCTGACCCTGTCTCTGGAATAAAGTCTTTGCGTGGAATGAGGATGTGGGTTTGGAGTCTAACTTTCAGGGTGCAATAACAGAGAAACATACACCAGCTCCACTTGGCTCCTATTTGCTGTATGAGGGTGCTAGTAGGATGTAGGGAATGTGTGAAATAATCACAGATCTCCCTGGCACTCAGGAGGCACTCAATAGATACTTGTTACATGAATAAATGAGTCTTTGAGAAACCAGAAATGTGAGTACATGACCATTCCACTGAGAAAGGTCAAGAACTGGCTTGGATTAATAGAAAGACCAGACCCTCATGGGTTTGACCCAGGGTCTGACCTGATCAGACCCTACTTGAGAAAACCAAATTGGGTCTATCTCTCCAAATCCTTCTGACGAACGTCAGCATTGTGAATCCTCATGAAGACTGGCGGGGGTGCAACCTTCCAGACTCCAAATTACAGGTATGAAGATCCCTTTAAACTTTCTGGAAGCCCAGTTACCCCCACCTTGGCCCCAGGGCCTGAAGAAGTTCTGTGCATGGAATGGTCTTGGTAGGGGGACCAGCTTGTCTGGCTAAGTTTATCTGATTGATCTTTTTCTTTTTGTTTGTTTGTTTGTTTGTTTGTTTGTTTGTTTTTGAAATGCAGTCTCTCTCTGTTGCCCAGGCTGGAGTGCAGTGGCACAATCTCAGCTCACTGCAACCTCGGCCTCCCAGGTTGAAGTGATTCTCGTACCTCGGCCTCCCGAGTAGCTGGGATTACAGGCACGTGCCACCACACCTGGCTGATTTTTGTATTTTTAGTAGAGACAGGGTTTCACCATTTTGGCCAGACTGGTCTCAAATTCCTGGCCTCAAGTGATCCACCCACCTTGGCCTCCCAAAGTGCTGGGATTACAGGTGTGAGCCACTGTGCCCGCCCGGCCTATCTCATTGATCTTTGAGTCAAGCAATGCACAATAACCCCCAGGGCATGGTATATACAGTAGCCTCTGGCATGAGCAGCTTTCATTTATTACCTCAACTTCCCCAGGCTGGCAAAGCCTGGTCCAAGAATATTCCTGAACTTGAGCTGTGGAACTTGAGCAAGGGTCAGGTACCCAGGAGCCTCTGAGACATAGGCTAACATGCCTTCAGACCAGCTCCCTGGTGAACCCCATAGTCGGCTCCTGCTATGAGTGGCCCAGGTCTGAGGTTTGACCACACTGGTTTGCACCTGGGCTTTGCCATTTGCCAGTGTGTGGTGTTTGCTGTGCTTTGTTCAAGTATTATATGAAGGTGCATTTTACAGAGCGCCACGATGCGTGTGGATCACAACACCATCTGTGGATTCCCACAGTTTACAAAACTTGATGCCTTTTTTAGAGTCCTGTGCCGTTGGCAAAAGCCTAGCACAGTCTGCAAACCTCGGCTGCTTCCAGGGCCCCATAACATTCACAGAGCCCTGTGTCTCATGCTAAGCCTGATGCTGTTCATAAAACCCTGGGCTGTTTGCAGAACCCAAGCCCTTACCTTCTTCAAGCCAACCCACTTAGGAAAATGCCTTCTGATAAACCAGGAAAAATAGGAGACTCTTCATTTTATAGAACTATCTGCTCTGGGGTACAAAGGAAGAGGGCTGGGCCCAGATTAAAGACCTCAAGGCTGGTCTCAGCTCTGTCATAATCCTGCTGTAGGACTTTGGGCTGATCCTTTGTCCTCTCTGGGTCTCTGTCTTCCCATCTGTTAAATGGAGATCCTGACATCCAACCCTCCACCTCAGGCCTGTCCTGAGGATCACTGTGAGATGGCTCAGAAGACGGGGTGTGGGCGGGGTGAAAAGGGGAAGAGTGCCCAGAGGCTTCTTCCTGAAAACGGCTCCAAACTACCACCTCAGCATCTTTGTTCCCACTTCCCTTCTGGCCTGGCAGCCAGGAAGGGGATATCTAAAAATGAGCCATGGGCCAGGCAGACAAGCGAGGGCCTCAGCCAGAGCCTCAGCCTTCCCTGCCCGCTGGATGCTGCCTTGGAGTCAGACCGTCGCTGTGCAGACACACTCCCGTGTATGGCTCGTTAACTCTGCTCAAGGAAGGCAATGTCCTCCTTATTTCACCCATGAGGACACTGCCGCTCACAGAGGCCTCATGTCTTGCCTGAGGCTCCATGTCAAGTATATGGCAGGGGCTGGGATCTGAGCCAAGGGCAGCAAGGATGGATGCCTGGTCCTCAGAAGTCGGAGGTGGAAGGAATATGGAGCTCATTTAATTCAACCTTTCCTTTTTTCAGATTGGTAGACTGGGGCCAGGAGAGTGTGGAGATCACGGGGGAGTCACTGTTTATCTCTCCCTAGATAAGCAGGCTTCAGTCTCTCTAGCTGGTTGATGAGAAACAGGCCCCATCCTGCCAAGCATTCAGGGCTTCCCCTGCCTTTGTTGGCACAACTTCTCCATCAGGACACAGCTCATCTCCTAACTGCGAGGAGAGGAGCAGGTGTGCAGGCCGGGTGGGTGTCCAGGTTGCACAGCCACCTAACCTCAACACAGCCCCTGGCTCTTCCAGTGCCCCACCCTTGTATAGCCCCTGCCGTGCTCCCTGTAGCAGCTTAAACCCCATCTGGAGGTTTCTCCCTACCTCCAACCACTCCCTTTGGAAGCTGCCTCCCCCAGCCACCACCTCCAGGCTCTTTCGCCCCACAGCAGCCTTCCCCTGATTCCAACTCCCTCCATCTCTCAGCAGTTTCTCCCTCCAGCCTATGGGAAAACACACTGTGTTGGAAACTGCATCCTTCCCTGAAAGTGACAGCTCTGGGCCCCAGAAAGAGCATGAGCTTGGGTGTCAGTTCAACCCTGACCCAGTACAAAGCTCTCTGAGGCTGTTTCTTCATCTGTGAAATAGAGATGAAACGTGATAACTGAAAA
Organism: Homo sapiens; assembly: GCF_000001405.40. NCBI lineage: Eukaryota > Metazoa > Chordata > Mammalia > Primates > Hominidae > Homo > Homo sapiens. The sequence continues at coordinate 75,147,081 of NC_000011.10, read as the reverse complement.
ATCATGAGATCTATAAATTTGGAGAGAAGACTTTATTTCTTTTCTTTCTTCCTTTTTTTCTTTTTCTTTTTTAGAGACAATGTCTCACTCTGTCCCCCAGGCTGAAGTGCAGTGATGCAATCATGGCTTACTGCAGTCTCCATCACCTGGGCTCCAGCGATTCTCCTGCCTCAGGCACCCCAGTAGCTGGGACTACACGTGCATGCCACCCCGGCTGGTTAATTTTGTAAGTTTTTGTAGAGACAGCGTCTCACTATGTTGCCTAGGCTGGTCTCAAGCAGTCCTCCCACCTTGGCCCCCTGAAGTGCTGGGATTATAGGTATGAGACTTTATTTCTCATGAAGAGTTACAGCCTACAAGGTGGCCATTCTGATGGGCTGGGGAGCTCAGTCTTTGGCAGAGTCCAGAGACAGACACTTCAAGGGAGGAGGGGTTGGACAGAAATTTAAGCTGAACGCATTGACCAAATATACATATTCAACAGGTTATAGGAGGAGCTATGAATATTCATGAGGTGATCCTAATGTATGCATATGGAATAAACATGCATGTTTCATAAGACCCATGTTCACCTTGGGTTGGAGACTTAACATTCAAATGCATATATACATCAAAAGGTGAAGCAAGGACATGAAGGGCTCAAGTGCGGTGTCTATAAACTGGCCAGAACCCATCCATGGTCGGTGGTCTCTTATCAGAAAAAATTCCTGAAACAGTCTCTAGTCCAATCAGAGCTATAGTTATGGCTGGTGGAACGGGGATCAGTTAGTTAGTGTCTGGCGGTGGAGGAGCTGCAAATTGTTTTACCACTGCTTATCTCAAGACCAGGGCTTATTTAGCTGCTAGAGAAAAAGAGAAATGTTGTGGCAGTGAGAACATAGTTTATTCTTTAGTGTATGGGTGTGGGACTTAACCCTTGCCTGGCGTGACCCTAGGTCATGTTTATAGTTTGGCATCTTATTGCCACAAAGAGTCCATTCTGTCAGTCTTATGATCTCTGTTTTAACATTAATGCTGCTCAGGTGTAGTGTCTAAGCCACAAAAGGGAGGAGGATAAACGAGGTGTGTCTCTTGTCCCTTCATGGCCAAGAACTCAGTTTTTAAAGGTTTCTCTGGGGTCCCCTTGGCCAAGAGGTGGGTTGTCCATTCAGTGAATTGAGGGGCTTAGATTTTAGTTTTAGTTGACACAAGAAGCCTCCTGGCAGGACTGTCCTAAACCCTGTTATCTTGCCCGATCTTCTCCTAAGTATGTGGTACAGCTTCTTCCTCCTGGGAGACCGCCCCCAGCCTCGCCCAGTGACCTGGGGCTGGTCACTTGCCCTCTCTGATCCTTAGTGCCATTGTCTGCAAAACACCTTCCCAGAGCTGTCATATGGCTTGGATGAGCTGATGGATAGATTAGTGCTTCCAAAATTCTGAGAGCTGAGCAGATATGAGCCATTATTAATACAGCAGTGATGGTGATGGTGATGACTCTTATAATTCTGGAAGCAGAGGATGAGGAGGAAGTAAATCATGACACGTACGTGCCAGGTCAGCCTGATCTCACTGACAACCCAGGAGAATAAATCACTAGGAAGGCCCCCTGAGGTAGGAGGAAGCTCAGGAGAAAAATGGGGACTCTGCAGGTGGGCGGGGGGACCACGGTTCACAGCTGTTGTTCTACAGGTGCTGCAGGGCTCCAGCTTGGGCACTGGCTGGCCTTCAGCCCCCAGCCCTGGCTCTGCCACTGACATGCTGGTCAGGTCTCATTCCCTGCCTGGTCCTCAGTTTCCTTATTATAAAATGGTGGAGGGTGGGGGGTGCAGGTGCAGTGGCTCATGACTACAATCCCAGTGCTTTGGGAGACCGAGGCAGGAAGATTACTTGAGGCCAGGAGTTCGATGCAAGCCTGGGAAACATAGTGAGACCCTGTCTCTACCAAAAATTTAAAAATTAGCCAGGTGTGGTGGCACATGCCTGTGGTCCCAGCTACTGGGGAGGCTGAAGTGGGGAGGATCCCTTGAGCCCAGGAGTTGGAGGCTGCAGTGAGCTATGATCGCACCACTGTACTCCAGCCTGGGCAGCAGAGCGAGACCCTGTCTCTAAAAAAAAAAAAAAAAAAAAAATTTTAATGGTGGTTGGGGATGGGGGTGGTGGGGGTTGGGGGAAGAGTCTCATTCTGCTCTGCCCCTGTCTTTTGGAGTCTCATTCTGCTCATGGCCCACATGAGCTAATGGCTGTGCCACTGTTTTCCTAAAGTGTCAAGTGTGGGATTACAGTTATTAATGTGTCTCCTTGGAGAGAGGACACGGGAGAGGGGTGGTGCAGCAAAGGCTGGGAGGGATGCCGAGGGTGGGAGTTGGGGATGGGGTGAGTGGGGGTGGCAAATGCGCGATGGGAGCAAGCCCCTGCCAGGCCGTGGATAATTTGGAAGAAGGGCCCTGCTCCCTAAAGACTTTGCAACACTGCCCCCTGGGGGCTGGAGAGGAAGCCTGTGCCCTGACTTTTCCTCTGAGGCTTCAGTCAGGGAGGGGACCTTGAAGGACCACTGTCCAGAGGCTGAACTGGGTGGGCCAGAAGAAACCCAGCTAGGGCAGTCATTGCCTGCCCGCGTTCCCCACCTGTCCATTCCACTTCACGAGCCTCTCAAATCTGCAGCCCTGTCCTGGCCTAGCCCACCACTGCTCTTGTCTGGGCCATGCCCCGGCCTCTTTCCTACCTCCAGTTTCACACCAGCCCATCTTCTTGCAAGCCAGAGGGAACTTTCTGACCCTTAAATCCTACCATGCCCCTTTCTGTGTAAAACCCTGACCCAGCTCTCAGTAACCCCAGGAGAGACCATCCTTCTCAGCCTGACACTGAGTGGCCCCTGTCTCTCTGTCCAATCACATCTTCTGCAGGTCACTATCCTCACTCGCAGATGAGACATTACAGGAGTGTTTAGAGCAAGGAAGGCGCTGGGGTAGGACTTCTCGGGTGTGACTGCTGGCTTCCCCCCTTAGTAGCTGTGTTATTTAATTCTTAGTTTGCGGTTTTTTTTTTTTTTTTTGAGACAGAGTCTTGCTCTGTCACCCAGGCTGGAGTGCAGTGGCATGATCTCGGCTCACTGCAACCTCTGCCTCCTGGGTTCAAGCAATTCTCCTGCTTCAGTCTCCTGAGTAGCTGGGACTACAGCTGTGCACCACCACACCTGGCTAATTTTTGTATTTTTAGTAGAGACAAGGTTTCACCATGTTGGCCAGGCTGGTCTGGAACTCATGACCTCAGGTGATCTGCCCATCATGGCCTCCCAAAGTGCTGGGATTACAGGCGTGAGTGCCCAGCCTGCAGTACTTTTTTAAACTGTAAAGTATATATAACATAAAATGTTAACGTAAAATTCAGTGGCATGAAGTACATCTACACTGTTGTACAACCATCCTCACCATCCATCTCCAGACCTCCCTCATCTTTCCAAACGGAGACTCAGATTCATGTGTTCTTCATTCCACCTCTGTTTTCTCATCTGACGGATGGAACTAATCACTGAATGTGTTTTGCATGTGCTTACAGGTGGGTAATAGGTACTCAGGCAATGTTACGATTGTTTTCTTCTCTTGAGGAAGCTGCTCTGGAAAGTCAGTGCAGCAGCACCACATGGAGTGATCTCTAGAAACCCACAGCCTACCGCTGCCCGGCTTCATTTCTGTGGCTCGGGCAGATTTTCTGAGAGCTGCTGGGGAAGCATGCCGCCCATCTCATCTGGGAAGATGAGTCACTTCCTCTGCTGCTGGGTTATGAGCCTAGGGATGGGGAAGGCAGGAAGCAGAACACAAGCAGCTGCTTCTCAGCTGGGCGGGGCCTCCGCAGTGGCTCACATAAGAACCACGTGGCAAGGTGGATTCTCTCTGGTGTCTGGACCAGGGTAGGACACCCTAACTTGCCTGTGTGCCAGCTCTCTCAGGAGGGGCTGGAGCAGGCTAACTTGCTTCCATCAGTGTTGCTTATTCAGAGCACAACAGTTTGCGTTTTGCTTGATTCTCTCCTTTTCACATCATGCTCCCAACACATCATCCGCCCCCCACATTCTGTGCACACACTTCCAAGATTCACTCACTCCAACTGTTCCTGGCATGCGCGTCTAAAATCATCTCACCTTCCAAGTGGCACTGTCCTCATTTAAATGCATGTCTTTTTTTTGTCCCCTAGGTGGAACTAGGGGAGAGACCAGGCCTCAGGCCTCCCTGATGGATCCTGGTTTCTGGCCTGCTCTCTGGCCAGGGGAGCAAGTGGATCTCTCCAGCAAACAAGCTGAATGGTGGTGTCAGAATCAGAGCTGGGTCCAGACAGGACGCTTAGAGGGCCACAGAATCTCCTCCTAAGAGTCCTTCAGCTGGGGACTCTAGTCTTTTCAGTTAAAGACATCAACCATCCTCCAGAAAGAGCCAGCGGTGGCAAGCAGTTAGCTTAAGCAAACCAGTCAAGTCTTTGGAGTAGCTTAGGCTGGAACTCGGCCAACATTAGTTGTGTGGCATGGGGCAGATACTTCATTTTTCTAAGCCTCAGTTTCTTCTTCAAAATGGATGCAATGATCATGACTAACACTCATTATTTGCCAAGCACTGTTCTAAGCACTTGTATCAGCTCAGTTAATGCTCCAAACAACCTATTATAATCCCCAATTTACAGATGAGGAAACTGAGGTACAGAGAGACCTGCCAAGGTCACACAGTTGGTAAGAGGCAGATCAGGATCTTAACCTAGACAATCTGGCCCCAGAGTCCAAGCCCCTAACCATGGCACTTAACCGTCTCAGAGGGCAAATTTGAGGACTCAGTCATTATCCACTGGTCCCTAAGCCATGAGGTTGAATACAGAATGATCCAAGTACTAAGCTGCTGCCTTTGACTGACCCTGGGCATTTTACTTTCCTTGTCAAATCTCAGGTTTCCCTCCTACAACAGGAGGGGCTTGAACCCCAGCTCCGGCTCAGCAGAGAGCTCACCATTTGCCTGGAAACCTGCCCCTCCCTGGTCCCTGTTCTGAGCCCCTCCCATCTCCTCAGAGTCAGCCCCCATCCCTGCAGCCTGTGTGGCAACTCTGCCTTCATATTTCTGTCTGTCTTATTCCCTCTTCTCCCTAAATTCAAAGACCACTCCTTGTTCCTGTAGAACCCTTGCACAGCCTCCTTAATCATCTGTGACTCCCGTCTCCCTAGTTCTAATCCATCCTCCACATTCTACTGGAGCCATCTTTCCAAACACTAATCTTTTTTTTAGACAGGATCTTACTCTGTCATTCAGGCTGGAGTGCAGTGGTGCCATCCTAGCTCACTGTAGCCTCAAACAAGCAATCCTCCCACCTCAAGCTTTCCAAGTAGCCGGGACCACAGGCATGCACCACCATGCACAGCTAATTTTTTTTATTTTTATTTTTGTAGAGACAGAGTCTTGCTATGTTGCCCAGGCTGGTCTCAGACTCCTGGGCTAAAGTGATCCTCCCACCATGGCCTCCCAAAGTGCTGGGATTACAGGTGTGAGACACCTTGCCCAGCTCCCAACCCTAATCTTATTGTGCCCAGCCATTCTCCTCAGAGCAAAGCCTATTTCTTAGCCTAACATTTGCTGCTCATCACCACACACCTATAACCTACCTTTTGCACTTTCATCCCTGGCGCCTGCATATGCACAGTTCCCTCAGCTCAAATGCCCTTCCTGCCTTTTACCACTGGATAAGCACAGATCCATCCTTCACCTGATAAGGACGACCTCCAATCCCTCCCAGCACCACCCAAGTGTTCCCTGCTTCCTCCTGAAAGAATACACACGTGCTCACAGTCATACCCTAGTTCTCCACGTGTCCTTGGCTGACCAGCATCGAGCAGGCTGGCCATTCACTCGAGGAGCTTCCCATCAGCCAGTTCCTCTGCCTGCAGCCTTCCTCCTGTTCACTCATCTGAGCTGCTCCAATGCTCCAATGCAAATGGAGTTTTTCTTCCCCTTCTCAGACACTGGACTAAGAATGGGGGCAACCCAGGGTCACCTGTCACAGGACTGGCATAATCCAAAAGAGAAACTGAGTGCAAGAGTCTCAGGCTTTGCAGGGTGAGAAACCTCAGAGGGGAAGGCATCCAGCGGGTGGAATCTCTGTGGCTGTGGTGGCGATTGCACTGAGGCACCTGATGATTTGCAAAGAGCTCTCACATAGAGTAGCTCACTAAACCTCACTCGAGCCAATGTTGCCATTATTATTACCCCCATTCCCAAAGAGGAAACAGAGGCAGAGAGAAGTGAAGTCATGCGCGCCCAAGGACACACAGGTGGTACGTGGAACTGAGATTTGAGACCAGGTGCGTTTGGCCCCCAAAGCTGATGCCCTTGCGCTGGGGCCACACTGCCCCCTGGTGGCAGCGAGGATGGTGGCGGTGATGAGTATGCCGGAGGCCCAGCACTGGGGACACATTCTGGACTCTCCTACCCTGAGCTCCATGGCCTCCTCTGCATGGTCGGTAAGGTGGCCCAGGTTCTCTCTGGACATATTCATAACCTCCCTTTGGCACTTTCCTTTTCCAGCCTCTCGCGTCTGTCGGAGCCTCGCACACCTGGGGGAGTGAGGGCGGTAGGGGCCAGACAGAGAGACAGAGCTCCACCGTTCCCAGTGTTTCCAGGGCAGAGCAGCGCCAGGACAGGGCACAGGCAGCCAGCCTCTGGTTTAGGGGGAACTTCAAGGGTTGGGCTATTTTTTTGTTCTTAGCTTAAAAGTATTCCTGAAATACACGGGCTCCTGCTGAAGACATTTCCGTGCCTCTCCGATTTCTGTGGAGGGAGACAGTGGATGGACTGTGAGTGTCTGGACTTCCCCATGGTCCCAGGAGAGGGACAGTGGCTTGTGCAACCTGGATGAAATGTTTATGACGTCTGCTTGTGACTGTTACCTCTTCTCAACCTGCACTACACCAGCTCAGAGCTTGCACTTAAGAAATACCTGATGATGAGGCCGGGCATGGTGGCTCACGCCAGCACTTTGGGAGGCCGAGGTGAGTGGATCACGAGGTCAGGAGTTCAAGATCAGCCTGGTCAAGGTGGCAAAACCCCGTCTCTACTAAAAATACAAAAAAAAAAAAAAAAAAAAAAAAAAAAAAGCCAGGCGTGGCGGCAGGTGCCTGTAATCCCAGCTACTCAGGAGTCTGAGGCAGAGAATTGCTTGAACCTGGGAGGCGGAGGTTGCAGTGAGCAGAGATTGCACTACTGCACTCCAGCCTGGGCGACAGAGCAAGACTCCATCTCAAAAAAAAAAAAAAAAAAGAAAAAAAAAAAAGAAATACCTGATTATCAATCCTCCATTTTGCAGAAGAGAAAACAGATTCTCAGAGAGCTAAATGCCAGGCTTGAATCCAAATTAGTCTGGCACCAAGATCGGAGCATTTAACCACTATACTGCCTCCCAGTCCCGTTCAATGGGGAACAAACACTTCTACAGTCTCAATATCTTCACAAAATTCTCCTACCACTCCAGTCTTAAGTGAGGATAGGCCGTCCCCCTGCAGCGCCAGATCTGCACACTGACCTTTACTGCACTCTTTCTACTCTCTTGTCTCCCACTCCCACTGGGAGCCCAGACACTGGCTTCAGAAGCTCTCCTCCTCCTCCTCTATTGACCATCCTCTTCATCCTCTCACTCTCTACTGGCTGCTTCCTACCCACGAATTGTGGGAAATATGCTAAAATATCTCCAATTTTTAAAGTACAACAAAATTCCCCCTGATTTCTTGCTATGGTCTGAATGTTTGTGACCTTCAAAATCCATATGTTAAATCTTGGCCAGGTGTGGTGGCTCACACCTGTAACCCCAGTGTTTTAGGAGGCCATGGTGCGAGAACTGCTTGAGGCCCAGAGTTCAAGACCAGCCTGTGCAGCATAGTGAGACTCTGTCTCTACAGAAATGGAAAACACTAGCCGGGCATAGTGGCATGTGCCTGTAATCCCAGCTATATGGGAGGCTGAGGCGGGAAGATCACTTAACCCCAGGAGTTTGAGGCAGTGAGCTATGATGGTGCTACTGCGCTCCAGCCAGTGCAACAGAGTGAGACCCTGTATCTAAAAAAAAAAAAAAAATGAATGCATGAGTGAATAAATAAATTAAAATTTAAAAGGTCAGGCATGGTCTCAGCTCCCAGCTACTTGGGAGGCTAAGGCAGGAGGATTGTTTGAGGCCAGGGGTTCAAGACAAGCCTGGGCCACATAGCAAGATACTGTCTCTACAAAAAAAATTTTCTTTTTTTTAATAAAGCAAACCTAACCTCTAGGGTGATGGTGTTTAATGGTGGGGCCTTTGGGAAGTGATTAGTTTGTAAGGGTAAAGCCCTCTTGAATGAGATTACATCCCTTATAAAAGAGGCCTGAGAGAGCTTGTTGGTCCCTTCCACCATGTGAGGACACAGCTAGAAAGTGCCATCTATGAAGCAGAGAGCAGCCCTCACCAGACACTGGATCCACTGGCACCTTGATCTTGGACTTCCCAGCCTCCAGAACTGTGAGCAATAAATTTCTGTTGTTTACAAATGACCCAGTTTAAGGTATTTTGTTATAAAACCCTGAACTGCCTAGGACACATCTCATCAGCCTCCAACCATCCACATCTCTTTTCAGCTAAACATCTTGAAGATGTTATCTATTCTCTCTCCATTTACTCACTCCCAACCTTCCACGCTCACTGTTCCACTGGCCTGTTCACACCTGGGGCACCAGTGATCCCCTCATCACTGGACCCCACAGACACTTTTCATCCGATTCTTGTCCTCTTGGGCACATCAGCAACATTTGATGCTGCTGACCACAGCTGCCCTAGGGAGCTTCTGTGATATAACACTCTCCTGGTTTTGCTTCACGCTCTCTGGCTGTTGTTTCTCAGTATCTTTTACAGAAATTTCTTGTTCTGCCTCAGTCTCATGTTGTTTCCCCCCATGGTTCTGTCCTTCTCACACTACACTCTCTCCCTAGGTGATCTTGTTCACTATCATAAGTATATGCCTCCCAAGTCTTTGCCTGCATCCACTCTCTCTCCTGAGCTCCAGACATCAGTCAACATCACCACCATCTGTCTCGTCACCCAAACCAGAATACTGGGCATCATCTTGGACCTTTCCATAATCAGTTGTCAAATTCTGACTATTCTACCTCTTGAAGATTCTCCAAATTTTTTTTTTCCTTACTCTGTTGCCTGGGCTGGAATGCAGTGGCTTGATCTTGGCTTACTGCAACCTCTGCCTCCCAGGTTCAAGAGATTCTCCTGCCTCAGCCTCCCAAGTAGCTGGGATTATAGGCATGTGCCACCACCCCTGGCTAATTTTTATGTTTTTAGTAGAGTTGGGGTTTCACCATGTTGGCCAGGCTGATCTCGAACTCCTGACCTCAAGTGATCCACCCGCCTCAGCCTCCCAAAGTGGGATTACAGACGTGAGGCACCACGCCCAGCCAGATTCTCTAAGCTTTGATAGTTAAGAGGCATGGCTTTGGAGATGGATTGGACTCTACACTAACTCACTATTTATCCAGCAGAATGACCAAAGCAGGCTTAGTTACTTAACCCTCTGAGCTCCCTCATCCATAAAACAAGGGTAATGGAAATTGCTCCTTGGATTAAATGAAATGAAGTATGTGACTACCAGGGCACAGCCATTAGTACAAGTAAGCTCTCAATAAAGGGCAGCCATCATCTGCTATCATTGTCATTAATACTCCTCTCTATTCCTCTCCTCACCACCAAGCTTCCTGGCTGGTTGCCCTGCCTCTGGTCTCTCTCTCCTACTCGAAGACATTCCCCGTGCCACAGTGGGTATGAGCTTTCTCAAACATGTAGCTGACTATCTTAGCCCTCTGTCTGAGCCCTGGTTCTGGCTTTCCAATGTCCTCATGCTGAGGGTTGTTCTTGGCTTCAAGACTCTCCTCCCTCTGGCCCCTGCCAACCTCTTTAGCCTCATCTTTGGAGACTCGCAGTCTCTCCTTCTATATTGCAGCCCAAACCAACTTCTATCTCCCCTCTAACACACCTCCTGCTTTTTCTACACTTCATGACTTTGTTTACCCCCTCCTTTGTGGCCTGCACTCTATTCATCTGCTTGAAATTTATGACCCATTTAAGAGATGTCTTCCATGATGCAAGTCGCTTTGTTTCCTCCTCTGGGCCCTTCAGCTCTATGGTAGCACAGATCACAGTGGATATGATGGACAGGGTTTTGGCTGGCTACCCCACTAGACTGTGTCAATTCCCTGTGACCATGCACCCAGTGCAAAGCCAGCCTTATTCAATGTGGAATGAAAAACGAACCTCAGTTATCTTAATCTTTAAAATGGCAGCATTGGCAGCCAGGCCTGGTCAATCCAGAGGAGAGAAAGAGCACTGGAGCCTGGAGGAAGATGAAGTCACAGAAGGCTCCCTGGAGGAGGTCGGGCTTAGAATTATAAGGCCTCTGTATTAGTCTGTTTTCACACTGCTGATACAGACATACTCAAGACTGGGCAATCTTCTGAGCCCTCCAAACTGTTCCAACCTGTGCCTGTTACCCAGTTCCAAAGTCGCTTCCACAGTTTTGGGTATCTTTTCAGCAATGCCGCACTCTATCGGTACCAATTTACTGTATTAGTCCTTTTTCATGATGCTGATAAAGACATACCTGAGACTGGGCAATTTATAAAAGGAAGAGGTTTATTGGACGTACAGTTCCACTTGGCTGGGGAAGTCACACAATCATGGCAGAAGGCAAGGAAGAGCAAGTCTCGTCTTACATGGATGGTGGCAGGCAAAGAGAGAATGAGGAAGATTCAAAAGTGGAAACCCCTGATAAAATAATCAGATCTCATGAGACTTGTTCACTACCAAGAGAACAGTAGAGGGGAAACCACCTCCATGATTCAGTTATCTCCCACTGGGTCCCTCCCACAAAACGTGGGAATTATGGGAGTACAATTCAAGATGAGATTTGGGTGGGGACACAGAGCCAAACCATATCAGCCGCTAAGAACGATCAAGAGTGAGCAAGAGAGTGAGGATTTGGAAGACTGAGTGGCTCTCTGTTCTGTCATGCTTGTTCCTCCAGCTTCAATACACTTGAGGGGTCCCACCAACCAATAGCACAGCCTTTTACATTTACACGGAAAATTTTCACTAACTTTTTCATTTGTGTCATTGGTGCAGAGGCTGGAGTGAGGGTTAGGAAATCTGAGACTTCCTATCCTGACTTGTGTTTGGATTGCTGTGTGACTTTGGGCAATCCCTTTCACCTCTGAGCCTGTTTCCTCATCTGCCACATGTGGATACCAATGGTTGCTCCACACATAGGAAAGTCCCCATAGACCATAAAGTTCTGTGTCCCACTAAGCACTATTAATCTTGTTGTTCTAATTATCAGCAAAGCCCATGGTAGCTGCTAACCAGCCACCTGGGGGTCCCCAGAAAATATTATTCAGGGCCCCAGTAAAAGGGAACCTCTGGGGGTCAAGGCCCCAGCAGGCCAGGAAGGGGTAGAGCTTGGGAGTTTAATGGAAATAGGCTCAGCTCCAACCTGGTTCTTCCCACTGAGGCAGCACTGACTTCGGGAGAGGAAGGAGCAGCTGGCATGGCCTGGGTTGGGCAGATGAGCTGGGTTGACCTGCAGAGGTCTCGGGCATGAAGGCTGAAAGTGAAGTGCCCAAAGCCAGCCATAGCCAAGGAGGGGCTAGGCTCTGGGAGGGCAGCGTCTGGGGAGGTGGGCAGTTAGGGACCCTCATCCCGCTAGGAGAGGGGCTCTAAGAGAAGGGATCTGGGCCAAACTCTTTGTGCTCTGATTTAGAGCATTCCTGGCAGGCAGGCTATGCTGCTGGTTTGCCATCTGTGTGACTGTGGCTGGGTCAGAACTCCCACTGGGCCTCCCCCTGCGTATCAGCAGCAATACAGGAGCTGGACTAGGAGCTCTCTATAGAGCCTAGTGTTGTCTGATTCTGCAGCAGCACTGGACAGAAAGCTCTGAGGTTGTTAGGACAGTCATGGTCCAGTCTGCCTGTGGAAAACTGGGAAACCAGGTGCCCAGACCCCACTGACATGTTGATTTTGTAGAAGAGGGGTCAGAACACATCCCAGGCCCCAGGGAACGCCTAGTCTGGTGAGGGAAGCAGATGTGAACATGGATAGCTCCCAGTATTGTCTGGGCTGCCAGACAGGCAAGCTTCAGGGACCCTCCCACAGAGGACACCTGGGAGCCCTGAACAGGGAGCAGGCATCTGGTTTCTGGTGTGGCTCTGCCAATAGCTCTCTGTGTAGCCTTGACCAAGATCAGCTCCCCTATCAGCTTTAAAAAAATGTATTTTTAAGTTATTTTTATTTTTTATAGAAACAGGGTCTCGCTATGTTGGCCAGGCTGGTCTTGAACTCTTGACCTCAGGTGATCCATCTGCCTCAGCCTCCCAAAATGTTGGGATTACAGGCATGAGCCACCGCACCCAGCCCAGGTCTGCTTTATCTTAATAGGGAGTGAATTCATTTTCAACTTGGGTTCCATTCAGGAAATAACTCCTTCTATCAAAGGCACATACAATGTCTCTGCCCTCTGAGAGTGACCAACAGAGGAGTTTCACAGGACATGGGACTTTCAGTGCTGAAACCAGGACAGTTCTGGGCAAATCAATATGGTTGGTCACTGTATGATATGACAAAGAGAAAGGATACAAAGACAGGTCCCAGGGCACCCAGGCTAGAAAGAAACAGACAGAGCAAGCCCCTGTACAGGCACACAGAAGAGGAAGCTATTTCTGGGGTAAGCAGACAGCATTTTGAAGTGCTTCTTGAAGGAAGCAGCTGAAGAGAAAGATATCACAGAAAAGGAATTCTCATGTGAATGGAAATGGAGAGACTGAAACAAAGGGCACTGATTCAGACATAACATTCCGACCCAGATAGAGTGAGATGAGAATAGAGCGGGGCGTAGAAGAGGAATGGAATCCAGAGCATGACAGAAGCCATTGTTCCGGCTATCCCCAAAGAAGTTTTCCCAGCAGTTCCCTAGAGCTCATGAGCTAGGAGTCTTTATCGGTGGCCCCTGACAATCCTCCAGGCTGAGAGGAACACACCATCAAGGGAACCTTAGAATGAACGACATAGTTTTCACTCTAGAGTTTAGCTTTACTCACTGCCAACCAGTGATTCTGCTGTCTTCACAAGGTCCCAAGATAAAGAACGCCATTCAGGAATCGTGCAGGCATAGCTGGACTGGATGGACTTATGTCAAATGACTACAGTCAAGATCCTGGTGCTTAGAGTGGGCAAAACCTGGTAAGTGTATTCATCAACATTACCATACCTAGAAGATTACTTCACCTGTGCTAGTGGGAACTGGGCTAAAAACCAGACATCCTTAAAGGAGCTACTTGAACTAATAAAAGAGCTACTTGATTTTTTAATTGGCATTTGAACACAAGCAGATGCCTCTCAGATTTTTTTCTCTCCAATAGGTTAAATTTGCCCACCAACACCGCAATCTTATTTTTTAATTTTTGTAAGATAAGATCTTGCTCTGCTGCCCAGCTTAGAGTGCAGTGGTGTGATCATGGCTCACTGCAGCCTCAAACTCCTAGGCTTACCTTCACATCTGGGGTAGTTACGATTACAGGTGCATGTCACAATGCCTGACTAACTTTTTTGACTTTTTATAGAAAAGGGGTCTTTCTATGTTGCCTGGCTGGTCTCAAACTTCTGGCCTCAAGCGATCCTCTGGCCTTAGCCTCTAAAAGTGTTGGGATTACAGGTGTGAGCCACTGTACCTGGCTACAATCTTGTTCATGTGATTCATTTATGTTATTATTATTATTTTTAGAAGCAATGAATCTAGGGTTAGAAGGTCACTTAAAGGTTTTTAATCTAGCTGCTATCCAAGTACTACATCTCTGTAGCATTCCAGAAAAAGACCTCAGCCTTGCAACCTCTAGTTACATGGACTTCACTAATTATCAAGCCTGTTTTTGCATTATGGAGTTGTTCTTTCTTTTTCTTTTTCTTTTTTTCTTTTGAGACAGGGTCTCACTCTGTTGCCCAGGCTGGAGTGCAGTGGTGCAATCTCAGCTCACTGCAACCTCCGCCTCCAGAGTTCAAGTTATTTTCCTGCCTCAGCCTCCTGAATAGCTGGGACTACAGGTATGTGCCACCACGCCTGGCTAATTTTTGTATTTTTAGTAGAGACAAGGTTTTACCACGTTGTCCAGGCTAGTTTTAAACTCCTGACCTCAGATATCTGCCCACCTTGGCCTCCCAAAGTGCTGAGATTACAGGCATGAGCCACCGCGCCCGGCCTTCATTATGGGGTCATTCTAATGGTAAGAAACTGCTTCCATATGTGGGATTGATCTCTGGGCCCCTGAAGCTGCTAACAGTGGCCCCACTTCTTTGTAAGTGTTGCTCCTTCTCTTTGACAGTTCTTAGGTGTTTGTATCCACCTCTCTTCCCCCCAGAACAGGACCAGCTCTTTCTGCCATTGTTGTTAGACATCTCACCACTCTGGGAATCTTAATTGTGCAATACAATTCCTGGCACAAAGAAAGTGTTGGGACTGAGATCCATGGTTGGAAAGGAAAAATATACATGTTCTAGTGAATGTTTCCTTGATTGCTCTGGTTTCCAGATGTTCCCAGTGTGTGTCTACAGACATCCAACTCTGACCCACTGTGGAGGCCACAGCCTGTAATGGATCAGAGGACTCCTTGCCTGTCTTCTGCCTGGTCAGCATCCCCTCTCTGCCAGAGTCCCTCTTCCCCCAACTCCCGTCTTTGTGGTTTTCTTTCTTCTTTCCTTTTTTCTTTTCTTTTCCTTTCTTTTCTTTTCTTTTCTTTTCTTTTCTTTCTCCCTTCCTTTCTCCCTTCCTTCCTTCTTTCTCCTTTCCTTTCCTTTCTCTCTTTCTTTCTCTCTCTCTTTGTTTCTATCTTTCTTTCTTTTTTCTTTTTTGATGGAGCTTCGCTCTTGTTGCCCAGGCTGGAGTGCAATGGCGCAATCTCTGCTCACTGCAAACTCCACCTCCCAGGTTCAAGCAATCCTCCCACCTCAGCCTCTGGAGTAGCTGGGATTACAGGCACCTACCGCCTGGCTAATTTTTATATTTTTAGTACAGATGGGATTTTACAATGTTGGCCAGGCTGGTATTGAACTCCTGGCCTCAAAAGATCTGCCTGCCTTGGCGTCCCAAAGTTCTGGGATTACAGGTGTGAGCCACCATGCCTGGCCTTGATTTTCTTCTTAATCTATCCGCTTATCCTGGTGGGTAATGACCAGATCCTGGTGGTTGTGATGGCAGAGGCCAGCCTTCACAAGCCTGTGTACTTCTTCCTGATAAACCTCTCAGCCCTAGACATCCTCTCCACTACAGTCACTGTCCCCAAGACGCTGCCCCTGTTCTTGCTTGGGGACCACTTCCTCAGCTTCCCTGCCTGCTTCCTACAGATGTACCTGTTCCACAGCTTCTCCTGCTCAGAAGCCTTCATCCTGGTGGTCATGGCCTATGACCGCTATGTAGCTATCTGCCACCCACTGCAATACCCTGTTCTCATGAACCCACAGACCAATGCTGTCTTGGCAACCGGTGCCTGGCTCACTGCCCTCCTCCTGCCCATTCCAGCAGTAGTACAGACCTCCCAGATGGCATTTGACAGCATTGCTGACATCTACCACTGCTTCTGTGATCATCTGGCTGTGGTCCAGGCCTCCTGCTCTGATACCACCCCCAGACCTTCATGGGTTTCTGCATCGCCATGGTGGTGTCCTTCCTCCCCCTTCTCCTGGTGCTTCTCTCCTATGCCCACATCTTGACCTCGGTGCTTCGCATTAACTCCCAAGAAGGACGCTCCAAAGCCTTCTCCACCTGCAGCTCCCATCTCCCGGTAGTGGGCACCTACTACTCATCCATTGCCATAGCCTATGTGGCCTACAGCGCTGACCTGCCCCTCGACTTCCACGTCATGGGCAATGTTGTACATGTCTTCTTCTTCCTCTTCTTCTTCTTCTTCCTCTTCCTCTTCTTCCTCTTCCTCTTCGTCTTCCTCTTCTTCTTCTTCTCCTTCTCCTTCCTCTTCCTCTTCTTCTCCTTCTCCTTCTTCTTCTTTCTTCTTTAATACATCCTTCCCTCCCTGTATATGCCATGCCATTCTCACACCTGTTCTCCACTCTCACCTGCATGCTGAGGAACAGGGATGTCAAAGCAGCCATCACCAAGATCGCATGTCCCCAGGAGCTAGGGTGTTCTGGGGGCCCTAGATCCCTAGATCCAACTAATTCAGCTCCCAGGATACCAATGACAGCACCTAGCTCAGAAGAACAACTCAATAAATATTTTTAAATGAATTATAGCAATCTAATTTGGTTTCGTTTATTTGAGCAGACAGCTACAATCTGGTTCTCAAATACTGGATCAGGAAGTTTTCCCAATAGTACTATAGAATAATTATAGAATAATTGCAGACTTCACTATTTTCTTTTCTTTTTTTCTTTCTTTCCTTTTTTTTTTTTTTTTTTGAGACAGAGTCTCACTCTGTCGCCCAGGCTAGAGTGTAGTGGCACAATCTCAGCTCACTGCAAACTCTGCCTCTTGGGTTCAAGTGATTCTCCTGCCTCAGCCTCCCAAGTAGCTGGGATTACAGGCACCTGCCACTACACCCAGTTAATTTTTGTATTTTTATTTATTTTTATTTTATTATTATTATACTTTAAGTATTAGGGTACATGTGCACAATGCGCAGGTTAGTTACATATGTATACATGTGCCATGCTGGTGTGCTGCACCCATTAACTTGTCATTTAGCATTAGGTATATCTCCTAAAGCTATCCCTCCCCCCTCCCCCCACCCCAATTTTTGTATTTTTAATTGAGATGGGGTTTCACCACGTTGGCCAGGCTGGTCTTGAACTCCTGACCTCAGGTGATCTGCCCACCTTGGCCTCCCAAAGTGCTGGGATTAAATGCGTGAGCCATCACGCCTGGCCGACTTCACAATTTTCATCCGTCATTAATGTAATGAATAAAACTTTATCATTCAGTCATTCATAAAAATTCATATTGGGTGCTAGAGACAGAAATGAACCAGACAAAAATTGTTTCCCTGGAGGCATCTATAGTTGAGTGTAGGAGTCAGACCCAGAGAGAAAAAAGCATCTGGTGATAGGACAAAGAGAAGCAAAAGGGGTTGAAGGAGCTCAGAAGTTAGCATTTAATTCAATGTTAAAATTTTCTCCTGTAAGTTCTTATATTTTTGGCATTGAGTATCACTTATTTGTTAGCAAGTACTCATTTATCAGCAACACAGGCAGTGGAGGGTTGGGGAGCTTGGAAAGACTGGGTAAGAAAACCACTAGCTGCTCCAACCAGGGAGTGGTAACACTGTCCATGTTCCTGCCCAGTTGGAAGGATTCATCTTTAGTTTGGATGACCATCAAGATGGGATGCTTATGACCAGGTGTGGTGGCTCATGCTTGTAATCTCAGCACTTTTGGAGGCCGAGATGGGCAGATCACTTGAGGTCAGGAGTTTGAGACTAGCCTGGCCAACATGGTGAAACCCCGTCTCTAGTAAAAATACAAAAATTAGCTGGGTGTGATGGCGGGCACCTGTAATCCCAGCTACGTAGGAGGCTGAGACAGGAGAATCGCTTGAACCTGGGAGATGGAGGTTGCAGTGAACTGAGATTGTGCCACTGCACTCCAGCCTGGGCAACATGAGCAAAACTCCATCTCAAAAAAAAAAAATGGGATGCTTCCTGCTAAGGAAGGAGACCACTACTACTCCTGCTGCCCTCCTCCCCTCCACCTTGCCTAGTTCACAAGACAGGAGGAAAGAGAGAAAGCAAAAAGTTGGAAAGAAACAGAAGTAAGATAAGTAGCCAGACAACCTTGGCACCACAACCTGGCCCTAGGAGTTAAAAAAGTAATAATAATAACATCAACCCCTGACCTAAACTACTTGTGTTATCTTTAAATTCCAGACATTGTATGAAAAAGCATTGCAAAACTGTCTGTTTTGTTAGCTGATGCGTGTAGCCCCAGTCACATTCCCCAGGCTTGCTCGATTTATCACAACCTTTTCACGTGGACCCCTTAGAGTTGTAAGCCTTTGAAAAGGCCAACAATTTCTTTTTCAAGGAGCTCGGCTCTTAAGATGCAAGTCTGCTGATGCTCCCTGCCGAATAAACCTCTTCCTTCTTTAATCCAGTGTCTAAGGAGTTTTGTCTGCGGCTTGTCCTGCTACACTGCTAAAGGAGTTTAAATCTCACTTCTCCTTAGAAATCACACAAGGATCAGAGCAAGGATGGACAGAGCTGCAGTGTGTCCCAATCAGGCAGAAAGGAACACCATTGTCAGGAGAGCACACAGCAGGAAGCTGGCACTTTGTGGTGCATATTGTAGGGAAGTAAATCTGCAAGAAAGCCTCAGCACTTAGCCGGACACTGAATAAGTGGATAATTTTTCACAAACCCCATTAATAAGGGTATTCATATGAGGAAATGACATCCTGCAGACCCACAAGCAACAAGCCCATGACATCTGTAGAACCAGACTCTGTGAGAGATGAGGAATACAGGCAAGTCTAAGATCAAAGACTTTCTTAGAGCCACGGATTCTTGGTAGTTTTTAGTCAGAGGAAATTGCAATTTTCATTATTATTATTATTATTAGAGACAGGGTCTCACTCTATCACACAGGCTTGAGTACAGGGGTGTGATTATAGCTCATTGTAACCTCAAACTCCTGGGCTCAACTGACCTTCCCTTCTCAGCCTCCCACATAGCTGGAACCACAGGCATGCACCACCATGACTGGCTAATTTTTTGATTTTTATTTTTGTAGACATGGGGTCTCACTATGTTGCCCAGGCTGGTCTTGAACTCATGGCCTCAAGCCATCCTTCCACCTTGGCCTCCCAAAGTGCTAGGATTCCAGGCACCTGGCTGTAAATTGCAATTAGTATTTCCTTTAGGTTTTGTGGTATGGTTTTATGTTTATGTCAATAGTATAATAAACTACATATAATTCTCGGTTCAGAGTATGGGTTCAATTATTCCCAAGCTAAACTTCAAATTAGCTTTTTAATATACCCGTTAAGGAATTAACCCCGGTATCATAAACAGATTTCTGCATTAAGTGGAAACATCTGACTGTCACTCTTAATAGTTTGATGCCCATGGTAGGACAGACCAAATAACCAGTCTCTTCATTTCCTTCCAGAACACTCTCTTAGCCAGAATTACATCTGTTAGGATATGCTATATAACATGTTAGTGGTGGAGATGAGGAATAAATAAATACCAAATATATATTAATTGGAAAATGTGGAAGAGGCTGAGATGGGTAGACCACCTGAGCTGAGGAGTTTGAGAGGAGCCTGGGCACATGGTGAAACCCCATCTCTATAAAAAATACAAAAATTAGCCAGGCATGGCAGCACATGCCTGTAGTCCCAGCTACTCAGGAGGCTGAGGTAGGAGAATTGCTTGAGCCCTGGAGGCAGAGGTTGCAGCGAGCCGAGATCATGCCACTGCACTCCAACCTGGGGGACAGAGTGCGACCCTGTCGAAAGAAAGAAAAGAAAGAGAGAAATAAAGAAAGAAAGAAAGAAAGAGAGAGAGAGAGAGAGAGAGAGAGAGAGAGAGAGAGAAAGAAAGAAAGAAAGAAAGAAAGAAAGAAAGAAAGAAAGAAAGAAAGAAAGAAAGAAAGAAAGAAAGAAAATGTGGAAAGCCAATTATACTTGGTTAAAAATTTTCCTTTCCTTTTTTTTTGAGATGGAGTCTCGTTCTGTTGCCCAGGCTGGAGTGCAGTGGTGCAATCTCGAATCACTGCAACTTCCGCCTCCCAGATTCAAGCAATTCTCCTGCCTCAGCCTCCCTAGTAGCTGGGATTATAGGCATGCACCACCACGCCTGGCTAATTTTTGTATTTTTAGTAGACACAGGGTTTCACCATGTTGGCCAGGCTGGTCTCGAACTCCTGACCTCAGGTGATCCACCCGCCTCAGCCTCCCACAGTGCTGGGATTACAGGTGTGAGCCACCGAGCCCAGCCAAATTTTCCTTTTCAATTACATATGTGTTCTTGGTTGTAATTTTATATGGTCCATGCACAATAAGATCCTGTACAAGGGAGCTTATGCCTCATGAGAATGACAGGGTGAAGTGTTGGCCATATCATAGTGTTTCACAGGGAGAAGAATGGCTTTCACTCCCATCGTCACTGGGAGACATCTGAAAACCTTTTGGTTAGAATGAGGAGTCCCAGAATATCAAGGCTGGAAAAAACAGATCATCTGGTTTTACATTTCCCATTTTACAGTTATGAAAACTGAGGCTCATAACACTTTCCCAATGTCACATAGCAAGTCAATGCCAGAGCCAAGACTCAAACACAGATCTCTTGCCCTATAAAACAGTAGTCCTCCCGGAATATTACAATGACTAGGAGTAAACTTGGGCAAAACTGTAATCTTAGGTTTAATGACAGACTGTCTCAGACTTCAGAATTGTCTCTCTGTCTTGCTTGATAAGATTGCCAAACTTCCTTTGCCATATTCTTTACTATGACCAAGAAGTACTCATTGAAACCCCCCCAAAATACTTGGCCATTAGGCAGTTACACATGTCAGTTTCCCAATACGAAACACAGCCAATTGCAAGGTTAGCTTTTTCTCCCAAAACAGAAAGAATGGGTTGAGGAACAAAATGGAACATTTGTTATGTATGCCTTATCTATGTACAATTAAATCTGTCCATATGTCAGCAATGCTCCCAAGAAGAGATGTTTTGAAATGTAAAACCCTTCTTTTACCCAGATAGTGATATTGTCTCTCCTATCGTAGCAACAAGTACCTGAAATAATTCAGTTGATTCCTCAATAGCACTGAGAACAGCTAAAATAAAAAACTCATTAGTCAACCAACAAGTTACTGCATCCCCTGTATACAAGTACTGAATAGCTCAAAAAGAAATGGCCAGCACTGAGGAAATGATTCTTCCTGACGTTTCTTCCATGTGGAGGGAATTCAGTTCATGGAATGCTTTTGACCTTTTCTTGTCCTATTGGCCACTGTATCCTGGGACATTTAGGATGACTTAAAGTCTGCTTGGGAAGACTAATCTGAATATGCTTAGCATAACTTCTCTCTTCTCTCTCGCCTCCTTCCTTACATGCTCCTCTGCTCCTCCATTTGGGCATTTTATAGAGGCTTTTTCTCATGCAGGGATATTTGGGGTGGTTCTACCATGCCTAGGGCTGGGCAGGAATCTCTCTAATTTTGGAGTTTCGTTTTAAGAAGTCCCATGCTCTTGGATATATGCCATGTCCTTCAACCTAGTGATATTACATGCCCTCTGCTTTTGTTCAGACCCACAATTCATTCAGAACTGAAGTGGGGAAAAGAGGTATGGTAATTGGGCCCCCTTAATGACCCTCAACAGTTAACTTGACAACTAGTCACTGAATATACTTGATTCCAAAACCACACAGCCTGTCTGATTTGAAATGTCACTGGATTAGCTGAAAATGAACCAGCCACCTTGGTCTTGGGCTACCAAACCTAGGAGTCAAGACTTCACTGAGCTGAGATAATATGATGATTGTACTAGCCATTAGGGTTTTCAAGTAGTTACCAGTCTAGAAAAGGTCTTTTTTATTATTTTTTAAGTTTTAGGGTACATATGCACAACGTGCAGGTTTGTTACATATGTATACATGTGCCATGTTGGTGTACTGCACCCATTAACTCATCATTTAACACTAGGTATATCTCCTAATGCTATCCCTTCCCCCTCCCCCCACCCCACAACAGGCCCTGGTGTGTGATGTTCCCCTTCCTGGGTCCATGTGTTCTCATTGTTCAATTCCCACCTATGAGTGAGAACATGGGGTGTTTGGTTTTTTGTCCTTGTGATAGTTTGCTTAGAATGATGGTTTCCAGCTTCATCCATGTCCCTACAAAGGACATGAACTCATCATTTTTTATGGCTGCATAGTATTCCATGGTGTATATGTGCCACATTTTCTTAATCCAGTCTATCATTTTTGGACATTTGGGTTGGTTCGAAGTCTTCGCTATTGTGAATAGTGCCGCAATAAACATACATGTGCATGTGTCTTTGTAGCAGCATGATTTATAATCCTTTGGGTATATACCCGGTAATGGGATGGCTGGGTCAAATGGTATGTCTAGTTCTAGATCCCTGAGGAATCACCACACTGACTTCCACAATGGTTGAACTAGTTTACAGTCCCACCAACAGTGTAAAAGTGTTCCTATTTCTCCACATCCTCTCCAGCACCTGTTGTTTCCTGACTTTTTAATGATCACCATTCTAACTGGTGTGAGATGGTATCTCATTGTGGTTTTGATTTGCATTTCTCTGACGGCCAGTGATGATGAGCATTTTTTCATGTGTCTTTTGGCTGCATAAAGGTCTTCTTTTGAGAAGTGTCTGTTCATATCCTTTGCCCACTTTTTGATGGGGTTGTTTGTTTTTTTCTTGTAAATTTGTTTGAGTTCATTGTAGATTCTGGTTATTAGCCATTTGTCAGATGAGTAGATTGCAAAAATGTTCTCCCATTCTGTAGGTTGCCTGTTCACTCTGATGGTAGTTTATTTTGCTGTGCAGAAGCTCTTTAGTTTAATTAGATCCCATTTGTCAATTTTGACTTTTGTTGCCATTGCTTTTGGTGTTTTAGACATGAAGTCCTTGCCCATGCCTATGTCCTGAATGGTAATGCCTAGGTTTTCTTCTAGGGTTTTTATGGTTTTAGGTCTAATATGTAAGTCTTTAATCCATCTTGAATTAATTTTTGTATAAGGTGTAAGGAAGGGATCCAGTTTCAGCTTTCTACATATGGCTAGCCAGTTTTCCCGGCACCATTTATTAAATAGGGAATCCTTTCCCCATTTCTTGTTTTTATCAGGTTTGTCAAAGATCAGATAGTTGTAGATATGTGGCATTATTTCTGAGGGCTCTGTTCTGTTCCATTGGTCTATATCTCTGTTTTGGTACCAGTACCATGCTGTTTTGGTTACTGTAGCCTTGTAGTATAGTTTAAAGTCAGGTAGCGTGATGCCTCCAGCTTTGTTCTTTTGGCTTAGGATTGACTTGGCGATGTGGGCTCTTTTTTGGTTCCATATGAAGTTTAAAGTAGTTTTTTCCAATTCTGTGAAGAAAGTCATTGTTAGCTTGATGGGGATGGCACTGAATCTGTAAATTACCTTGGGCAGTATGGCCATTTTCACGATATTGATTCTTCCTTCTCATGAGCATGGAATGTTCTTCCATTTGTTTGTATCCTCTTTTATTTCATTGAGCGGTGGTTTGTAGTTCTCCTTAAAGAGGTCCTTCACGTCCCTTGTAAGTTGGATTCCTAGATATTTTATTCTCTTTGAAGCAATTGTGAATGGGAGTTCACTCATGATTTGGCTCTCTGTTTGTCTGTTGTTGGTGTATAAGAATGCTTGTAGTTTTTGTACATTGATTTTGTATGCCGAGACTTTGCTGAAGTTGCTTATCAGCTTAAGGAGATTTTGGGCTGAGATGATGGGGTTTTCTAGATATCCAATCATGTCATCTGCAAACAGGGACAATTTGACTTCCTCTTTTCCTAATTGAATACCCTTTATTTCCTTCTCCTGCCTAATTGCCCTGGCCAGAACTTCCAACACTGTTGAATAGGAGTGGTGAGAGAGGGCATCCCTGTCTTGTGCCAGTTTTCAAAGGGAATGCTTCCAGTTTTTGCCCACTCAGTATGATATTGGCTGTGGGTTTGTCATAGATAGCTCTTATTATTGTGAGATACGTCCATCAATACCTAATTTATTGAGAGTTTTTAGCATGAAGGGCTGTTGAATTTTGTCAAAGGCCTTTTCTGCATCTATTGAGATAATGATGTGGTTTTTGTCTTTGGTTCTGTTTATATGCTGGATTACGTTTATTGATTTGCATATGTTGAACCAGACTTGCATCCCAGGGATGAAGCCCACTTGATCGTGGTGGATAAGCTTTTTGATGTGCTGCTGGATTCGGTTTGCCAGTATTTTATTGAGGATTTTTGCATCGATGTTCATCAGGGATATTGGTCTAGAATTCTCTTTTTTTGTTGAGTCTCTGCCCGCCTTTGGTATCAGGATGATGCTGGCCTCATAAAATGAATTAGGGAGGATTCCCTCTTTTTCTATTGATTGGAATAGTTTCAGAAGGAATGGTACCAGCTCCTCCTTGTACCTCTGGTAGAATTCGGCTGTGAATCCATCTGGTCCTGGACTTTTTTTGGTTGGTAAGCTATTAATTATTGCCTCAATTTCAGAGCCTGTTATTGGTCTATTCAGAGATTCAACTTCTTCCTGGCTTAGTTTTGGGAGGGTGTATGTATCGAGGAATTTATCCATTTCTTCTAGATTTTCTAGTTTATTTGCGTAGAGGTGTTTATAGTATTCTCTGATGGTAGTTTGTATTTCTGTGGGATTGGTGGTGATATCCCCTTTATCATTTTTATTGCATCGATTTGATTCTTCTCTCTTTTCTTCTTATTAGTCTTGCTAGCGGTCTAGCAATTTTGTTGATCCTTTCAAAAAACCAGCTCCTGGATTCATTGATTTTTTTGAAGGGTTTTTTGTGTCTCTATTTCCTTCAGTTCTGCTCTGATCTTAGTTATTTCTTGCCTTCTGCTAGCTTTTGAATGTGTTTGCTCTTGCTTCTCTAGTTCTTTTAATTGCGATGTTAGGGTGTCAATTTTAGATCTTTCCTGCTTTCTCTTGTGGGCATTTAGTGCTATAAATTTCCCTCTACACACTGCTTTGAATGTGTCCCAGAGATTCTGGTATGTTGTGTCTTTGTTCTCGTTGGTTTCAAAGAACATCTTTATTTCTGCCTTCATTTCGTTATGTACCCAGTAGTCATTCAGGAGCAGGTTGTTCAGTTTCCATGTAGTTGAGCGGGTTTGAGTGAGTTTCTTAATCCTGAGTTCTAGTTTGATTGCACTGTGGTCTGAGAGACAGTTTGTTATAATTTCTGTTCTTTTACATTTGCTGAGGAGTGCTTTACTTCCAACTATGTGGTCAATTTTGGAATAAGTGTGGTGTGGTGCTGAAAAGAATGTATATTCTGTTGACTTGGGGTGGAGAGTTCTGTAGATGTCTATTAGGTCCGCTTGGTGCAGAGCTGAGTTCAATTCCTGGATATCTTGTTGACTTTCTGTCTCATTGATCTGTCTAATGTTGACAGTGGGGTGTTAAAGTCTCTTATTATTATTGTGTGGGAGTCTAAGTCTCTTTGTAGGTCTCTAAGGACTTGCTTTATGAATCTGGATGCTCCTGTATTGAGTGCATATATATTTACGATAGTTAGTTCTTCTTGTTGAATTGATCCCTTTACCGTTATGTAATGGCCTTCTTTGTCTCTTTGATCGTTGTTGGTTTAAAGTCTGTTTTATCAGAGACTAGGATTGGAACCCCTGCCTTTTTTTGTTTTCCATTTGCTTGGTAGATCTTCCTCCATCCCTTTATTTTCAGTCTGTGTGTGTCTGTGCACGTGAGATGGGTTTCCTAAATACAGCACACTGATGGGTCTTGACTCTTTATCGAATTTGCCAGTCTGTGTCTTTTAATTGGAGCATTTAGCCCATTGACATTTAAGGTTAATATTGTTATGTGTGAATTTGATCCTGTCATTATGATGTTAGCTGATTATTTTGCTCGTTAGTTGATGCAGTTTCTTCCTAGCATCAATCGTCTTTACAATTTGGCATGTTTTTGCAGTGGCTGGTACTGGTTGTTCCTTTCCATGTTTAGTGCTTCCTTCAGGAGCTCTTTTAGGGCAGGCCTGGTGGTGACAAAATCTCCAGCATTTGCTTGTCTGTAAAGTATTTTATTTCTCCTTCACTTATGAAGCTTAGTTTGGCTGGATATGAAATTCTGGGTTGAAAATGCTTTTCTCTAAGAATTTTTAACATTCTTTAATTTTTTAAATTTTAACATTCTTTAAGAATGTTGAATATTGGCCCCCACTCTCTTCTGGCTTGTAGGGTTTCTGCCAAGAGAGCCACTATTAGTCTGATGGGCTTCCCTTTGTGGGTAACCCAACCTTTCTCTCTGGCTGCCCTTAACATTTTTTCCTTAATTTCAACCTTGGTGAATCTGACAATTATGTGTCTGGGGGTTGCTCTTCTCGAGGAGTATCTTTATGGCATTGTCTGTATTTCCTGAGTTTGAATGTTGGCCTGCCTTTCTAGATTGGGGAAGACCTCTTGGATAATATCCTGAAGAGTGTTTTCTAGCTTGGTTCCATTCTCCCCGTGACTTTCAGGTACACCAATCAGACGTAGATTTGGTCTTTTCACATAGTCCCATATTTCTGGGAGGCTATGTTCATTTCTTTTTACTCTTTTTTCTCTAAACTTCTCTTCTCACTTCATTTCATTCATTTGATCTTCCACCGCTGATACCATTTCTTCCAGTTGATCGAATCGGCTACTGAAGCTTGTGCATTCGTCACGTAGTTCTTGTGCCATGGTTTTCAGCTCCATCAGGTCCTTTAAGGACTTCTCTGCATTGGTTATTCTAGTTGCCATTGATCTAATCTTTTTTCAAGGTTTTTAACTTCTTTGCCATGGGTTCCAACTTCCTCCTTTAGCTCGGAGTAGTTTGATCGCCTGAAGCCTTCTTCTCTCCACTCGTCAAAGTCATTCTCCATCCAGCTTTGTTCCGTTGCTGGTGAGGAGCTGCATTCCTTTGGAGGAGGAGAGGTGCTCTGATTTTTAGAATTTTCAGTTTTTCTGCTGTTTTTTCCCCATTTTTGTGGTTTTATCTACCTTTGGTCTTTGATGATGGTGACGTACAGATGGGGTTTTGGTGTGGATGTCCTTTCTGTTTGTTAGTTTTCCTTCTAACAGTCAAGACCCTCAGCTGCAGGTCTGTTGGAGTTTGCTGGAGGTCCACTCCAGACCCTGTTTGCCTGGGTATCAGCAGCAGAGGCTGCAGAACAGCGTATATTGGTGAACAGCAAATGTTGCTGCCTGATTGTTCCTCTGGAAGTTTTGTCTCAGAGGAGTACCCGGCCGTATGAGGTGTCAGTCTGCCGGGTGCCTCCCAGTTAGGCTACTCGGGGGTCAGGGACCCACTTGAGGAGGCAGTCTGTCCGTTCTCAGATCTCAAGCTGCGTGCTGGGAGAACCACTACTCTCTTCAAAGCTGTCAGACAGGGACATTGAAGTCTGCAGAGGTTTCTGCTGCCTTTTGTTTGGCTATGCCCTGCCCCCAGAGGTGGAGTCTACAGAGGCAGGCAGGCCTCCATGAGCTGTGGTGGGCTCCACCCAGTTCAAGCTTCCCAGCTGCTTTGTTTACCTACTCAAGCCTCGGCAATGGCGGGCAACCCTCCCCCAGCCTCACTGCCGCCTTGCAGTTTGATCTCAGACTGCTGTGCTAGCAATGAGCAAGGCTCCGTGGGTGTAGGACCCTCTGAGCCAGGCCCGGGATATAATCTCTTGGTGTGCCGTTTGTGAAGACTGTTGGAAAAGCGCAGTATTAGGGTGGGAGTGACCTGATTTTCCAGGTGCCATCTGTCACCCCTTTCCTTGGCTAGGAAAGGGAATTCCCTGACCCCTTGTGCTTCCTGGGTGAGGCGATGCCTCGCCCTGCTTTGGCTCACGCTCGGTGCACTGCACCCACTGTCCTGCACCCACTGTCCAACAATCCCCAGTGAGATGAACCCAGTACCTCAGTTGGAAATGCAGAAATCATTCATCTTCTGTGTCACTCATGCTGGGAGCTGTAGACTGGAGCTGTTCCTATTTGGCCATCTTGGCTTCCGAGCTGAAAAGGTCATATTTTGAACCTTCAAGTCCTTAAAACCATAATCTAAAAAGGCTAACATATAATTTGCATTGCCCATATCTAGAAGTATAATTTGGTAGAGGGGACAGTTGGACTATCAGGAATAATGCTGATTTTTCAGAGCTGTTCTTGGTCTACAGTGGAGAACCCCCAAGATTACTTTTACTTAGTGTCAACCCCCTTAACTAAACCCTTGCTCCTTCCATACCTGTTATCCTTTCCTTAATGACTGAGCCTCAGGCCCTGTTGCAGAATAGACTAATGTGGGTAGGGGAACAAGATAATGGGGGAGCAGATCCCTGTCTTTCCTAATCTGTCATTGCATATTGCCACTTCCACTGCAAACTCTGGGATTTCAACATTAAACATTGGGCTGGCTTCATAATTAAAGGCTCTGCCACCTTTATCAAGTGTGAAAGTGTGAAGGATAGGGTAGGATGTGTTTCAGAGGAGGCTGGAGAGTCAAGCATCCTCAGCTCCTCTGGCTCTTCCCATATATCCTCATCCAGTTGCCACAGTCTCACTCTTTGCGAATCAGAGCAACACTGACCATAAAACAGACTGTATTTGGGTATTTGCAGTATTTGATTAAGCTGCAGTTTTTACAATGCATGTGATGAATTTCTAATTTGGGCATTAGCAATCATATAGTTGTAGGTTTGCATGACAGCTATATACTTTCTTATCTACTTCTAGCTGTACTCCCTGCCTCTTTTTTTTCTTTTCTTTTCTTTTTTCTTTTTTTTTTATTTGAGACGGATTTTCATTCTCCAAGCTGAGATCATGCAATGGTACAATCTCAGCTCACTGCAACCTCTGTCTCTTGGGTTCAAGTGATTCTCCTGCCTCAGCCTCCTGAGTAGCTGGGATTACAGGCACACACCACCATGCCCAGCTAATTTTGTATTTTTAGTAGAGACAGGGTTTTACTGTGTTGGCCAGGCTGGTCTCGAACTCCTGACCTTGGGTGATCCGCCTGCCTTGGCCTTCCAAAGTGCTGGAATTACAGGAGTGAGCCACCCAACCCGGCCCCCTCCCTGCCTTTTAAATGTACTTCACTTAAGCCTGTAAAAAGTAAACTAACTCAGTTTGATCCTTGAGTTTTTTATTCTTTTGAAATTGTTCAGTGGTGGGTTCTGGTGGATTAGGTTATTCAGATTAAACTTCCCAGTGAAAAGAATGAAAAATTCTAGATTGCATATTTAAATGTAAAAGTTACATTATAGAGTTGATAAGATACTATGGAACAACGAGGCCAAAATTGGAAGGAATACAGACAGGCAAAGAAAAGAAGCGGAATTTTCTCTGAGGGAATTTTGTGAGACAAAGTAACAAACATTTCTAACCTTGAAAATTCAGATTTTTACTTGTTTGCCTCATGGGATGGGGAAGTGGGAGGGGACAGAAATAAAAGACCAAAGATGCTTAAGGTGGAGAATTTAATGAAGAGTTACTTCACCACAATAACCTTGAACTTCAATGGGCTACATCCTTTAATCAGTGAGCCAGAATTATGATAGACCTTCTGAAGATCTGGATCCCAGGATCATATCTCCTGGGTAGTCTAAGGAACCTCATAACTTACCTTTGCTTAAGGTGGTCCTGGAGTGTCCTCAAGTGCCTGATAAAAACAAACATAAATCCTCCTAGAAGAAATTTGATTCATCCCTAGATTTAAATTATTTTTCTGCTAGAAGAAATTTGATTCATCCCTAGATTTAAATTATTTTTCTTCTTTCTTTCTTCTTTCCTTCTTTCCTTTTCTTTCTTTCTTTCTTTCTTTCTTTCTTTCTTTCTTTCTTTCTTTCTTTCTTTCTTTCTTCTTTCTTTCTCTCTTTCTTCTTTCTTTCTTTCTTTCTTTCTTTCTTTCTTTCTTTCTTTCTTTCTTTCTTTCTTTCTTTCTTCTTTCCTTCCTTCCTTCCTTCCTTCCTTCCTTCCTTCTTTCTTTCTCTCTTTTTCTTTCTTTCTACCTTTCATTTTTTTTTCAGGGTGTCCCTCTCTTGCCCAGGCTGGAGTGCAGTGCTGTGATCTTGACTCACTGCAACCTCCACCTTCCTGGGTTCAAGAGATCCTGCCACTCCAGCTTCTTGAGGAACACCTGGGACTACAGGTGCATGTCACCATGCCCAGCTTATTTATTTATTTTTTTGTAGAGACAGGGCTTCACCATGTTGTCCAGGCTGGTCTCAAACTACTGGGCTCAAAGGATCCACCAGGCCCACAAGGAAATAAATAAAAGCACCAGAGTGAGACTAGGCAGAAAAACATAAATGAGTATTGGAATAAACAGTCACATACAAAACTATTCTTATTATGTTTAAATAGATAAAAGATGATTAAAAATATTTGAATAAAACAAGAAAATATAAAAAGTGACCTAAAACTTTTGAAAAAAGAATGAAATAGAACTTTTAGAAATAACTAATAAAACAGCTGAGACTCAAAACTCAATGAACAACTTTAATAGTAAGTTTGATACAATTGAAAAAAGAGTTAGTGAACTGGAAGACAGGTCAAAATGAAGCTTAGAAAGACAAAAACTATAAAAAGCACAAAAGAGAGAGTATGAACCTAAGACTCAAGTAAAAAGGTCTGATATATGTTAATCCTATTCCCAGAAAGAGAGAAATAAGTGGTGTATTAGGGTTCTCCAGAGGGACAGAACTAATAGGATATATGTACATATGAAGGGGAGTTTATTAAGGAGTATTGACTCACATGATCACAAGGTGAAGTCCCATGATAGGCCATCTGCAAGCTGAGGGAGAAAGAAGCCAGCAGTGGCTCAGCCTGAGTCCAAAAGCCTCAAAAACAGGGAAGCCGACAGTGCAGCCTTCAGTCTGTGGCCAAAGGCCTGAGAACCCCCACCAAACCATTGGTGTAAGTCCAAGAATCCAAAGGCTGAAGAACTTGGCATCTGATGTCCAAGGGAAGAAGGAACAGGAGGAAACATCCAGCATAGGAGAAAGATGAAAGCCGGAAGACTCAGGAAACCAGCTTATCCCACCCACCTTCTGCCTGCTTTGTTCTAGCCAGTTGGCAGCCCATTGGATGGTGCCCACCCACATTGAGGGTGGGTCTTCCTCTCCCAGTCCACTGACTCAAATGTCAATCTCCTCTGGCAACACCCTCACAGACACACCCAGGAACAATACTTACCAGCTATTTAGGCATCCTTCAATCCAATCAGGTTAACGCCTAATATTAACCATCACAAATGGGTAGAGATATTATTTGAAGAGCAAATGGCTAAGAATGTTCATAAGTATAAAGACACCAAACAACAGATTTAAGGAGCTCAAAAAAGAAAACCCAAGCAAGATAAATAAAAAGAAATATATTACCTAGGTACATAATAATGACGTAGTAGAAAACAAACAAACAAAACTAAGAGAAAACTTAGAAGTAGCCAGATAAAAAAAGACTGCTCAATAGTGACAATGGAAGCCAGAGCCTTTGGAATTATTTCTTCCAGAAATAATTATAAAATGCTGAAAAAATAATAACTGCCAGAATTCTAGCCCAGTGAAAATATCTTTCAAGCCCAGGCTGGAATACAGTGGTGCGATCTCAACTCATTGCAACCTCCACCTCCCAGGCTTAAGTAATCTTACCACCTCAGTCTGGCTAATTTTTGTATTTTTTGTAGAGATGGGGTTTTGCCATGTTGCCCAGGCTGGTCTTGAGCTCCTGGGATCAAGTGATTCACCCCCTTGGCCTCCCAAAGTGCTGGGATTACAGGCATGAGCCACTGCACCCAGCCAGTTCAATGTATTTTTAAATTACCCTTGGTACAGTGTATTGAAACCAGGTTTAAATTATTTTTTTTTTTAAGATTTCCCTTGGGATTTTCTCTTTGACCCATGAATTATTTAGGAATATGTTGTTTAATTTTCAGTGTTTGAAGGCTCTCTTGTTACGTTTCTGTTATTGATTTTTAGTTTAATTCCGTCGTGGTCAGAGAACATATTCTGTATGACTGCAATTCTTTTATATTTGTTGAGATTTGTTCTATGGCTCATGGTATGGCTTATCTTCATATACGTTCTGTGGGCACTTAAAAAATGTGTATTTTTTTTTTTTTTTGAGATGGAGTCTCACTCTGTTGCCCAGGCTGGAGTGCAGTGGCACGATCTCAGCTCACTGCAACCTCCACCTCCGAGGTTCAAGTGATTCTCCCGTCTCAGCTTCCTGAGTAGCTGGGACTACAGGTGCATGCCACCATGCCTGGCTAATTTTTTTATTTTAGTAGAGATCGGTTTCACCATATTGATCTGGCTGGTCTCAAACTCCTGACCTCAGGCAATCTGCCCGCCTCGGCCTCCCAAAGTGCTGGGATTACAGGCGTGAAACACCACACCTGGCCTGAAAAAAATGTGTACTCTTTTCTTGTTGAGTGGAGCATTCTGTAAATGTCACAGTTGACCCTTTCGGTGATGTGGAGTTCTATATTTGTACTCATTTTCTGTCTAGTTGTCCTATCAATTGCTGAGAGAAGAGTGTTGAAGTACGTAACTATAATTATGGATCTGTCCTTTCCTTTCAGTTTTATCAGTTTTTGCAGTTCTGTTGTTTTGTGCATACACATTTAGGATTGCTTTGTGTTCTTAGTAGATTGGCCCTTTTATCACTATGTAATTTCCCTCTCTGTCTCTGATTATTTCTTTGCTCTGAAGTCTACTTTATCTATGTTGGTATAGCCACTCTTTTTTTTCTTTCCTTCTTTTTTAAGGAGATGGGGTCTCATTCTGTTGCTTAGGCTGGAGTGCAGTGATGCAATCATGGCTCCCTGCAGCCTCAAACTCCTGGGCTCAAGATCCTCCCATCTCAGCCTCCCCTGTAGCTAGGACTACAGGTGTACACTACCATACCTGGCTTTGTGTGTGTGTGTGTGTGTGTGTGTGTGGAGACAAGGTCTCACTATGTTACCCAGGCTGGTCTCGAACTCCTGACCTCCAGAGATCCTCCCACTTTGGCCTCCCAAACCACTAGGATTACAGGTGTGAGCCACCATGCCTGGCCTCCTGTTTTCTTCTAGTTAATGTTTGTATTATACATCTTTCTCTATCCTTTCACTTTCAACCAACATTATTATCATAGTTGAAGTGGGTTTCTTGTAGGCAGCATATAGTTAGGTCATTTAAAAAAATCCACTCTGCCAATCTGTGTCTTTTAATTGGTCTATTTAGACTATTCACATTTAATGTAATTGTTGATATGGTAGGCCTTAAGTCTGCCATTTTATGTTTTGCTTTCTGTTTATTCTTTTTTTCAATTCTTTGTGTTCTTTATCCTGTCTCCCTGTGAGTTACCTGAACATTTTCTAAGCATTCCATTTTGATTTATCTATAATGTTTTTGAGTGTTATCTCTGCATGTAGCATTTTTAATGGTAGCTCCAAGTATTACATTATATATATATATATATATAACTTATCACAATTTATTGCTGTTGACATTTTATCACTTTGAGTGAAGTAGAGAAACTGTTGACTAAAGAAAAAAAATCAAGCCTTTAAAGTTAGTTTTATTCAGAACTCTTACTGAGGACTGTAGAATGAGGACTACAGCCTGAGAGGAGTTGTTCAGAGAGATTCTGTTAGGCTGGTCTGAAAGTGTTTTAGCTCAGAGTGTGCTCTAATCTACACTACAGAAGAGTGTGCTTCTGATCCCCTACAGAAAGTAGGGGATTCAGTACATGTAAAATCACATCAAAGTTTGGGGGCAAGAGTACATCTGGTTATAGATTACCAAAGTACATCTGGTTATAGATTATAGACGCATAATCACTAACCCTGTCAGATGTTATCTTATGTGTAGGAAAAGGCAAGGACTAAAGTCATTGATATGGTTTGGCTCTGTCCCCACTGAAATCTCATCTTGAATTGTAGTTCCCATATTCCCCATATGTTGTGGGAGGGACCCAGTGGGGGGTTATTGAATCATGGGGGCAGTTACCCCCATGCTGTTATTGTGATAGTGAGTGAGTGCTCACGAGATCTGATGGTTTAATAAGGGGCTTTTCCCACTTTGTTTGGCACTTCTCCTTCCTGCTGCCCTGTGAGGAATGTGCCTGTCTTCCCCTTTGCCTTCTGCCATGATTGTAAGTATCCTAAGGCCTTCCCAGCCACAGGGAACTGTGAGTCAATTAAACATCTTTTCTTTTATAAATTACCCAGTCTTGGGTATTTCTTCATAGCAGCATGAAAACAGACTACTGCAGTCATTTGTCTTTTAAGGAATGTAGTCACTCAGGCAAGAGACATGAGGGGCCATGTGCTCTATCCCGTCTTGTTTTCAAAGCATCTCTCTGGAGAGCTGCACTTGTCATAGAGTCAGGGCTTTGTGAAATTATGCAGGCAAGCAGAAATGGGCAAACGTGGCTTCTTATGTTTGTTACTTTGTCTCACAAAATCTTACCTAAATTTCCTTTCCTTTACACTCCTTCTTTTATAATATAATCGTCCTAAATCTTTCCTCTATATACACTTAAGACCATATCAGCGGTGTTTATAATTTTTGCTTCTATTGTCAAACATAACTTGGAAAGCTCAAGAGGAAAAGAAAAATCTATCTACCAATATCTTTACTATTTTCATTTTTCTTTCTTCCTTCCTGATGTCCCAAGAGCCCTTCTTTTATCATTTCCTTTCTGCTTAGAGAATTTTCTTTAGCCATTCTTTTAGAATAGGTCTTCAGGTAACAAATTCTCTTAGTTTTCTCTCTTCTGAGAATATCTTAACTTCTTCTATATTACCAAAGAATGTTCTTGCTGGATAAAGGACTCTTGGTTATACAGTTCTTTTCTTTCAGAACTTCAAAAATGTTCCACTTCTTTCTGGCCCCCATAGTTTCTGATGATAAACCTACTGTCATTTAAATTGTTTTTTCCCTACAGCTAAGGTGTCATTTCCCTCATGCGCTTTCAAGATTTCTTCTTTGTCTTTAGTTTTCTGAAGTTTGACTATGATGTATGTTAGGGTGTATTTCCTTGGGGTTCTCTATTTGGGGTTCACTTAGTTTCTTAAAGCTGTAGGTTTATGTTCTTTACCCAACTCGGGAAGTCTTTAGCCATGATTTATGTAGGTTTTTTTTTCAGTTCTACCTATTTCTCCTATTCTTCTGTAACTTCAATGACACTAGATCTTTTGCTATCCTTCCACAGGTCTCCAAAGCTTTATTATTTCAGTCTGTTTATCACTGTTCAGACTGGTGATTTCTTTTATTCTATCTTTCTCTTTATTGATTCTTCCTCTGTTTATTCTTCTGTTGAGCCCATCCATTGATTTTTTTATTTTATAATAATTTTCAGTTCTAAAATTTCCATTTGGTTCTTTTTTACATCTTCTATTTCTTCGTTGAAATTTTCTAATTTTTGGCTGGACATGGTGGCTCATGCCTGTAATACCAGGACTTTGGGAGGCTGAGGTGGGCAGATCACTTGAGGTCAGGAGTTCAAGGCCAGCCTGGCCAACATGGTGAAACCCCATCTTTACTAAAACAAAAATTAGCTGGGTGTGATGGCACATGCCTGTAGTCCCAGCTACTTGGCAGGCTGAGGCAGGAGAATCACTTGGACTCGAAAGGCAGAGGTTGCCATGAGTCAAGATTGCACCACTGCACTCCAGTCTGGGTGACAGAGTGAGACTCTGCCTCAAAAAAAAAAATTCGATTTTTTAATTTGTTTCCAGTGCCTTTGTTATTGCTCATTGAGGCATTTTTATAATGACTGCCTTAAAATCTTCATCAGATAATTCTCTGACACAATGGTGAAGGGGCTGTAGGGGAGCTTGAAGTACCTAATATCAGCCTGGAACTGGTGGAAGTTTAGGCTCCCCATTTGGCTTTTGCTGGTGGAGGTGGAAGTTGAGCCACAGTTTTCTCTGTGGTATTTGGCAAGTATACAAAAGTTGTTTACTAAAAGTTTCCTGTCTCGCTAATTGCCCCTGTTCTGGCCTTTTGGGGTTAAACAGACTACCCTTTCATTGGCTTTTTTTTGTTTGTTTGAACCTGTTGACATTTCCAGGTTGCTAGCTTCTTCAGCTCTAAGTCTGAGATTTATGAAGCAAAAGGAAAATTCCTGGAACCCAGTACCATGCTGTTCTTTGTGTCCCAAGGTCCTAAGCCATTCTGCCTTCTTCTTTCTCCCTTTCATAGTCTTCTTTTGTTTGATTTATACATAATATTCAGGATTTTAGGTTGTACTTAGCAGGAGGAACAGAGAAAAGTACATCTACTCCATCTTCATGAAAGCAGAAGTCTACATTGCTTAATTTTATCTTTTCTGTTTTTAAAGTTTTTTTTTGAAGTTCA
Source organism: Homo sapiens (assembly GCF_000001405.40). Classification (NCBI taxonomy): domain Eukaryota; kingdom Metazoa; phylum Chordata; class Mammalia; order Primates; family Hominidae; genus Homo; species Homo sapiens. Next base: position 75,110,960 of record NC_000011.10, on the reverse strand, counting down.
TCACTATGAACATCTCTTCTGGATCAATTACTGACAAATTTTTAAAAACTCTGAACACTTCCAGAAAGAAAAAGCAGATCATCTACAAAGAAATAAGATTCAGATTGATACCAGATTTCCTAATAGGAGCACTGGATACAAAAACACATAGAAGCAATAATTTTAAAGTACTGAAGAAAAATAACTTTAATTTACAGTTTTATATCCAGCTAAATGTTCATTAATAATATAATGGCTAAATAGATTGTATATTCGCACCATTTTATAATGTATACTATACATTATAAAACAAACTCAACAATATTATAAACACAATACTGAAAAAAAAACCAGACACAGAAGGGTAAATACCATATGTAGAAGTCACTGTTGGTAATCCATGTATCTGCTATGAATATTAGCTGCTAACAGCTCACAGCTATGTTATTCTCTAGAGAGTTGCCTTCAACTAATTTTTCCTGCCAGGAAAAATGTCTTGTAGTTTACACCTTTTCCCCAGGGATAACCTATAGTGATGACTAACTGATGAGGGGATATAAAAGGTATCCCTCCACTCCAAGGTAGAACAATGCTATAGTGCCTTTCACACTCCAGAGCACCTGTGGAATGAGGTACAATTTCAGTTGAAACTCATATTTGCCTAACTTCTCCTGCACTATCCCACCTCCCTCACTCCCTTACAGGTCTCATCTGAGAATACTCCCTCAATAAATCACTTGCACAAGAATCCCTTTCTCTGGCTCTGCTTCTGGGAAGCCGAGCCCAAGAAAGTTGGTGCCAGGAGTAGTTCTTGAAGACAGATTCTGAGGATGAGATTCTGTAAGTGGATCGCTCACTATCTGAATGGCAATGAGGGCCCTGTCACTGATGGTAAACAAGAGATTGCGGCCTATGCTACAGGAATGTGATTGCTAAGACTTTTACCTGCTGCAAGCTGGCTGGGACCTAGATAAAGCAGCTGCAAAAGCTTGTGCATCATCTCTAGTGTTTTAGAGGTGTGGCAGAAGTAAAAACCTTAAGAACTGTGGGATTGGAGGATGTTGCTAAAAGGACAATGATGTATTGAAGGGTAGAGAGAAAACAACAGACTCAGATGTATTAATCCCCAGTGCAAAGTGTGAGAGTCAGAGGCTCTCCTTGACAGCATCCTCTGCAGAGGGCAGACGAGCTGAAGACTAAGCAAAGGGCTTAATCACAGAAGTGTTAGAACTTTGGAGAAATCTCAATTCTCAGAGCATCCACAGCAAAAGAGGCATGAAACAACCAAGTGGAGAGGATGACTTGGCCAGGCACATGCATGGGTAACCAGCAAATCAGGGGCATCAAAAATACTTCTTAAGATAATTTGACCTTTGATATTTCAAAGCACCTTTCAATTAGTCCATCACAGGAAATACCAGAATTTGGCTGGACTCTCTTACACTTATTTTACAGAGTAGGGTTCTTGTTTTATTTGAAATTATATAATGGATCCTAAGTAACGCAATGTGGTGCATATGGACAAAAAGACACTGTTTTCTAGCACATAAGACTTGCCCCAGAAGGTCCTCCCCATTTTACAGAAGGAAAACTCAGACTCAGAGAGGCTAACTTACCTAAGGTGACATAGCTAAAATGTATTATAACTGATATTCAAACCCAGGGCTTTCTAATTCTGGACGCTGTGCCCTTAATCTCTATGGAATACGATAGCGCACAGGCCTGGGAATGAATCCCTGGGTCTGAATTGCAGCCCTAATATGATACATCTGTGTTAGTATTGGTACATCATTTCACCTCTCTGGGCCTCAGTTTTCTCCTCTTGGCTGTCTATCTCCCCTGGCTCTTCTGAGGACCAGATGGAATAAGGTAGTTAAAAGTTGCCCCATTGGTTGTAAAGTTCTGGAACCCATGAGGGCTGTTAATGATGTTTTTCTCATTATTGGCAAATTCCAGGGGCAAGTCTCCTCCCAACATCTGCTCCACAAGGGCCCAAAAAGTTAGTCCTGGGTGCCTGGGGGCACAGTGCCCAAAGGAGCACCATCTTGAGGGAGAGGCTCCAGCAGGCCTAGCTGAAGGGAAGGGCCAGAGGGTTTAATGGGACACAGCTCAACACCTACCTGGCTCTTCCCTCTGGGGCCAGATTTGGAGACACAAAGGGGACGGGCTTGGCAGATGAGTGAACTGGGGGTAAAGTGCCCAGAGTTCAGCAAAGACTAGGATAGGAAGACAGGGGTAGAGAGATGGGGGAATGTGGAGCGTGGGCCAGGAATCCAGAAAGACAGATGGGGTGTGCACATAGGCAGGTGCCCAGGATCCAGGTGCATGCCTGGGCTGTGAGGCCTTTGGCCAGATATCCTGGCAAGTCTGGGCAATGGATGCACTCACAGATGGGATTCAAATCTTCTTGGCCAAGGCCTTCCCACAGGGAGAAAAGGCTGATGACAGCAGGAACCACTGGAAACACTAGAAAACTTTGAGCTCTTTCATTTTCCAGGCTCTTTGTAAGCATACCTAAGCATTCTCTACATAAAGAAAATCCCATGAGGTCACAGATCAGGGCCAAAAGGCTCAGAGAGGTGAATGTGACTTGCTCAATGTCACACAGCTGGAGTTAGGAGCAGGGGTTGACTCCCGAGTCTGCACACGTAACCACTAAGGTGCACATGACATAATGAAGGTCAAGAACCTGGCTCTGCTGCAGTGCTCCCTCAGTGCGAGAGCCCTCACCCTTAGGGGTGTGGGTCATGTGACATCTGTCTCTGAACCCCCACTCTGCAAAACGCAGAGGGACACTCAGAAAATAGCTCATTGATTTGGAAACATCTCAGAGATGATTTCCTCAAACCCCTCACTGTACGGATGAGAAAATCAAGACTCAGAGACCCACAGTCACAGCAAGAGTGTTAGAGCTGGCCCAGGAGGCAGGACTGTGGGTTGCCAGGCTCCAGGAGTAGCCTCTGCTCTCACTCACCAACTGTGACCTTGAAGGAGGGCCTGGCCTTCTCTGACCTCAGTTTTCTTCATTAGTTGAAGGGGCATAAGCACTTCCTGGCAGAGCTGTCTGATGGGGAGAGATGACGTACAGAAAGTGCAGGATGGACATTCAGGTGGTTGGTTTTTCTGACCCCTCTTCCCCACCAGCACTGTAAAAACCCAACAGGAAAGATCTGCTTGGGCAAGTTCTGTGCCCTGGGAAAATGTCTTTTGGCCCTAAGCACAGGGCTGTATTACTTAGATGTAGTATATAATTCAAAATAAAATAAGAACCCTAACCTATAAAATAAGTGTTGAGACAGTCCAGCCAAATTCTGATATTTCCTATGATGGACTATTTGAATGATGTTTTGAAATATCAAATGTTACATTCTCTCAGGAAGTATTTTTGGTGACCCTGCTTTGCTGGTGACTCAAGCCTGATATGACCCTTGGATAGTCCTGGCAGTGAAAAGCCTTGGACCACCTCTTCGCTGGGGTGTCAGCAAAGCAGTGAAAGGAGGAATGGGGAGGAGAAAGGGCAGCTGGACTGGATGGCCTCTTACGGCTCCTCTGGCTATGACCTTCTTAGTTTCTGTCACTCAAACCCCCCAACTCAGCCTAACGTGGAGACAGTCAGCCCATGACTCACACTCTGACTGCAGCAATGTCCAGGGAAGTGCAGTTTGCATCGTTTTGGGTGCATTGAAAACCTTTCTATTGGATCTGCTGGGATGGGGCTCTAGTTAACTGAGCATTAACCCTTTAGAATGATGATAGTCCATGTTCAACTCCTGTACTGCTCATGGGGGTGACCTCTGAGATTCTTTATTAGGGAGCTCTCACACAGGAGGGTCATTTGTCCCATGTTCATTTTAGACAAAGCATTTTCCAGTCACCACTTCAAAATCTGGGAGCTAGGCTTCACAATCAATCATAGAGCAATGAGCAACCCAGGACTGTCTTTTTTTTTTTTTTTTTTTTTTTGGAGACAGAGTCTCGTTCTGTTACCAGACTGGAGTGCAGTTGTACAATCTTGGCTCACTGCAACCTCCACCTCCCGGGTTCAAGTGATTCTTCTGCCTCAACCTCCTGAGTAGCTGGGATTACAGGTATGTGCTACTACGTACACCCGGCTAATTTTTGTATTTTTGGTAGAGACAAGGTTTCGCCATATTGCCAAGCCTGGTATTGAACTCCTGGCCTCAAGTGATCCCGTCCACCTCGGCTTCCCAAAGTGCTGGGATTATGGGCATGAGTGACTGTGCTTGGCCCTGATAGGTAGTTTTGTGATCCTCACTTTCCTCCCACCCTTCACCCTCAAGTGGGCTCTGGTGTCTGTTGTTTCCTTCTTTGTGTCCATGTGTACTCAATGTTTAGCTCCCACTTAAAGTGAAAACGTGCAGTATTTGGTTTCCTGTTCTGCATTAGTTCACTTAGAATAATGGCCTCCAGCTCCATCCATGTTGCTGCAAAGGACATTATCTCATTCCTTTTCATGGCTGCATAGTATTCCATGGTGTATATGTTCCACATTTTCTTTATCCAGTCTACTGTTGATGGGCATTTAGATTGATTTCATGTCTTTGCTATTGTGAATAGTGCTGTGATGAACACGTATGTGCATGTGCCTTTATGGTAGAGTGATTATTCCTTTGGATATATACCCAATAATGGAATTGCTGGTCTAATGTTAGTTCTGTTTTTAATTCTCTGAGAAATCACCAAACTGCCTCCCACAGTGGCTAAACTAATTTACATTCCCACCAGCAGTGTATAAGCATTCCCTTTTCTCCACAACCTTGCCAGCATGAGTTATTTTTTGAGTTTTTAATAATAGCCATTCTGACTAGTGTGAGATGGTATCTCATTGTGGTTTTAGTTTACATTTCTCTAATGATTAGTGACATAACCCTTATTTTTTAAGTTAATATGTGCATTTTAGGAAACTTAAAAACACAAGAAGTAAAGAACAAAGTCACCTACAATCACAAGCAGTTTACAGTTTCTAGGTCCTCTGTGAATATAGGTATAACATCCAGTTTTATGAGATTGAGATTGTACAGTATGAATCGTGATTTCTTTACACATCACGAATGCTTTTGTTCTAGAAAAGAATGTAGACGTAGTTCCAAGAAAATCAAAGACAAACTGCTCATGGAATCAGTGGAGGTCAAAGAGCAGCAATGTGGATGTGGACCTGAAGCTGGCAGGACCGCCCATCAGAGGCTTCTCCTGAAGTAGGCTAAGCCAGTATTTCCTCAGCTCCAATGCACCAGTCCAGGGCTTGACCCAAGCACATATGTAGTGCGCACATGTCAAAGTTTTCAGAACAATCCCTGAAAACTTTGAGACAGGCTTCTCTTTGGACAGCTACAGCTTTCAGTTATCTGGGTCCCTTCTAGCAACAATGGCCCTCGTGACTGCTCCTTTTGGCTTTGAGGAGGCGGAGCCAACAGCAGAGTGGGCAGACAGTGACTAGACAGAACACCTGCTGGGCTGCAGCAACCGGGAGAAAGGAAGACAAAAGCGACCCGGGATGTGCCTGGAGTCTCTGCTTGGGAACAATAATGGAAAGGTCTACCTTTGGTTTAGGCTCTATCAGGAGTGAGTTCTCCAAGAGAAGGCATTTGCCCCTCCTGTCACAAAAGCCTGAGAGGCCCCCACACAGAGAGACGGGGGACCTAGAGAGCTCAGCAGAGTACACGATTTATTATTATTATTTTTGAGACGGAGTCTCATTGTCTTATCCAGGCTGGAGTGCAGTGGCGCAATCTCAGCTCGCTGCAACCTCCACCTCTTGGGTTCAAGTGATTCTCCTGCCTCAGCCTCCCAAGTAGCTGGGACTATAGGCTTGCACCACCACAGCTGGCTAATTTTTGTATTTTTAGTAGAGACAGGGTTTCACCATGTTGGCCAGGCTGGTCTCAAACTCCTGACCTCAAATAATCCTCCTGCCTTGGACTCCCAAAGTGCTGGGATTATAGGCATGAGCCACCATGGCCAGCAGAGTACATGATTTTATTTTATTTTATTTTTTTGAGACGGAGTCTCGCTCTGTTGGCGATCTCGGTTCACTGCAAGCTCCGCCTCCCAGGTTCACGCCATTCTTGTGCCTCAGCCTCCCGAGTAGCTGGGACTACAGGGGCCCACCACCACGCCCGGCTAATTTTTTTGTATCTTTAGTAGAGACGGGGTTTCACTACGTTAGCCAGGATGGTCTCGATCTACTGACCTCATGATCCACCCACCTTGGCCTCCCAAAGTGCTGGGATTACAGGCGTGAGCCACCACCCTTATAATTTTTAAAGTCATAATTATAACAATTTTTAAAGTCAGTATTATAAAATAAGGCATTTTTGGTGAATTCTAGCTTCCATTCCTGCTCCTTCCACCTATTGCATCCCCTTTAAAGAAACCATTTTTATTCATTAAAACATTTTTCTTTCTATTTTTAATAGAAGATATTTTCACATGTTTACACATATATATAATTTATAAATATTGCTATGTGATACATAAATATGACTATAGAGTTATATTTCCACTCCTTCTGAATGAATAGTAGTCTACTATAGTCTACTACTATACAAGGTGTTGTGCCCCTTGATTTTTAAAATGTAATCAGCAGTTTATAGAGATAAAATTTTTGTTTAAGGTGGGAAAAATTACAATGTATTTGTACACTGGTGGGAATGATTCAGTAGAGAGAAAAATTGGTGATGGAGGAGAGAGGGGAGATTTGAAGTGAATGGCTTTATTTTTATTTTTTGAGACAGGGTCTCCTTCTATTGCCCAGGCTGGAGGGCAGTGGCACAATCATGGCTCACTGCAGCCTTGACCTCCTGGGCTCAAGCAATCCTCCCACCTCAGCCTCCTATGTAGCTGGGACTACAGGCATACACCAAGATGCCCAGCTAATTTTTTATTTTTAGGAATGGGGTTTTGCATGTTGCCCAGGCTGTGACTGACTTTACATAAGGGCATGAGGAGTTCATCTGTGGTCACAGGTAGGAAAGCGCAGTGTGTGGGTGCAGAGGCTGGTAGGTGGGTGGTTGTGGGATGACAGTCTGTGGGAGTTATCACTTGATTGCTGGAGTGGCGATGGGAAGAGGTATTGGTGGACTGAGGAGTGAAGAGAAGGTGTGGAAAAGTCATTGAGAAGAGGAGATGAGAGAAAAGAACAGAGACATATAGGATGAGGGTCTGGCAGTATCAAAGTCCCACTTGAGTTAGGTTTGTTATCTGAGGAGCCTCCTCACACTAAACTCACATGAGGCACACTTACATCCGGAAAACACTGTCTTAAAATTGATCTCATTTTTATCTCAGAGTGCAGTGCTCATTCTGAGTCATAGTGTGTCTGACTAATGGTCCTAATTTTACTGATTCTCTCCAGTAGAGGTTTGGTTTTTTAACCAAACATTGGGATGCTTACATAAACTAATGTGTTTTACATGTGGCAATGATCTGAATTTTTTAAACCTAATCATTTATCTGTCCTCAAAAGTGGCTACCTAAACCGCTTCGCAAGAAAATTAAAACTGTCAGCTAAATGACATAGCTGTCATTCACATAGTAAGTACATATATCATGAACCTACTATGTGCTATATTTTATATCTTGATGTAGCTGGGAGAGGGAGAAAGAATAAAGATAAAAAGATAAATTCTAATATATCAAAAGCTAGTTTAAAATATTTCTAAAATCAAATAAAACATTGAGCTCAAAACCTGACTTCAATTATCACATGTAGTAAAAATACTTAGTCATTTTGCAGTCATGAGACAATGATTCCATTACTAGAATAATATTTATTGAAATGCCATTTCTTCTGCATTAATTTTATATATATATATATATATATATATATATATATATATATATATATATATATATTTCAGACGGAGTGGCACTCTTTCACCCAGGCTGGAGTGCAGTGACACGATCTCGGCTCACTGCAACCTCCGCCTCCTAGGTTCAAGCAATTCTCCTGCCTCAGCCTCCCAAGTAGCTGGGACTACAGGCGCAGGCCTCCATGCCTGGCTAATTTTTGTATTTTTAGTAAAGATGGGGTTTCACCATATTGGTCAGGCTGGTCTCAAACTCCTGACCTCAGGCAATCTACCCGCCTCGGCCTCCCAAACTGCTGGGATTACAGGTGTGATCCACCATGCCCGGCCAATTTAATATATTCTTAATGGTAAATAAAATAAAATACTTACACTAAATTCTTATTTTGTGCTTTCTGTTTATATTTCAAATAGCATGATTCAATTTAATTCCTTTTATCCTCCTTTTATTTCCTGAATGATCTGCATAACTTTGTCTAATTTCAACTTTGAGGGCTTCATTTTTTTGTAAACTTGCTAAAAATTTTTTTTTTGGTTCTAAGCAATATTTGTTTTAAATAACCTGTCCACTTTTTCTGTGCTATCTTTAAAATAATAAAACCTCTATCACTGAATGCTACTTCCACATATATGTGGAAATTAAACAAGAGACTTCTAAATAACCAATGGGTAAAAGAATAACAAGGGAAATTAGAAAATAATTTGAGATGAATGAAAATGAACACACAACATGCCCAAATTTATGGGATACAGCTAAAGCAGTACAGAGAGGGAAATTTATAGCTGTAAACACCTATATTAAAAAGAAAACAAATCTCAAGTCAGTACCCTAACTGTTTATCTTTAGAAATTAAAAAAGAAAAGCAAACTCAACTCAAACAAGAAGTGGGCATAAAATAACAAAGATTAGAACAGAAATAAATGAAATAGAGAATAGAAAAATAAAGAAAATCAACAAAACCAAAGTTGGTTCCTTGACTATATCAATAAAACTGTTAAAACTTTAGCCTACCAATATAAAAAGAGATAAGACTCCCATTACTAAAATCAGAAGTGAAAGAGGGGACATTACTATAGACCATATGGAAATAAATAAGAAATGTTAAAGGAACAGATCACCACTCAATATCAGAAACAAAAGGCTGAATGTATCACTAGTGTAAGCACAGGATGCTATGGTTTATGATATAGTCTGTTTTTGAGAAACACAGGGAGCTGATCTTACACAGGGCTGTGGAAAATGTGGAGATCTGGGGTTGGTGGACTTTCAAAGGTGGGAGTGTTTAGGGATTAGTTTGCTTTTAGCTATGGAAGTGTGGTTACTGGAGTTAAACCATTGCTGAGTGGCTTTTAGATTCCCTGACTTTCAGAAGTGTGGGTACTGGCTCAAAGCTGTGATTAAACAATTAAGTATGTTTCTTTGTTTGTTTTTTGAGGTTTTTGGGAAACAGAGTCTCACTCTGTTGCCCAGGCTGGAGCGCAGTGGTGTAATCTCGGCTCACTGCAACCTCCACCTCTTGAGTTCAAGCAATTCTCATGCCTCAGCCTCCTGAGTAGCTGGGACCACGGGTGCACACCACCACGCCCAGCTAATTTTTTTTTTTTTTTTTTGTATTTTCGTAGAGACGGGGTTTCAGCTATGTTGCCCAGGCTGTTCTCAAACTCCTGAGCTCAGGCAATCCACCCACGTTGGCCTCCCAAAGTGCTGAGATTACGGGTGTGAGCCACCATGCCCAGCCAGTTAAGCATGTTTTAAACAAGTTCTGATCATTGTTACTATGGCTATAGAAAAGCCAGTCATTTCCTAGCAGGATGAGGAGAGTTTTATTCTTAGAGGTAATAAAAGAAATCCTATTTTATCCCATAATGTTATAAAAGTAAGTCTTAGAATGTTGGCTTTTTATACAAAGAAATCTCAGCCAACAGTTTTACTCTCTATTTTGGTTCATTCTCTTTAGTAAAACAAAATAGGAAATCCAAAAGGATTCTAAATTTTAGTTTTTGTTTGTTTTCTCCTACTTATTGCAATTCTCTTAACTGTTGCACTCCATATGGGTTATTTCAGCCCAAGTGCCCAAGTCTTTTAGTTACTTTCATACATAACATCTCGAAAGCCTTAAGTCATTCTTATGCCGCCAAAAGATGGCTTTTTAAGGCTTATTAGGGATCTCATCACGTCTAAGAAATGGAAAACAGAACAAAAGAATCCACCTAACCACCTGGTGATTTTGCAGGATTCTTTGCCTTTAACTTAAGAGAGCTTAGTCTTCTCCCCCAGAAACATCTTTAGCACTTACCTTTATGGCACCAAAGCGAAGATCCACATAAATTTATCCCAAACCAAAATTCTTCTCTTTAGCAAGTAGTGAGTAGATCCAGACAGGAGGAGACAGCACATACAGTTCTGCTTGTGATTCAAAGAAACTTCCCAAACCATCTTTAGCTCCATCATGAAGTTTATCAGGTCAGGAGAGGGCTGTAACCTCTGTTGTACCATGTTTTCATTTCCATCGTGTTCTGTACTCAGCTGCTAAGGACTTAGTAACCTCCCAGTCTGCAGTTGAAAGTCTACAGTCTGCAGAGGTCTAATAGGGAAGTCTCTTCTGCAGGCTGAAATGAACCCTTCATGCATGGGTTTTCCCCTGGTCCTGGGCAGAAGCATCAGGCCGGGTGTAACAGGGTCATCTCAGTCATCACTGTGACTCAGCATCCTCAAAGCTTCTGGGTTTGAAGCTGGGATAGTCCCTGCACATGCACACCCCATTCCATTTGAAAATGTGCTGACTGCTTGGCCCAGAAGTTCTACTTCTAAGGATCTGTCTATCTCCGAGAAATATTTGAGCACATGTGACCCCAAATGCATGTTAAAAGGAAATTAATTATAATAGTTTTCATAATAGCAAGAATGAGATAGAACTTAAATGTTCATCAACAGATGAGTTATTAGACAAACTATGTTGTATCTGTACTACAAAATGCCAAATATCAGATACAAAAAAATGAAGTAGATCAGACACAGAAAAATTCCTAGACTTATTAAATTAAAATATGCTATACAATAAATACAGAATGATTCAATTTACATTAAAAGAAAAGCAAAACCATACACACATACACAAACACATGCGCTTAGAAAAGTCTGGAAGAAACACACCAAATCAGTAATAATGTTTACTTCTGGAGCATGGAGGAAAAATGTGGGTAAGAATTGGTGTGAAGAAGACTAACTAACTCTTCTTTCTTTTCTTTCTTCCTTCCTTTCTTTCTGACAGGATCTCACTCCATTGTTAAGACTGGAGGAAAAATATGGGTAAGAATTGGTGTGAAAAAAAACTTTCTCTCTCTTTCTCTCCCTCCCCTCCCTCCCTTCCCTTCCCTCCCTTCCTCCCTTCCCTCCCTCCCTCCCTTCCCCCACTCCCTTCCCTCCCTTCCTCCCTTCCCTCCCTCCCTTCCCCCACTCCCTTCCCTCCCTCCCTCCCTTCCCCCACTCCCTTCCCTCCCTTCCCCCCTTCCCCCCTTCCACCACTCCCTTCCTTCCTGGGTCTCACTCCATTGCTAAGGCTAGAGTGCAGAGGCACAGCTGTGGCTCACTGCAGCCTGAACTTCCCAGGCTCAGGTGTTTCTCCTGCCTCAGCTTCCCTGGTAGCTGATGGGTCCGGAATTGGTGGGTTCTTGGTCTCACTGACTTCAAGAATGAAGCCACGGACCCTCGCGGTGAGTGTTACAGCTCTTAAGGTGGCGCGTCTGGAGTTTGTTCCTTCTGACGTTCGGATGTGTTGGGAGTTTCTTCCTTCTGGTGGGTTGGTGGTCTCACTGGCTCAGGAGTGAAGCTGCAGACCTTCGCGGGGAGTGTTACAGTTCTTAAGGCGGCGCATCTGGAGTTGTTCGTTTCTCCCGGTGGGCTAGTGGTCTCACTGGCTTCAGGAGTGAAGCTGCAGACCTTCGTGGTGTTACATCTCTTAAGGCAGCGCATCTGGAGTTGTTCGTTCCTCCTGGTGGGCTTGTGGTCTCGCTGGCTTCAGGAGTGAAGCTGCAGACCTTCGCGGTGAGTGTTACAGCTCATAAAAGCAGTGTGGACCCAAAGAGTGAGCAGTAGCAAGGTTTATTGCAAAGAGCGAAAGATCAAAGCTTCCATAGTGTGGAAGGGGACCTGAGCGGGTTGCCACTGCTGGCTCGCGCAGCCTGCTTTTATTCTCTTACCTGGCTCCACCCACATCCTGCTGATTGGTAGAGCCCAGTGGTCTGTTTTGACAGGGCGCTGATTGGTGCGTTTACAATCCCTGAGCTAGACACAAAGATTCTCCAAGGCCCCACCAGAGCAGCTAGATACAGAGTGTCCATTGGTGCATTCGCAAACCCTGAGCTAGACACAGGGTGCTGATTGGTGTGTTTACAAACCTTGAGTTAGATACAGAGTGCCGATTGGTGTATTTACAATCCCTGAGCTAGACATAAAGGTTCTCCACGTCCCCACCAGACTCAGGAGCCCAGCTGGCTTCACCCAGTGGGTCCCGCACCGGGGCTGCAGGTGGAGCTGCCTGCCAGTCCCGGAGCCATGCGCCCACACTCCTCGGCCCTTGGGTGGTCGATGGGACTGGGTGCTGTGGAGCACGGGGCAGCACTCATCGGGGAGGCGGGGGCCGCACAGGAGCCCAGGGAGGGGGTGGGAGACTCAGGCATGGCGGGCTGCAGGTCCCGAGCCCTGCCCCGCGGGAAGGCAGCTAAGGCCCAGAGAGAAATCGAGCACAGCGCCAGTGGGCTGGCACTGCTGGGGGACCCAGTACACCCTCCACAGCCGCTGGCCCGGGTGCTAAGCCTCTTATTGCCTGGGGACAGCAGGGCCGGCCGGCTGCTCTGAGTGTGGGGTCCGCCAAGCCCACGCCCACCCAGAACTCCAGCTGGCCTGCAAGCGCAGGCGCAGCCCTGGTTCCCACTCGCGCCTCTCTCTCCACACCTCCCTGCAAGCTGAGGGAGCCGGCTCCGGCCTTGGCCAGCCCAGAAAGGGGCTCCCACAGTGCAGCGGTGGGCTGAAGGGCTCCTCAAGTGCCGCCAAAGTGGGAGCCCAGGCAGAGGAGGCACCGAGAGCGAGCGAGGGCTGTGAGGACTGCCAGCACGCTGTCACCTCTCACTGAGACTACAGGTGCATGCCACCATGCCCAGCTAATTTTTTTGTATTTTTCAGTAGAGATAGAGTTTTGCCAGTTGTCCAAGCTGCTCTCTTACTCCTGGACTCAAGAGATCCTCCCCCTTCGGCCCGGCAAAGTGCTGGGATTACAGGCGTGAGCCACCACACCCGGCCTAGAACTTTCACTTTTGACTCAGTAAAGCTCTGTATTGATTAAAATGTTCTACAATGAGGTTCTGTTTATTACTTGTGAAATTAAAAAAAAATTAAAATTTTATGAGTATTAGTAGGAGTGACCAAGTCAGTCAAGTCAGAAACAGAACACTGGAGCCAAAGGAGAGAATCAGAAAGATTGAGGCAGGAAGAGTCTGTGACTCTTGACTTTGTCCTGTATGGGGTTGGGGCAGAGACTTCCACCCTCACATTCTTTCCACAAAACCTTTGCAAGTTCTCATTGCACAGCAGCGGAAGTATCACATACTCATTGAACAAGGCTTTACTGCTTTGGTCCATTAAAATAATAGCTCCCACTTATTGAATGCCTAATAAGTGGCAGGAACTGGGTGAAGCACCTCAACCTGCCCAGTTATCCTGTGAGAGAGTTAGTGTCGTTATACCCATTCCACAGATGACAAAATGAAGACCCAGTGAGGTTAAGGGATTTGTTCAAAGTCATATTACTGGGAATAACTCGGGTCTTAGTCATTAGATAACATGTTGCTGAACCACTGAACCAGAATTGGAGCCTTGGGTACAAATCCCAGCTCTGCCACCAGCCACTCATATGACCTTGGGCAAGTCACCTCACTTCTCTAGATCTCAGTTTCCTCAAATGTAAAATAGTGGAAATAATCCTGACTCTGCCTGTCTTCCCTGGCTATTGTGAGGACCAGATGGGAAAACAGGAATAATACTGGTGATAAAGTTCTGGGACCCATGAGGGTTGTTAATGATGTTGTTTTCATTATCAGCAAAGCCCAGAACAAAGTCCCCCACTCCACCCTCGGAAGTTGTTCTCAGCTGACTGGCAGTTATCTGGTCCCACGGGTGAGCCTTCTTGTGGGGAGAGAGCCCCAGCAGGCCTGGTTGCAGAGAGGGGCCCGAGGGTTTAAAGGGCCATGGTTGAGTTTCTACCTGGCTCTTCCCAACCAAGGCCAACTGTGACGACTCTACACAAGACATCAAGGCGGACCAGGATTGGTAGGTGAGCTGGGCTGGGGATGGAGTGCGCAGAGCAGGCAGAGACTGGGATGGGGAGATAGGCTCAGGGAGGTTGGGGGCATGTACAACCACAGTAAAGATCCTGGGAATGTCAGGGTCCCAGGATCCAAGTCAACCACGCAGTCAGCCTGGGTGAGTGTAGACCAGACACCCTCGCAGGCAGGGGCAGGGCTGTGCAGTCACAAGCAAGAGGCTAATGATCTTGGAAGAGAATTCCTCACAAGGAGGCAAAGCTGATGACGATAAGAGAAATGGGAATAATTTGTGAGGGAATTGCAGTCCATTGGAGGAAAGCACAAAGTGGTGGAGCCAGGAAGGAAACTCAGGCCTTTCTAACTGCAAAGTTAATAGACCTAGATTCTGTGCTTCACGTATATCCTGCTCCTTTTCTATGGAAACAGTGCAGGATGGTGAGAATATCATGAGAGAACTGCATGAGTTTGGGCGTCGTAATGATGTGTAATGACTGTAAAGAATCAAGCAGGCAACAGAAGCTTAACAAATGAGAGCGCCCTTGCTCTCCTTCCTAAGAGGCTGAGGCCATGACACATCTGTCTTCGAATCTCTCATTTATCTAAACACAGAGTAGATACTCAAAATATTTATCAAGCTGGAGATCATTGCTTCCAAAGTCCTCATTTTATAGATGGGAAAACTGAGGCTCAGAGACCCAGCATCACAGCAAGAGAGTGGCAGAGCTGGTCCAGGAGAGCTCAAGGTGAGTTGATAATCTAGCTCTGTTGACAGTCTAGTTCTAGTTCTATCACCCACTTACTGTGTGACCTTGGGAAAGTCACAGCCCATTTCTGGGACTCCCTTTTCTGTCCCCATCTATATAATAAAGAGGTTAGGTGAAATGCCAGCACTTTGGGAGGCCGAGGCGGGCAGATCACTTGAGATCAGGACTTCAAGACCAGCCTGGCCAACATGGTGAAACACCATCTCTACTAAAAATACAAAAATTAGCCGGACATGGTGGCAAGCGCCTGTAATCCCAGCTACTCGGGAGGTTGAGGCATGAGAATCGCTTGAACCCGGGAGGCAGAGGTTGCAGTGAGCCGAGATCGTGCCACTGCACTCCAGCCTGGGTGATAGAGCAAGACTCAATCTCAAAAAAAAAAAAAAAAAAGAGGTTAGGTGAAAACTATTTAATCACTAATGGCCCCTTCATTCCTATTTGATGATTTATCAGCAAAACAAGGCAAGTTGGAAAGCTGCATTCCAGAGCACTAAGCTCCTGGGAAGGATGGTGCAGTATCAAATAGAAACGATCAGACCCCATTACTGCTCTGAAAGTGCTCCTGGTGTGGTGGACACATAAATAGACAGAGACAACCTGGTGTAATCATAATAATGACAAACAGAAGCACAGGAACTTCAAGAGCCCAGGAAAGAGGCTCCTGAGCCAGCCAGGACCATAGAAGATCTCTTGGAGGAAGTAATATTTGAGCTGAATTTGGCAGAAGCACAAGGCAAGAGCAAGGAGTTGCCATTTGACTAGAATAAGGAGAAACAAGGCTGCAAGAAGACAGGCTTTGAATAGCAGGCTAAGGAATCATCCTCTCTCATGAAACATCCTACAAAGACTGGGTGGGAGCCAGGACACCGGCTTTAAAACCTACTTCTGCTATGAATTTGTTGGTTGACCTTGAAAAGACACTATTTCTGGACTTCAGACTCAGCATCTGTCTCCCTGCTGTTTAATAGAAGTGAGGGAGGAGGTGGGAAGAGAGGCTCAGTCAGGCTTGACGGCTCTGAATTTCTCCCCTCAAACCCCAATTCAGCCTAACTCGGTGGCATTCAATCCATAATTGACTTCTCTGAGCTGTAACAACGTTCAGAATAAGGTAGTTTGCATCTCTTTGGGTATTAGAAAAACCTGGTGATTTGCTTAGGCAGGTTGGGTCTGTTAACTGAGGGTTATCTCTTAAGTGGAGGTGCAGCAGTTTTGCTTTCCTGCTTGTGTAATTGGGGCCGAACTGTAGAATACTCTTTCAAGGGAGCATTCACAATGGAGTGGTCTGTCCCATGTGTCTTTTTGTTTATTTGTTTTGTTTAAAAGACAGGGTCTCCCTCTGTTGCCCAGGCTGGGGTGCAGTGGCATGATTATAGCTCACTGCAGTCTTGAACTCCTGGGCTCAAGTGATCCTCCTGCCTCAGCCTTCTGAGTAGTGAGACCACAGGCACAAGCCACTGTACTTGGCTAGTTTTAAAATTTTTTTGTAGAGACAGGGTCTTGCTATGTTGCCCAGGCTGGCCTCAAACTCCTGGTCTCAAGCAATTCTCCCACCTTGGTCTCCCAAAGTTCTGGGATTACAGGTGTGAACCCCTGTGCCCTGCCTCATATGTCTTTTAGAAAGACATTATACCTGCCTTCACTCTCTGACAGAAAACCAGCCCACCCCACACTTAGGAAACTAAAGAACAAACTCTGAAATTTGTAGTTTGCTGCTGACAATATCAGCCAAATATATGGAGAAGGAAAGAGAAAACCTTTGCCCCAGTCTCTCCCCTCATGAAAATTTGAGCTTCCAGATTCTCCAGGGAACCGACGATAGAAGAATGCTGCTCTGGGGGTTAGAGCCTGGGCTCCAGTCCTATCTCTGTGGCTCGCCGGCCATGACAGTATGGGAAAGCCCTGGATCTTTTTGTCTTTTGCCCTTTCTATATTAAAAGAAAAAGCTGGCTGGGTGCGGTGGTTCACGCCTGTAATCCCAGCTCTTTGGGAGGCTGAGGCAGGTGGATCACTTGAGGTCAGGAGTTCGAGACAAGCCCAGCCAACATGGTGAAACCCCGTCTCTGCTAAAAATACAAAAACTAGCTGGGCATGATGGCACATGCCTGTAATCCCAGCTACTCAGGAGGCTGAGGCACACGAATCACTTGAACCCGGGAGGGCAGAGGTTGCAGTGAGCCGAGCTTGTACCACTGCACTCCAGCCTGGGTGGCAGAGCAAGACTCTGTCTCAAAAAAAAAAAAAAAAAAAAAAAAAAAAAGAAAAAGAAAAAGAAAAAAAAGAAAAGAGAAAAGGAAAAGCCGCCTGGATATTTCCAGGTTTGGAATTTTTTATGATTCAATGGCATGAGAGATATTTTATTAGAGGTAAGAAAAATAGGGAAAATCAGAGAGAAGGTAATCATCAGATCATCAGGTAATCATCTTGGAATCATCAGGGTCAAGAGACAATGATGTAAACATAAACGTGAACTTCCTCCTGGATTGTTTATTCAGAGAGACATCCCCAACAGAGTAGAGCAGTCAATATTCTCCCTCAGTTAAAGATCTCCGGTTCTGTGGGAGGACAAAAGCACACATCTCTTCTTCCTTGACAGGGGGAGAACAACCTCTAGAATGGGGTCTTCTGCCTTTGGGCACTTGTCACAAGACGACTTGTTCTCTAGCAACAATGGCTCCCAAGACTCCCAAGTTTTCAGACTCCTGTAGTACTGTCTTATCTGGGGCTAGGGAAGACTACAGGATAGTGATAATGAAATGGTTAATCAGAAACACCTGCTGAACAGCGTAGCTGATAGGAGAGATGAAAAGTCATGCTCTTACAGAGGGACATCCTCCAATCTCTGTTTCTGCTATTGGGTAGAATACACCTTTAACTTAGATTCCAACCTGGAAGCAAGTCCTCTCACAAAAGGCATCTTTTGCCATTCCTTTTATTGTAATATGACAAAAAACATTTATTTATTTATTTTTGAGACAGAGTCTTGCTCTGTTGCCAGGCTGGAGTGCAATGACGTGATCTCGGCTCACTGCAACCTCCACCTCCCAGGTTCAAGCGATTCTCCTGCTTCAGCCTCCTGAGTAGCTGGGATTACAGGCGTGTGCTACCATGCCCAGCTAATTTTTCTATTTTTAGTACGGACGAGGTTTCACCATGTTGGTCAGGCTGGTCTCAAACTCCTGACCTCATGATCCGCCCGCCTCAGCCTGCCAAAGTGCTGGGATTGCAGGCATGAGCCACTGCACCTGACCTTATCTTTTTTTTTTTAATCTTATTTTTCATTTTTAAATTTTTTTGTAGAGACAGGGTTTTGCCATGTTGCCCAGGCTGGTCTCAAACTCCTGTGATCTGCCTGCCTCAGCCTCCCAAAGTATTAGGATTACAGGTGTGAGCCACCATGCCCAGCCTAACAAAAGCCATTTAGATGAACATCAGAAACAGAAAAATTTAATCCATGGTGACAGAAGTCACAACAATAGCTACATTGGGGGTAGCAGAATTTATTGGATCAGGTGCAAGGGAGCTTTCTGGGTTGCTGGAAATGTGCTATATCTTTAGCTGCATCACTAGCTGATCTATATCTCTACATAGATTTATATTTATATCTATAGATATCTATATATTATCTATCCCAAATATTTTTGGGCTTTATTGCACGTGAGTACCTTAAACAAATGAACAAACAAAAATAGCTGAATACCTTGTCTTACCTCTTGGTTATATATCCTGATGTGAAATTGCTAAGTCATAAGTTTAAGAAGATGTTGCCACACTGTTATCCGAAGTGGTTGTACTAGTTACCATCAATGTATGAAGGTACCAGTTACTACATATCTTACCAACACTTGCGGTCCTTTTAAGTTTAGCCATTTTAGTGAGTATGTATTATTAACATCCTGTATTTTAATTTACATCTCTAGATGGCTAATTTTTTCATATGCTTATTGGCCATTTGGATGTTCTCTTTTGTAAAGTGCCCACCTATTCAAGTCTTTCACCCATTTGTCCATTAGGTCATCTGTCTTTTTCTTACTTGTCAAGGTTTTTATATATACTGGATACATGGCCTTTGATAAATGTATTGAAAATAGGAAAATATCTTCTCCTAGTCTGGTTCCTGCCTTTTCTTATTCTCTTTGTATTGTATTTATTATTGTCTTTTTTGAGCGAAGTAAAATTTACTCAGAAGATAATGAGCAGATCTTATGTATACAATTCAATAAACTTTCGTAAACATACATGTAACCAAAACTCAACTCAATACATAGAACATTTCTATCACCCCAGAAAGTATGCTCTTGCCTGCTTCTTGTCAGTCCTCACACCCATAGACAATCACTGTACTGATTTATAATATCATAGATTAGTTTTGCCTGTCACTTAATATCAATTAAGTCATACCGTATCAAATATCAAATAAGTATACAGAAGATATACTCTTCTATCTCTGGGCTTAATTTTAGACATTTTCTACTGATCTATTTTGCAGGTCTCTAATCCTGTCTTCTATTGTGTCCAGTTTGCTATTATACCTATCCAGTGAGTTCTTAATTTCAAATATTGGATATTTCTGTTCTAGAATATTTGCTTGGTTCTTTTTAAAATAGATTCCAATTTTCTATTGAAATTGCCCATTTTAAAATCCATTTTGTCAACATTTCCTCTATTTTCTTTAATATATAAACATAGTTATACTAGAGTCCTTGTTTGCTAACTCAGGTAATGGGATCATCTGTATGTCAACTTTTATTGTGTATTTTCCCTCTTGATTGTTGGTCACATTTTCCTGCCTTTTGCAATAATTCGTGTTGTGCACCGAATATTATTTATATTAGATTCACAGAGGCCCCAGATGATGTCTCTCATCAGACAGATTCCTCCCTTCTCTTTGTTAGGCAGGTAGAGTAAGGTAGGCTGGCTACCTAAAGCCAGTTAAGGCTTGAGTTAGGTTAGGGCTGAGTTTCAGTTCTAGTAAAATTTAGTCCAACTTTGGTTTGTTCTTGTTCTTAAGGTATGACCCTCCTGAGTTGTGGGCTGATAGTCTGGTTGATCCTTATCTCCTCACCCCGGAAGGAGTGTGGGAGATTTGCATCTACCCTTTGGTGGTTTGGAGCTTAATTCGTTAGCCGCATTCCCCATCCCTCCTTTCCCCCCGCCCACTACATACACACATAGCTTCAAATCTTTGTAAAATGTTTTGAGAGGAAATACCAGTGTGTGTGTGAGGAAATCCCTCTTCCTCTATTCTCTTAAGCATCATGGGATCATGGGAGATTTTGTTTTGTCTTTTAGAGGCCCTCAGCACAGCTTTCTAGCCTCCCTTGCATAGCCAGAATTCAGAAGATGTCCCACAGGGAAAACTTGTTATGCATTTAGAGTGCCTCAAATTTCCAGTATGTTTTGTAAGCCTTTTTTGACTATCACAAGTCTTACTGGTTTCTCTTTCTCTCATCTATGACTCTCTGCCTGGTCCAAGTCTAAGCCACATCATGGTCCCCAAATCAAATATTCCCAGAGAACAAAAGAGCTGGTGATTATTAGTTAACTTTGGAGGGTCCCCACCCATTGGAGTTTGCCTTCATCTCATCCTTATGGCACCCATATTCCTCAATTTGTTTAAAAATGTGATTTGTGTAATTTATCCAGGTTTCCCTAATCATTGCAGTGAAAGTGTTGGGCTATCATGGTCTATTATATCCAATACAGGAGCAGAAGTCCAGACACCTAGCTTAAATGGAGTCAGAAAGAACCACTAGTCAAGGCATACAAGAAAGAAACTTAATAAGAGTGTGAGCAGCTGCATAGTACACACAGCCTTGGAGAAAGAAGCCCCTCAATGGAACATGATGGAACTTTGAGTGAGTACAAAAGTAGAGACATGAGCTTAAGGACTTGATTTATGAGATCTGACATCAACTTAAACCACACAGCATGGAAACTAAGATGAAGACCAGAAGAAGCCTTTCCAAAGCACTTTCACAATTATAATTCAACAATCAACTGTTTAGATCTGATTTTCCCAGTAAAATATAAACTCTGGGAAGACAGGAACTTTGCCTGCCTTCTTCAATTTGATCACTTCATCACCTAAACAAAGCATACAGACTTCTATTTGGTTGGTTATTAATTAATTAATAATCAATATTTGACAAATTTTGCGTTCACATGGCAAAAGTCAATACCATAGCCCCTCATCAGTCCTCTACAGTTGGTTGTAAATAATTCTGCTTATATTACCTACAGAGTAAACATTATAGCATTATCACTCCAGAATCCTTTGTTTCTATGGTTTCCAGATGTTTCCAATGTCTAGATGTTCCAGCTGCCCATCTCTGAGAAATCCAGCTGTGTCTCACAATGGATGCCACAGCCTGTAATGAATCAGTGGATGGCTCACCCGTCTTCTATCTATTGGGCATCCCCTCTCTGCCAGAGACCTTCTTCCTCCCTGTGTTTTTTATTTTCCTCCTCTTCTACCTTCTCATCCTGATGGGTAATGCCCTGATCCTGGTGGCCGTGGTGGCAGAGCCCAGCCTCCACAAGCCCATGTACTTCTTTCTGATCAATCTCTCCACCTTGGACATCCTTTTCACCACAACCACTGTCCCCAAGATGCTGTCCTTATTCTTGCTTGGGGACCGCTTCCTCAGCTTTTCTTCCTGCTTACTGCAGATGTACCTCTTCCAAAGTTTTACATGTTCAGAAGCCTTCATCCTGGTGGTCATGGCCTATGACCGCTATGTGGCTATCTGCCACCCACTGCACTACCCTGTCCTCATGAACCCACAGACCAATGCTACCTTGGCAGCCAGTGCCTGGCTAACTGCCCTCCTCCTGCCCATCCCAGCAGTAGTAAGGACCTCCCAGATGGCATATAACAGCATTGCCTACATCTACCACTGCTTCTGTGATCATCTGGCTGTGGTCCAGGCCTCCTGCTCTGACACCACCCCCCAGACCCTCATGGGCTTCTGCATCGCCATGGTGGTGTCCTTCCTCCCCCTTCTCCTGGTGCTTCTCTCCTATGTCCACATCCTGGCCTCAGTGCTTCGCATCAGTTCCCTAGAAGGACGGGCAAAAGCCTTCTCCACCTGCAGCTCCCACCTTCTGGTCGTGGGCACCTACTACTCATCTATTGCCATAGCCTACGTGGCCTACAGGGCTGACCTGCCCCTTGACTTCCATATCATGGGCAATGTGGTATATGCCATTCTCACACCAATTCTCAACCCCCTCATTTACACGCTGAGAAACAGGGATGTAAAGGCAGCCATCACCAAAATCATGTCTCAAGACCCAGGCTGTGACAGGAGCATTTGACCTTTAAATGCAGCTAACTCTGCTTCCAGGACACCAAATAACAGTGCTTAGCACAGAGAAAGGACTCAATACATGATAATGAAATAATGTTAATTTTTATTGGAATCTTAAGTTGTTGTATAAAATTTTACTACTTAGTAATTCAAGAAACCTTTACTAAAATAAAAAAAAAATCTTCATGGCAAAAAATTCTTAAAAGCAAAGTCAAAAAACAAATAAAAAACGTATCACAGGGAAAGGCAAATATTCATATTATACAAAGAATGTAGAAGATTGAAATAAACATTTCAATAAAAACATGGGCAAAATATATGTGTAGACAAATAAAAAAAAATGCAGTGGCCTTTAAATAATGAGTATTTACTATATAAAAAGAATACGAATTTAAATTGTGCTGAAATGTTATTTTTCACTTAATCAGATTAGCAGATTAGCAAAAATCCAATATTTTGACAATATGCATGTAGAAAAACAGAACTTTTATAACTTGCTTGTGAGGATGCAAACTGGTATAACACTACCGCAATACCTACCAAAATTACATATGCATTTACCCTTTGACTCAGCAGTATCACTTCTAGGGATCTATCCCGAGGAGTCACCATCAATCATTCATTAGGTTACGTATTCATCACTATACAGGGAACTGATTGAATAAACCATAAAAATGCATGATGCAGTAATAAAAAGGAAATAAGGAAGCTCTCTACTGATATGATATCATCTCTAGGATATGTGTTAAGTGAAAAAAAGCAAGCTGCAGAAAAGTGTTTTTGTAAGAAAGGAGATAGTTTGCTTAAAATTTCAGGAAAAAACTAGAGGGAAAATGTGAACTCATAAAGATGGTTATCTATAAGGAGAGGCAAGGAACAGGAAGGAGAGGACCAGAATGGAAGCAAGTCTAGACATATGTAATTATTTTTACATAGTTCAAAGAAATCAGAAAGAAAAACCCCACAATTCCCTCAATTTAAAATAAACAGAAGCACTTGACCCTGGCTGTCTCTCAAGTTAGTGGCATGACCACAAAGAAAATTACTGTAAGTGACTTTTACACAATGTTTTGACTATACATCCTAAAAGGGATGTATTAAAAGGACAAGAAAAATCACATCTTAAACTACATTGAGGAGTTTTTGTTGTTGTTGTTGTTTGTCTGTTCTGAGAAGAGGCCTTGCTCTGTCACCCAGGCTGGAGTGCAGTGGCGCTATCTCGGCTCATTGCAGCCTTGACCGCTAGGGCTCAAGTGATCCTCCCACCTCAGCTCCCTGAGTAGCTGGGACCACAGGCACATGCACCACTACCCCCAGCTAGAGTAGTTTTAAAAACATGAATATTATAGTTTTACTTCTTTAATATATATTAGATAAATTATATGTTCGTATAACCAAAACCATTTTTATCATTTTATTTTACCATGCATGGTTTTATATTTACAGAGAGTTTCAAAGATAGTATGAGAGTTCCCATATATCCTTCACCTAACTTCCTCTGTGTCAACATCTTACATAACCATGATACATTTATCAAAAGTAAGAAGTTAACATTTGTAAAATACGTACTATTAATTATACTAGAGACTTTATTCAAATTTCTCCAGTTTTTCCAGTAATGTCTTCTTTCCATTCCAGGATCCAATCAGAATGCCACATTGCATTTTATTATATCTTCTTAGTTGCCTGACATTTTATTGGTCTTTCCTTATCTTTCATGACCTTGACACTTTTGAAGAGTCAATAGTAAATTTAAATGCATATGGCTAAGTGAAAGAAGCCAATCTAAAAAGGTTACATAATGTATGATTTTAACTGTATGACATTCTGGAAAAGGCAAAACTATGAAGACAGTAAAGAGCTCAGGGGCTGCCAGGGAGACTAGGAGAAGGGAGGGATTAATAGGCAGAACACGGAGGGCTTTTAGGACAGTGAAACTATTCTGTATGATACTATAATGGTGGATACATGTTATATATTTGTCAAGACTCATAGAATGTACTACACCAAGTGTATACTATGGGCTTTGGGTCATAATGATGTGTCAATGTAGGCTTGAATGTAACAAATGTAACCACTCTGGTGGGGGATGTCATTCTAACAGGTATGTAGTGGTATCTTATTGTGGTTGTAATTTAATTTAATTACATTTCCCTATGACTAATTGTGTTGACCATCTTTCATGTGCTCATTTTCTATCCATATATCTTTTTTGGTGAAGTCTGTCCAGATCTTTTGCCTGCTTTTTAATCCAGGTTGTTTGTTTTCATACCATTGAATTTCAAGTGTTCTTTGTATATTCTAGGTACAAATTCATTATTAGATATTTGATATACAAGTAGTTTCCCCAGTCAATGACTAGCCTTTGAATTCGCTTACAGTGTCTTTTGCAGAGCAGAGGTTTTCAATTTTGATAAAGCCTAACTTATCATTTTTCCCTTATGGATTATGCTGTTTGATAACATATCTAAATACTCATCACCAAACCAAAGGTCATGCAGATTTTGCCCTATAGAAAACGAAGTTTCTAGAAGTTTTCTATTTTTGATTTCATTCTATGAACAATTTTGAGTTAATTCTTGGGTAAGGTGTGAGGTTTAGGTTGAGATTCTTTTTTTGTGTGCATATGAACATACAATCATTCCAGCACCATTTGTTATAAACCATTCTTTATCTATCAAATTGCCTTTACACTTTTGTCAAATATCAGTTGATTATATTTGTGTGTATCTATTTGTGGGCTCTCTATTCTGTTCCACTGATATATATGTCTATCCTTTACCGATACCACACGGTCTTGAATACTGTAGCTTTATAGTCAATGTTGAAATTCCATAATGTGACTCCTCTGACTTTATTAATTTTTTTGCAGTTGTTTGGTTATTCTAGTTCCTTTGCTTTTTGATATAAATTTTAGAACCAAGTTACTGGGATTTGGGGAGGGGAGGGACTATGTTAAATCTATAGATTAAATTTGGGACAGTTGTCATTTTAACAATGTCGAGTCTTCCATTCCATGAATATAATATATCTCTCCATTTACTTAGCTCTTTAATTTTATTCATTACAAACTGCATTCCTGGGATGAACCCCATTTGGTTGTGACATGTTTTGCCCTTTATATATTACTAGATTTGACTTGTGAATATTTTGTTCAGGATTTTTGCATCAATATTTATGAGAGATACCAGAGTGTAGTTTTCTTGTAATTTCTTTGTCTGGTTTGGTATTAGATAAATGCTGGCCTCATAAAATGAATTAGGAAGCTTTCCCGTCTCTTCTACATTCTCAAAAACATTGTATAGAATTGGTGCTATTTCTTCCTTAAATATTTGGTAGAATTTGCCTGTAAAATTTCCAGGGCCTGGAATTTTCTTTCAGGAAGTTTTTAACTACAAAATTAACTATTTAATAGATATAGAAATTTTTCCATTATCTATTTCTTTTTGAATGAACTTTATAATTTCTGCCTTTTAAGAAATTTGTCCATTTTGTCCAAATTTTAGAATTTATAAACATAGAGTTGTTTGTACTGTTCCCTTATTATCCTTTTAATGTCTGTGATGTCTCCTCTTTCATTCCTAATATTGGCAATTTGTGTTTTCTGTGATTTTTTCTTGGTCAGTTTAGCTATAGGTTTACCAATTTACTGATTTTTCAAAGAATCAGCATTTAGTTTGTTTCTTCTCATTTTCCTGTTTTCAATTTTATTGATTCTTCCTCTAATCTTTATATTTTTTTTCCTTCTACATACTTTGGGTTTAATTTGATCATTTTTCTAATTTCCTGACATGGGAGATTAGATCATTGATACGAGACTTTTATTTTTCAATGTAAGCATTGAAGTCTGTACATTTCCCAATAGCTCCTGCATTAGCAACTTCACACGAATTTTAATATGTTGCATTTTTATTTTCATTTTATTCCAAATGTATTTTAAATTTCCCCTAAAACATCCTAATTGACCCATGCTTATTTCAAAGTGTTTTTATTTAATTTCAGAATATTTGGAAGATTTTCCCAATCACTTTCTGTTACTCCTGTCTAGTTTAATTCCCTTATGGTTCAAGAATATGCTTTGTATGATTACTATTGTTTAAAAAGCTTTTCTATTCTTTTAAATTTTTTTAATGGCCTATTCTTTTAAATTTTTTAGTGGCCTAAAATATGACCTACCTTGGTGAATGTTCTGTGCACCCTTGGAAGTGTATTCTGCTATTATGTGGAGTGTTCTATAAATGTCAATTAGGTCTAGTTGTTTGATAGTGCTGTTTAGACCTTCTATATCTTAACTGATTTTCTATCTGCTTGATCAATTCCTGAAAGGGAAATATTAAAGTTTCTAACAATAATTATGGATTTGTCCATTTCTCCCTTCAATTTCACCAGTTTGTAAGAAAATTTCCACTTTTTAGATTCAGGGGGTACACATGCAGGTTTGTGACATGGGTACATTTCATGATGCTGAGGTTTGGGATATGAATGATCCCGTCACCCAGATAGTGAGCATAGTACGCAGCAGGTAGTTTTACAAACCTCGCTACCCTCCCTCCACCCTCTATTAGTCCCCAGTGTCTATTGTTGCCATCTTTATGAGCATAAGTACCCAATGTTTAGCTCCCACTTATAAGTGAGAACATGCAGTACATGGTTTTCTGATCCTGTGTTAATTCGCTTAGGATAATGGGCTCCAGCTGCATCCATGATTTCATTCTTTTTTATGGCTATGTAGCATTTCATGCTGTATATGGACCAATTTTCTCCTTTTTTTTTCTTTTTTTTTTTTTGAGACGGAGTTTCGCCTTGTTGCCCAGGCTGGAGTGCAATGGCACGATCTCAGCTCACCACAGCCTCCGCCTCCCAGGTTCAAGTGATTCTCCTGCCTCAGCCTCCCAAGTAGCTGGGATTACAGGCATGTGCCACCATGCCCAGCTAATTTTGTAGTTTTAGTAAAGACGGGGTTTCTCTGTGTTGGTCAGGCTGGTCTCGAACTCCTGAACTCAGGTGATCCACCAGCCTCGGCCTCCCAAAGTGCTGGGATTACAGGCGTGAGACACTGCGCCTGGCCATATTTGGACCAATTTTCTTTACCCAGCCCACCGCTGATGGGCACCTAGGTTGAATCCATGTTTTTACTATTGTGAATACTAATGCAATGAACATATGAGTGCATGTGTCTTTTGATAGAATAACGTATTTTCTTTTGGATATATACCCAGTAATGAGATTGCTGGGTCAAATGATAGCTCTATTTTATGTTCTTTGAGAAATTGCCAAACCACTTTCCACAGTGGCTGAACTAATTTACATTCTCACCAACAGTGTATAAGCATTCCATTTTCTCTACAGCCTGGTCAGCACCTGTTCTTCTTTGACTTTAATGATAGCCATTCTGACTGGTATGAGATAATATCTCATGGTTTTGATTTGCACTTCTCTGATGATTAGTGATGTTGAGCATTTTTTCATGTCTGTTGGCTGCTTATATGTCTTCTTTTTAGAAGTGTCTGTTTATGTGTTTTGCCCACTTTTTAATGGTATTATTTGGTTTTTGCTTATTGAATTAAGTTCCTTATAGATTCTGAATACTAGACCTTTGTCAGATACATAGTTTGCAAATATTCTCTTTCTTTTCTTTCTTTTCCTTCTCTCTCCCCACCCCTCCCCCACCCTCCTTTTTTGAGACAGTCTTATTCTGTCGCCCAGGCTGGAAGGCAGTGGCGTGATCTCAGTTCACTGCAACCTTGACCTCCTGGGCCTAAGCAATCTTCCCACCCCAGCCTCCCGAGTAGCTGGAGCTACAGGCATGTGCCACCACACCTGGCTAATTTTTAAATTTCTGTAGAGACAGGTTCTCTCTATGTTGCCCAAGTGTCTCAAACTCCTGAGCTCAAGGGATCCTTCCACCTCCGCCTCCCAAAGTTCTGGGATTACAGGCGTGAGTCACTGCACCCGGCAGTTTACAAATATTTTCTCCCATTCTGTAGGTTGTCTGTTTACTCTTTTGATAGTTTCTTTCGCTGTGCAGAAACTGTTTAGTTTAATTAGGTTCCACTTGTCAATTTTCGTTTTTGTTGCAGTTGTTTTTCAGGACTTAGTCATAAATTCTTTCCCAAGGCCAATATTTAGAATGGTGTTTCCTAGGTTTTCTTCTAGGATTCTTATACTTTGAGATCTTTACATTTAAATCTTTAATCTATCTTGAGTTAATTTTTGTTTATGGTGAAAGGTAGGGGTGCAGTTTCATTCTTCTGCATATGGCTAGCCAGCTATCCTAGCACTATTTATTTATTTATTTATTTATTTTATTATACTTTAAGTTTTAGGGTACATGTGCAAAACGTGCAGGTTTGTTACATATGTATACGTGTGCCATGTTGGTGTGCTGCACCCACTAACTCATCATTTACATTAGATATATCTCCTAATGCTATCCCTCCCCACTCCCCCACCCCAGCACTATTTATTGAAGAGGGAGTCCTTTTCCCATACTTATTTTTGCTGACTTTTTTGAAGATCATATGGCTGTAGGTATGCAGCTTTATTTCTGGGTTCTGTATTCTGTTCCATTGGTCTATGTGTCTGTTCTTATGCCAATATCATGCTGTTTTGATTACTGTAGCCTTAGAGTTTCAAGTCAGGTAATGTGATGCCTCCAGCTTTGTTCTTTTTGCTTAGGATTGCTTTGGCTATTTGGGCTCTTTTTTGGTTCCATGTGAATTTAAGAATAGCTTTTTTTCTAATTCTGTGAAAAAAATGATGTTGGTAGTTTGAGAGGAATAGCATTCAATCTGTATATTGCTGTGGGCAGTATGGTCATTTTAGTGTTGTTGATTCTTCCAATTCATGAGCATGGAATGTTTGTCCATTTCTTTGTTTCATCTATAGTTTTTTCAGCAATGTTTTGAGTTCTTCTTGTAGAGATCTTTCACCTCTTTGGTTAGGTGTATTCCTAGGTTTCTTGTGCTTGTGTGTGGCTATTATAAATGGGATTGTGTATTTAAAGTTGATTTTCAATGTTTATACATGTTATAACATTACAACATGATGTTGTAATGATGTACAAAATCTTTATGATAAATAAAATTATTGCACTTAATGTCATTTCTCTGAAAAATGACTAATTAATTTCATTTTTGTGAATTTAATTT
The DNA here is from genome assembly GCF_000001405.40 of Homo sapiens. Taxonomy (NCBI): domain Eukaryota; kingdom Metazoa; phylum Chordata; class Mammalia; order Primates; family Hominidae; genus Homo; species Homo sapiens. The sequence goes on along the minus strand of NC_000011.10, from coordinate 75,081,606 downwards.
CATTTTTTTGAAAACAAAAATCATCAAATTCCTTAATGCTGTATCAAACATAAGCAATACCAGTTCAAATTAGAGAAAAGGTATGCCAACACCAGATTTTGACAACAAAAAGAAAGTTAAAGCCCTACTATTTGTCTAATCTAGGTCAGGTAACCATGGAAATGAAAGAATATTAAAATTATTTATTTTATTATAGCATACATTGAAGAAAATCATAACCCCATTAAAAAGTGGACAAAGCAGGAGTTCGAGGCCAGCCTGACCAACATGGTGAAACCCGTCTCTACTAAAAATACAAAAAATTAGCTGGGTGTGGTGGTGGGCACCTGTAGTCCCAGCTACTCGGGAGGCTGAGGCAGGAGAATCACTTGAACCTGGGAGGCGGAGGCTGCAGTGAGCCAAGATCATGCCACTGCACTCTAGCCTGGGCGACAATGTGAGACTCTGTCTCAAAAAAAAAAAAAAAAAGAAAAAAGTGGGCAAAGGACATGAACAGATACTTCTCAAAAGAATACATACATGTGGCCAACAAACATATGAAAAAAAGTTCAACATCACTGATCCTTAAAGGAATGCAAATCAAAACCACAATGAGATATTATCTCACACCAATCAGAATGGCTATTATTAAAAAGTCAAAAAACAACAGATGCTGGCAAGGTGGTAGAGAAAAAGAAACACTTTTCCACTGTTGATCAGAGTGTAGATTAGTTCAACCAGTGTGGAAGACAGTGTGGTGATTCCTCAAAGACCTAGAGGCATAATAGCACCATTTGACCCAGCAATCCCATTACTTGGAATATACCCAAAGGAATATAAATCATTCTCTTATAAAGGTATATGCATGTGTATGTTCATTGCAGCATTATTCACAATAGCAAATACAGTGAATCAACCTAAATGCCCATCAATGATAGACTGGATAAAGAAAGTGTGGTACATATACACCATGGAATACTATGCAGCCATAAAAAGGAATGAGATCATGTCATTTGCAGGGATATGGATGGAACTGGAAGCCCTTATCCTCAGGAAACTAATGCAGGAACAGAAAACCAAATACCGCATGTTCTCACTTATAAGTGGGAGCTGAATGATGAGAACTCATGGACCCATGGTGGGGAACAACACACACTGAGGCCTGTAAGAGGTGGGGGCAGTAGGAGGAGGGAGAGCATTGGGAAGAATAACTAACAGATGCTGGACTTAATACCTAGGTGATGGGATGATTTGTGCAGCAAACCACCATGGCACCTGTTTACCTATGTAACAAACCTCCACGTCTGCACAAGTACCCCTGAACTTAAAAGTTGGAAATTAAAAAAAAAAAAACACAGAAATCCCATGTGTTTCTCATCCCAACTATCAATAATAATTATTGCCCTGGTGTGAGTCCATCCTGCACAGCTGTTCTCTTGAGCAGTGGTTGTTTATCTCTGTCCGCCTTCTCTCCCACCTAAGGGTGTGCCACCACCCATTCAAAGATTCGATGGACCTGGACATGAGCCCCCTGAGGCCCCAGAACTATCTTTTCAGTTGTGAACTAAAGGCCGACAAAGATGATCACTTTAAGGTGGATAGTGATGAAAATGAGACCAGTTATCTTTAAGAACGGTCAGTTTAGAGGCTGGTGCAAAGGATTGCACGTTGTTGAAGCAGAGGCCATGAATTGCGAAGGCAGTCAATTAAGGTAACACTGGCAACTTTGAAAATGTCTGTACAGCCAACAGTTACCCTGTGGGGCTTTGAAATAACACCACCTTACGGTTGAAGTGTGCTTCAGGGCCAGTGCATATTAGTGGGCAGCACTTAGTAGTTGTGGAGGAAGATGTAGAGTCAGAAGATGAAGAGGAGGATGTGAAACTCTTGAGTATATCTAGAAAGCAGTCTGCTCCTGAAGGTGGTAGCAAGGTTCCACAGAAAAAAGAAAAACTTGCTGCAGATGAAGATGATGACAACAATGAAGAGGATGATGATGATGAAGAGGAGGAGGAGGATGATTTCGATGATGAGGAAACTGAAGAAAAAGCACCAGTGAAGAAATCTATACGAGATACTCCAGCCAAAAATGCACAAAAGTCAAATCAGAATGGAAAAGACTCAAAACCATCAACACCAAGATCAAAAGGACAAGAATCCTTCAAAAAAAAAAAAACAGGAAAAAACTCCTAAAACACCAAAAGGACCTAGTTTTGTAGACGACATTAAAGCAAAAATGCAAGCAAGTATAGGAAAAGGTGGTTCTCTTCCCAAAGTGGAAGCCAAGTTCATCAGTTATGTGAAGAATTGCTTCCAGATGACTGACCAGGAGGCTATTCAAGATCTCTGGCAGTGGAGGAAGTCTCTTTAAGAAAATAGTTTAAGCAATTTGTTAAAAATTTTTTGTCTTATTTCATTTCTGTAACAGTTGATATCTGGCTGTCCTTTTTATGATGCAGAATGAGAATTTTCCCTGCTGTGTTTGATAAATGTTGTCCAGGTTCCATTGCCAACAATGTGTTGTCCAAAATGCCTGTTTAGTTTTTAAAGATGGAACTCCACCCTTTGCTTGGTTTTAAGTATATCTGGAATGTTATGATAGGACATAGTAGTAGCAGTGATCAGACATGGAAATGATGGGGAGACAAAACTATACATGTGGAATGAAACTGAGTATTTTAATTAAAAAATAATACTTATCAAGCAACCATGCTGATAGGAACAGCTGAATTATATTTCTCTTCTCTTCTTTTCTTTTTTTTTCTTTCGAGACAGAGTCTCACATGGTTGCCCAGACTGGAGTGCAGTGGCGAGATCTCTGCTCGCTGCAATCTCTGCCTCCTGGGTTTAAGCAGTTCTCATGTCTCAGCCTTCCGGGTAGCTGGGACTACAGGCCATGCCACCACACCTGGCTAATTTTTGTATTTTTAGTAGAGATGAGGTTTTGCCATGTTAGCCGGGCTGGTCTTGAACTCCCAACTTCAGATGATCCACCCACCTCGGCCTCCAAAAGTACTGGGATTACAGGCATGAGTCATCGTGCCCAGCCATATTTCTGTTTTCTTTACTAAATAATGATTTTATAAAATTCCTGACACACAGGTTTTGGCATTCCTTCTCTGCAGTGTCATCCTCTCCTAGAATTTGCCTCTTAAGTTCCAGTCACTTTGGTAACCTAAACTCCAAACAGTGGGGCTTGTGTTTCCTAATTGGGTTCTACTTTCCCATCCTGCAAGCTGGGAAATACCTTAGGATAAAAAGCTGGAGTCAGGTGGAACTAGCCTCATGTGACTCCTCTCTCAAGGACTGCAGTCCTTCAAGACCTGCCATTGGTTGCTCTCTGAGGTCTTCAGACCATTGTTTTACATATGTCCAGCTTTTACAGTTGTTTTTGGCAGAAAGTTTAGTCCCAGAGAAGCCACACTGTCATAGACAAAACTTAAAAGTCCCCTTTAAATTTTTTTTTTTTAGACAGAGTTTCACTCTTGTTGCTCAGGCTGGAGTACAATGGCACAATCTTGGCTCACTGCAACCTCCACCTCCCGGATTCAAGTGATTCTCCTGCCTCAGCCTCCCAAGTAGCTGGGATTACAGGTGTGTGCCACCACACCTGGCTAATTTTGTATTTTTTTTAGCAGAGATGGGGGTTTCACCATGTTGGTCAGGCTGGTCTCGAACTCCTGACCTCAAGTGATCCATCTGCCTCAGCCTCCCAAAGTGCTGGGATTACAGGCATGAACCACTGCACCTGGCCCCCTTTGAATTTTTGAGGTAACATGCACTATTGAATCACAGCACAGCCCACTTGGATTTTAGAGCAAATTCATGCTTTTTTCTGTAGTTAACTATTCTCCTTCTGAAAAATAGTGCCTGGTCCTGGAGCAGACTGAATGGCTGACCAGGGAACACTGAATAAATATGAGTCCCACGCTGTTCCTTATGAGTTGGATATTAATTTGAACAAACCAAATATAAAATTGAACATGTACAGAAACATCCCTTCTTCAAATGTAAGTAATAAATGTTATTTTATTACGCTCAAGCAGATCTCGAAGGAGCGATTAAATTGAGTGAGTAGGCAGCTCACGCTCCCATGACACCCAGTCTTGCTGTGTTGGCAACTTTCCATCAACTCTAACATATGATCTCATGGGAAGTTCCCTATAACCAATTCCCTGACGAATAAAAACATTCAAGCCTGGTTTACAAATGTTTCTTCAAAATATGCTGGGCCACCTGAGTGGACTGCTGCTGCATTGCAGCCCCATTTAGGAGGGCCCTGAAGGATCGCCAACAAGGTAAATCCTGCCAGTAGGCAGAACCTTTGGCAGTGCATCTGTTTTTTCACCCTGGTAAGTTCATCTCACCTGAAAAGTGAAATGGAAAGAGGTATGGATCCATACCAGAGTATGGGCAAAAGCTAATGGTTTTGCTGGGATATTCAAGTACTTGGAAAGAAGAAGATTGGTGGAGAGGAGGTATGGAGAAGGTTTAAGGTGGTAGACCTCTAAGAATGGGTACAAATTGTGAAGATATTTGTATGCCATGTGACTATTTACCAGAGGATATCATGGCAGAAAAAGATCTCCAAAATCAACAAGAGTAGGCAAAATCAGGTAGATAAGATGATCCATTCATGAAAATCAGTTAGACTCTCTTTCCTAGATGCTTCAGTGTTTGCTCAATAGATTCATGAATAAAAGGCACAGTGACAAGGAAGGAAGTTGTGCATGGATTCATAAAGGCTGGTCTGGCTTAGCTTCTGCTAAGTATCCAATGTGTCAGCAACAAAAGACCAACACTGAGCCTATGATATGAACCATTGGCCAAGGAAACTGGCCAGCTATGGGTGACAGGATGAACACACTGGATCCCTTCCATTATTGACAGGGCAGTGGTTTATCTTTATTGGAATAGAAACCTATTCTGGATATGAATTTGCCTTTCTTACTTACAATGTTTCTTCTATTATCACTTTCTATAGATTTAATAAATGCCTTATCATCATGATACTATCCCATATGACCATGCTTTTGACAAAAAAAATCAATTTTATGGCAAAATAAGTGAAGCAGTAAGTCTCATGCCCATGGAATCACTGATCTTACAATGCACCCCATCACTCAGAAGCAGGTGGCCTGCTAGACTAGAGGAATAACTTATTGAGACTTAGTTTTGGGTGTTGGCTGGGTGATAATATCTCAAAGGGCTTGGGTGCTGTCTTATAAGCTGAAATACATACTTGTAACCAGTATCCAATATATAGAGCAGTTTCCTGTCTAGCCAGAATACACAGGTCTGAGAACCAAGGTAGGAGGTGGGAGTGCTTCCTCTTATTACCCCTAAGAACCCAGTTCTAAAATACATAGAACCTGAAAGGGAATTGGGGGGGGGAAAAAAGGAGAATCAAAGTACATGCTTCCTCCTCCCTAACTTTGGATTCTGCCAGTTTATGCATTTTAGTTCCTAAGCATGGAATAAGTCTACCAGGAGTGAAATAATCATTTCATTGAACTGGAAGCGGAGATTGCCACCTGAACTTTTGGGGCTCCCCATGCCACTGAATTAACTGGCAAAGAAGGGTACAATGAATACATCTGATTAGAAAGAGAAAGGAGGGTTGTGACTACATAATGGGAGGAAGAGGAGGTATTTCTGGAATAAAGCACTTCTCTGAAGTGCATATTAGTACTTCTGTGTACAATTAGAAAAGTAAGTGGAAACCCAGCAAACCAATAAAGGAGGATCTTTAATATGTAATAGCTCCAGGCCCCATCTTCTTGATCATTATATACTTCTGTTGAAGCTGTCAAGGCACTAGGCAGGGAATAAAGCCCTAGGTCTAAATTCTAGTTCTTCCTCTAGCCACCAGTGTTAATATGGACAAGCTGTTTCACATCCTAGACCTCATTTTCTTTCTCTTGGACTTCCTGTATACCCTATTGTTAATTCCTGTCTTCTCTGCTGTTGTGAGGACCAGAGAGGATAATGAGGATAAAGGCTACACCATTCGTGTAAAGTTTTGGACCCTTGAGGGCTGTTAGTAATGATCTTGTTATTATTTGCAAAGCCTAGAGACAAATACCACTTCTATCACATACAAGCTGAAGGAGATGCCAGAGAGTTGATCCCTGAGGGTTGGTAAGTGTGGCACCCCATGGAAGCACCATTGAGAGAAAGTACCCCAGGAGGCCTGCCAGAAAAGAGGGGCCTGAGGCTTTAATGGGCCATGGCTCAGCCCCAGCCTGCCACCTCCTCCAAGGCCTCACATGGAGGAACACAGGAGACACCAGTGTGGATCAGGCTCAACAGGTGAACATTGCTGGAGACGGAGTGCCCAGAGATAGGCAGAGAAATCTGGGATGGGAAGACAGGGCCAGGGTGTCCAGGGACTACAAACCTGGGCCAGAGGTCAGGAAGACACATTTGGTATGCACAGAGCAGGCACCCAGGATCCAGGTTGGAAGGTGCCCGGGATCCAGGTGCATGTGTGGACTGTGAGGCCTTTGGCCAGATATCCTGGCAGGCCTGGGCAATGGATGCACTCACAAATGAGATTCAAATCTTCTTGGCCAAGGCCTTCCCACAGGGAGAAAAGGCTGATGACAGCAGGAACCAATGGAAACATTAGCAACCTTTGCGCTCTTCCATGTTCCGGGCTCTTTGTAAGCATACCTAAGTGTTCTCTACCTAAAGAAAATCCCATGAGGTCACAGATCAGGGCCAAAAGGCTCAGAGAGGGGAAAGTGACTTGCTCAATGTCACACAGTTGGAGTTAGGAGCAAGGGTTGACTCCCGAGTCTGCACACGTAACCGCTAAGGTGCACATGACATAATGAAGGTCAAGAACCTGGCTCTGCTGCAGTGCTCCCTCAGTGCGAGAGCCCTCACCCTTAGAGGTGTGGGTCATGTGACATCTGTATCTGAACCCCCACTCTGCAAAATGCAGAGGGACACTCAGAAAATAGCTCATTGATTTGGAAACCTCTCAGAGATGATTTCCTCAAACCCTTCACTGTACGGATGAGCAAAGACCCATAGTCACAGCAAGAGAGTGTCAGAGCTGGCCCAGGAGGCAGGACTGTGGGTTGCCAGGCTCCAGGAGCAGCCTCTGCTCTCACACCTCACCAGCTGTGACCCTGAAGGAGGGCCTGGCCTTCTCTGACCCTCAGTTTCTTCATTAGTGGAAGGGGCATAAGCACTTCCTGGCAGAGCTGTCTGATGGGGAGAGATGATGTACAGAAAGTGCAGGATGACATTTGGATGATCAGTTTTTCTGTCCTTCTCTTTCCCCAACCAGCACTGTAACTGGCTCATAGACAAACCTAACTGGAAAGATCTGCTGGGCAAGTTCTGTGCCCTGGGAAACAGTGTCCTTTTAGCCCTAAGCACAGGGCTGCATTACTTAGAGATAGCATGTAATTCAAAATAAAATAACTCTAAATTGTACAGAAAGTCCAGCCAAATTCTGATATTTCCTATGATGGGCTAGTTGAATGGTGCTTTGAAATAATACATATTAAATTCTCTCAGGAAGTAGTTTTGGTGCCTCTGCTTTGCTGGTGACCCAAGCCTGGTCTGCCTGTTGGGTAGTCCGGCACCACCTGGCTGTGAAAAGCCTCAGGCTGTCTCTCCACCAGGGGGTCTCAGCATCCATGTCTCCTTCTGCAAAGCAGTGGATAGAGGAGAGAGGAAGAGGGGCAGCTGGACTGGATGGCCTCCAAGGGCCCCTCTGGCTTTGACCTTCTGAGTTTCTGTCCCTCAGACCCCCAACTCTGTCTAACATGGGGACAGTCAGCCCATGACTCACTCTCTGAGTGCAGCAATGTCCAGGGAAGTGCAGTTTGCCCCCTTTGGGTATGAGGAAAACCTAGCTACTGAATCTGTTGGGATGGGGTTCTGGTTAACTGAGGGATAACCTTCTCAACTTGGGACAAAGCAAGTTCACTCTTGCCAGGTCTTGCGACATTATTTTAAAGAAGCATTTGCATTGCTAGACAGTGATTTAGTACCTACCATGTAGAAACCTAGAGGAAAATTTGAAATTTAGTTTTGTTTGATGTTAGCAACTAGAAAACAAAAAAGGGAAATAGAAAGCTTTGTCTTAAATTATTTTCTCTTGGAAACTTGGACTTCTGTATTCTTTAGGAAACACGTATAAAAGAAAGAACCCTGTCCTGGCACAGTGTTTCTGGCTCCGCAGCCAGCTGGCCGTGGCACCCGGGAAAGCCCCTGGTCTTTCCGTGATCGGTCTCTGGACTATGGGGGGTAAATTAGTTGGACTTGAAAATAAACATCTTTTCCATTTTTCACATTAGTGGTTTTATCCATGAGAGATGTTTCGTTAGAAGAATGGGAAATTAGAAGTGACTCGGGAAAAATTAGTGGAAACTGCTCCTGGAATCATTGGGATTAACGAGGCAGTGATACAAATGTCAACAAAGACCTGTGCCGGGGGTCCTTTAGCGCAAGAGACAAGCCTAAAGTAGAGGGTGAATCAGTACTTTCCTTCAGCTCAAAATCCCTGCGTCTGTGGGTTGAAGCACTCATTCCTGGTTCTGAAAGGGGTTCTTTTGACTCGGAGCAGCTACTACGAACAGATCTCCAGTTAGTTCTTTTCTATCAATCATGCCTCCCAAGTTTTCCCAGGTTACCATGACACTTTCTGACTAGCAAAGAAGCAGAGAAGCCTACTGGGTAGTGGGAATGCAGTGGTCAAACAGGAGCACAGCTGAGCTGCAGCAGCCAGCAGGGAGGGAAGCTCAAAGGAGTTACAGAGACTGTCTTGGATTCTCTGTTGTTGCCCAGCTGTGGAAGAAGCCATTATCAGGAACCCGGTCAGGAATGACTCGTCCTTTCAAGAGCATTTCAGTGTCACTCCCTTCCCTATAACATAACAAAGAGCCCCATAGTCAGAGACAGGATACAGAGAACTCAGCTTAGATGGAAATAGCAGAACCACTGCACCAAGCAAACAAGACAGAAAGGAGCCATTCCCTAGTTAATAATTATGATGGAAAGACAGCATGTTGCAGTGAACCTGGGAGAAATCAGCCCTCCCTATTCAATGTGGTAACAAAGATGCCATTTTTAAAAAACTTAAAGCAAATGCCAACAGAAAAAGGAACTCGGTGTTCTGGTTTAAGAGATCTGATATCCCCAAAATAATCATATGGAACATGGAAAAGTGGACTAGAAGTTCTTCCAAAGCACTTAACACAATTGCAATTAAATAATTATGTGATTCATTGCTTAATGTCTTTCTTCAGCCCCACCAACTTGTCTACTATATATCCAGCAAATAACACGATTTATATATTGTAGGTACTTTTTCCATACTTGATTTAAAAAGGAAAGAGAGAATTCTGGGATAGGATGAAGAATTTTTAGATAAGATAGAGCCCATTATCTATTTATTATACAGTGATCATTAAGTAATTCTCCTTACAGAATCTCTGGTTGTTTTGGCTTCCAGATGGGCCTGGTTCCCAGGTGTTCCCAGTACTCAACTTCGGAGCCTCCAGCTTTAACCCACTATGGAAACAATCACCTGTAATGGATCAGGGGACTCCTCAACCACCTTCTACCTTATGGGCATCCCCTCTCTGCCAAAATCCCTTTTCCTTCCTATTTTCTTTGTCTTTCTCCTCCTCTACGTGCTCATCCTGATGGGTAATACCTTTATCCTGGTGGCTGTGGTGGCCAAGCCCAGCCTCCACAAGCCCATGTACTTCTTCCTGATAAACCTCTCCACCTTGGACATTCTTGTTACCACAACCACTGTCCCCAAGATGCTGTCCCTGTTCTTGTTTGGGGACAGCTTCCTCAGCTTCCCTGCCTGCTTCCTGCAGATGTACCTGTTCCACAGCTTCTCCTGCTCAGAAGCCTTCATCCTGGTGGTCATGGCCTATGACCGCTATGTGGCTATCTGCCGCCCACTGCACTACCCTGTCCTCATGACCCCTCAGACCAACACTGTCTTGACAACCAGTGCCTGGCTCACTGCCCTCCTCCTGCCCATTCCAGCAGTGGTACAGACCTCCCAGATGGCATTTGACATCATTGTCCACATCTACCACTGCTTCTGTGACCACCTGGCTGTGGTCCAGGCCTCCTGCTCTGACACCACCCCCAGACCTTCATGGGCTTCTGCATCGCCATGGTGGTGTCCTTCCTCCCCCTTCTGCTGGTGCTTCTCTCCTATGCCCACATCTTGACCTCAGTGCTTTGCATCAACTGCCAAGAAGGACGCTCCAAAGCCTTCTCCACCTGCAGCTCCCACCTCCTGGTGGTGGGCACCTACTATTCATCCATTGCCATAGCCTATGTGGCCTACAGGGCTGACCTGCCCCTAGACTTCCACGTCATGGGCAATGTGGTATATGCCATTCTCACACCTGTTCTCAACCCTGTCATCTACAAACTGAGGAACAAGGATGTCAAAGCAGCCATCACCAAGATTGCATGTCCCCAGGAGCCAAAGAATGCTAGGAAACCCTGATTCAAAGAAATAACTTCATCTTCTCTCATAAACATCAATAACATAGAGGGAAAAGTGGAAAATTTAGAAAGCCCAGTAGTTAGAACACTCATTCTCAAAATATTGTCCTAGGTAGTCCTCCATTATAATAAAATGATAATTTTTTTCTTAATTCATAGAAAAAAGAGTAGGATTTTTAAATTCAATTTTAAGGTGTGAACCCCAAATTTCACAAGACTGTGAATATAATTGAGGTCACATTACCATTAATTCAAACAGTTTTGATTCTTGCAGTTTCCAAGTATTTGATTAGGAAGAAACTCTGTCTTTTCCCTTGGATCTTTTCTTTCAATGTTTCTGAAAATCCCTTGCATTGCCAGCTATTAGATATGAATTATTCTTGCCCTTTTTGTTGAAATAGCAACTTAGATAGAAATATTCCTCAATGGAAAAACTCTGAAACTGCTCCCATCTCAATCCTTGTTGCTTGAAAATTCACTGCCACCACTGATTTTCAATGCCAGACACACAGGAAATTTGCCTCTGCTATCTAGACCCGCATGATGCCCTAGAAGCAGAGCATGCCCCTCACCCAGCTTATGCTCAGGCAAGCAGTGTCCCTTAGCACACCTGTTTGGGTAAAAAACATTAGTTATTTTAATTATCAGCACACCATAGTTTCCCCATGGTGGCTAAGTAGAGACACTGGGTGGCTGAGTGGAGAAGTTTCTCCTTATCAGAAGTATGCTGTTCCTGGGGCCACCACCCTTTCTCAAAATATGGTCCTAGATATTCCTCTTTCTGCCCCAAGTGGCAAGCCCAGGCTCCTTTTTCCCTTCTCCTATGGCAAATTTCCTCTTGAAGACCTGTCAGGTTTGTCCACTGAGGGACATGTAAAACAGTGAAAAGTGTTAAGGGGGAACCCAGGTGAAAAAAATATCCTCATCTTTGGCTCTTTACAGATAAGAGTCCCAGTTTTTGTCAATCAAGGCAATACTGTTAACCATTTTCCCATTGCATAAGACCCAATGTAAATGGGAACTCAATGGGTGCAATTCAACAAAGGATATGATTTGTTCCTGAACTCAGCTTTCAGTGATCTCAGAGATCCTGCTATGGTCAGAAATGGCTTCCCAAAACAGGGTGATATGAAGGCTCTGAGTTTCCTTGTTTACTGACCCTGGGCAGCTGGGATTGGGATTTATGTACTTTTATCTAAACATTACTAATTCTGCAAGACATTTATTTCTCATTCCTTGAAACTTATGTCTAAATGTCAGTGGGAACACATCCTCAAAGTCTAAAGGAGATAGCCTAATAAGTCGCCTTGCCCCTGAGTTGCATGCACTATCAGAATTAACCTAAGGGCGTAGAGGGGAAATTTTTTTTTACTGTCGACTCCACTACCACCCAATAAACAATTCCCAGAGTACTCCTGTGTTACTACCAAAGTTCTGTTTGGGGTTTATCTGTTCAGAACTTCCCTTCTGGTATCGATTTCAGTTTCAGGTCAGGGCTTTGGTTTGCTGTGTCCCCAGATCATGACATCTTTTCATCTTTAGCTCCCCTTCTAGATGAACAAAGAATGAAACACATGTTAAGTGAATGGTAGGGATATGGAATCTCAGGCTAGTTCTACCCTCACTCAATATTTTCCTGTGGTTTCTCCTAAACATTTGTCATGAGTAGACATGAAATCATAGCAACAACAATGTTTTTCACTTGTAGCTATACCTGCTAATTGGTAGTCTCTCAGTATTTCCCAACTAAGAAAAAATTGCTTCAACTTTTGTACATCAAAGGACACTATCAAGAGAGTGAAAAGACAACCCACAGAATGGGGGAAAGTATTTGCCAATCACTTATCTGATAATAAATTAATAATTATTATTAAAATAATCAATAATTAATTATTATATTATATTGATAAATTATATGATAACTTTATTATATTAGCATATATTATTATATGGTATATTATATAATATTAATATTATATTATAGCTAATAAAAATTTATAATGATAATAAAATATTTAATAATAAAATTATTATTAATAAAATAAGCAAACCAGAAAATGATGTGTTGATAAGGATGTGGAGAAATTGGAACCCTTGTGCATTATTAGTAGGAATGTAAATGGTGCAGCTGCTATGGAAAACAATATGGCAGTTCCTCAAGAAATTAAACATATAAATACCACATGACCCATTAATTCCACTTCTGGTTATATATCCAAAAGAATTGAAAGCAGAGTCCTGAAGAGATATTTTTATCCTTATGTTCACAGCAGCATTATTCACAATAATCAAGAGGTAGAAACAACCTGAATGTCCAATGACAGATGAATGGAAAAACAAAATGTGGTATATACATTAAATGGAATATTATTCAGCCTTGAAAAGGAATGAAATTCTGATACATGCTCCAACATGGATGAACCTTAAAGACATTATGCTAAAAGAAATAAGCCAGACACAAAAGGGTAATTATTATATTATTCCACTTACATGAGGTGCTTAGAATAGTCAAATTCACAGGGACAGACAGTAGAGCAATGGTTACTAGGAGCTGAGGGGAGAGGAGAATGGGAAGTTATTGTTTTATAAATACAGAGTTTCTGTTTGGGATGATTACAAGGTTCTGGAAATGGTTAGTAGTGATGGTTGGACAGTATTGTAAATGTACTTAATGCCATCAAACTCTACACTTAAGAATGGTTACATGGTAAGTATTGTGTTATGTATATTTACCACAATTTTTTAAAGTTAAATAGTTTCAAGCCAGGCCATAGATCACAGGTCACGGATAGCCTGGGAGTTGGCTGCTTTTTGTCAGATGCCAGCTCTGGACCAAATTAGCTGTGGCCAGAGGGCAGTGTATGAGTTCAATCATATGATTTAACAGGGGCACCTAATCAGTGGAAGCAGCTCAGGGAGAGAGGGTGGGTGGATTGGGAAGATATCAATCAAAGAGTACAAAATTTCAGCTAAGCAGGAGGAATAAGTTCAAGAGATCTATTGTACAACATGATGACTATAATTAATAACAATGTATTATATACTTGAAAATTGAAAAAGAATAGATTTTGTGTTCTCACTACAAAAAGATAAGTATTTAAAGTCATATACATGTTAATTAGTTTGATTTAGCCATTCTGCAACGTGTTGATATTTCAAGACATCATGTTGTACACCATAAATATACAGAGTTTTAAAATATTTTTCATATTTTATTTTTGTTAATAAAAACAGATGGGGTTTTGCCATGTTGCCCAGGCTGGTCTCTAACTCCTGGGCTCAAGTGATCTGCCCGCCTCAGCCCCCCAAAGCACTAGGATTCCAGGCATGAACCACCACGCCCAGCCAATATATACAGTTTTTGTTTATTGATTAAAATAAATAAATAACCTACAAAAAGAATCAGTGGAGCAGTTTGTCTTAAAAAGAAGGGTGAGAGGGAGGGAATTTGAAGCCCTATACACTTGGTGGAGTCTTTTCACCCCTGTGAACCTGAGTTGCTGGTTGTGAAGGTGTCCCTAGACACCTTGGCTCCTCTCCATCCCCACAACCTTGACCCGGGTGCAGGTGTCACCATCTGATCTCTTCTGGATGAGCACAGCATTCTCTTCACGGATCTCTCTGCTTGTGTGCCCGTGTTCCCATACAGAAAGTGGCCAGAGCAGGTTTTCTGACACACAGATCTGGTCACATTACCACTATCCATGCGACTTAAAGACTCTCTCTGATCCAGCCCTGAACGATCTGTTTGGCCTCAAGTCTCACCATTGTCTCTTGCATGGCAATTCTGAATTTCTTTTCAGTTTCTCAAACACATCAAGTTCTCATTCTCTCTTCAAACTCTAGCAAACTCTTCTCTCTTCCTGAAGCACTTTTCCTCCTTGTCCATCTCACTTGCTTACATTTTACTCAGGCTCCTCCAGGGAATTATCCAGGAAATTAGAGAATTAGAAGCCTCCCTGGCTCCTAATTCTGAAATGTGAGGTAGATGTCATTCTTTAGGGTGTGTGTGTGTGTGTGTGTGTGTGTGTGTGTGTGTGTGTGTGTATGAATACATACATATATATATGCACAGAGTGGCCAAAAATCCCAGTCACCCTATGAGCGAGAGAGAGAGTCTCGCTATGTTGCCCAGGCTGGTCTCCAGCTCCTGGCCTCAAGCAATCCTCCCACCTCAGCCCTGCAAAGTGATAGGATTGCAGGTGTGAGCCACCACACCCTGCTGGTGCCCTGTAGCACTTTATAATTCCACCATTATGGCACTTTTTTTTTTTTTTTTTGGACCTTAGCAGAAAAGAGCTCAGAGCATGGTATACTCATTAGTTTCTGCAGGCCCCTTGCTTGTTTTACTTATTTTCCCCTTCAATCTCTTTCTCACATAAGCACAAGGCATAGTGCTGCTTTGTGTATGTATGTGTAATTTTAATTTACAATAAAAGCATTGTTTCATGGCTCAATGTATTTCTTACGTTTTTTACTCATTCTACTTTTTAAAGATATATTTATGTTGTTATTTATACATCTAGTTTCATTGGTTTCAACTGATACATAATATTCCATAGTATGATTGGATCACTTTTTACTTTTCTCCTAGTGGAGGGCACCTAAATTGCCTCTAACTCTTTGCTACCTTTATGTCTTCATGAATGTCCTTGTGTTATATCCCTTTACAGACCCATGGAGGATTTTCCTGAAATATATATCAAGGAGTGAAATACATTAGTCATAGGGTATGCATAACCTTTAGCTAAATACAGTCCATCCCCATCGTTTGAAGATTGCAAATTTGCCTGCTTGCTAACCCCAGCACTCACAGAACTTGCAGGGTCGTTCTCGAACATGCACACAGTGGCCAAAAATCTGAGTCACCCTATGAGCACGTTCCTAGCTGAGATCGAACAAGATGACGTTCTGCCTTTGTGGTTCAGCTCTGTAAATAAGTGCCCTTTTGGCGGGCTATTTAGAGCCATGTTTTTCACATTTTTATGCTCTTTTTGTTGGTGATTTCACTGTTTAAAATATTTCCAAGCATGGTGCTGAAGTGCTGTCTAGTGTTTCTACTGCAAGAAGGCTTGTGGAAAAAAAATATGTGTTAGATAAGCTGTGTTCAGGCATGAGTTCTAGTGCTGTTGGCCATGACTTCAATGTCAACAAATCAATAATACATGTTAAATACAATGTATTTAAATAGAAGCATATGTAAAACCAGGTTATGCATTGTTTGATTGATAAAAATGTTGTAACCAGAGGCTTGCAGAAACCTAATCCTGTATTTCCCCTAGAGAAATGATTCAGTATTCACTAATTCAGTGTTTGCGGCAACTTTATAAAACATAACTACTGTAAATAATGACAGTTGACTGTACTTTGAGATTGTTTCCTAGAATGGCTGTGCCATTTACACTCCCAGCAATAATGGACTAAACAGTTCCCATCTTTCCACATCTTCATCAAGACTTGCTATTATCCAGCTTTCTAATTTTTGCCATTCTTATCAGGCTAAAGAGCTACTTCGTTCTGCCTAATATGCACCTTTCTGATTACTAATAAATAGAAACACTCTTTAAATACTTGTTAGCACTTAGCATGCCCCCTTTGCAAATCTTATTGAGAAATTTTGCTCATTTCTTTGGATCTTCTATCTTATTGTATTGCTTTGCAGGACTTCCACATGTTCATGCCGTGTCAACTTTAACTTGCAAATATGTTTTCCCAGTTTATAATCTATTCTCCATTGAGCAGAAATATCTAATTTGATGTAGTCAAATCCATCACATTTAAACCTTATGGCCTGTGGAGTTTTAGTCTTTTCTTCTTTTTATATCATAAAGGTATTTCCCAGCAGTTTTTTCATTAGCTTCCTAGTTTTATTTTTCAAACTTATATCTTAAAATCATGTGGAGTTCCTCTCTGTTTAGGGTATAAGGAAGAAATTCCTCTTTCTTTTTCTTCATATCAGAAGCCATTTTTTTCTTAAATCTATCTTTTAAAAAAAATCTGTCCTTCCTCATTGTTTTGTAGTACCATCTTTATCAATATCAAATTCCTACACACCTCATCTACCTCTGAGCTATCTATTATATTCCATTATTATTTTGTCTATTGTTATGCCAGAACAATACTATTTTATTATTATAGCTTTGAAGTATGTCTTTTATCCTAGCTTTTATCCTAGCTGATAATGGAAGCCCCTTCATGTTTTTTAAAATTGACTTAGCTATTTGTTTGTCTTTATTCTTTCATTTAAATTTTGGGCCAGGTGCAGTGGCTCATGCCTGTAATCCCAGCACTTTGGGAGGCCAAGGCAGATGGATCACCTGAGGTCAGGAGTTTGAGACTAGCCTGGCCAACATGGTGAAACCCTGTCTCTACTAAAAATACAAAAATTAGCTAGGTGTGGTGGCGGGTGCCTGTAATCCCATCTGCTTGGGAGGCTGAAGCAGGAGAATTGCTTGAACCCAGGAGGCAGAGTTTGCAATGAGCCAAGATCATGCCATTGCCCTCCAGCCTGGGTGACAAGAGCAAAACTCTGTCTCTAAATAAATAAATAAATTTTGCAGTAAGTTTGCAAGCTCTCTCAAAAATTCAGCAATAATTTTCAGGGGGTTGCATTATGCTACCCCTCCCACTATAAATGGGGATATAGCTCCCCATTTATTTGAATCTTCTTTTAGTTTTTAATTTTTTTCAACAAACTTGGTAGTCATTTTTGGTAGGATAAACTTTATTATTTATGTTACTATTGTGAAAAAATTTAAACTTTTTTCTAATTGTTATGCTAGAGAAAGAAAACCAGTTTCTAGCTAGTATGTTGGTTACCAACAACTGCCCTTATCACACTGAATTATAATTACCTTGTTGTTACTTGTATGTGTTTTTTATGAGAAGAATGAAGCCATGTGAGGATGGAAACTGGGCCTCTTTTTCATCTCTGTATCCACAGCACCTCTCAGAGGGCCTGGGACACAGAGTGGCTTAATTAGTTCAGCCCTTGGCCCATGGTGTCACTCACAATTAGTTCCCTCCCTCTCTCTGAACAATCATTTCATCAGCTCCTACATTGCATGGATGGATAGACTCACGTCCAGACAGAGAGGATCAGAGAAATTAAAGAAAAACTGGAGCTATGGCCCCGGTTTCCTGGCTGAGGTCCATTTCATTTCCATTAAGCTGTCTTTGCTCATTAAGTGCCCCTCCCCTTAGCCTTATAAGAAGAATGAGTAAAAACAAAGTCAAAGGTCCATTCTCCTCAAGAGGCTTGAGGATCTGGAGGGTGATTCATGGCGACACAGAATTCCAGGGTGCCCCTTCTCTCAGTGCCTGATCCTCTACACCAGGGGTTCTCAAACTTTAGTGTGCATAGAAATCATAGTGACAGCTCATGAAAACACAGGTGCCTGGGCTGTAACCTGATTTTTTTAATCACATAGATCTTGGGTGATGCTGAAGGATTTGCATTTCTTTTTTTTTTTTTTTTTTTGAGACAGAGTCTTGCTGTGTCACCCAGGCTGGAGTGCAGTGGTGCGATCTCGGCTCACTGCAACCTCCGCCTCCTGGGTTCAAGCGATTCTCCTGCCTCAGCCTCCCAAGTAGCTGGGATTACAGGCACACGCCACTACACCTGAATAATTTTTGTATTTTTAGTAGAGACAGGGTTTCACCATTTGGCTAGGCTGGTCTCGAACTCCTGACCTCAGGTGATCCATCCACCTTGGCCTCCCAAAATGCTGGGATTACAGGCGTGAGCCACTGCACTCAGCTGGATTTGCATTTCTAACACAAGAAAGCACATAGTAAGCACTCAGTAAGCATTAGCTTTTAATATTATTGTGCAGAATTGATTAATTTAATGTCATCCCCATAATATTACTCAGTTTTGCCCAATAACTTTCTCCTTAAAGATAGTGGAAGAAAAATGTTTTACATAAAAGCAAACTATTTTCCTTTTT
Source organism: Homo sapiens (assembly GCF_000001405.40). NCBI lineage: Eukaryota > Metazoa > Chordata > Mammalia > Primates > Hominidae > Homo > Homo sapiens. The sequence continues at coordinate 75,063,178 of NC_000011.10, read as the reverse complement.
TTGCTGGGTAATGAAATGCTTTGTACCCAGCCAGATTCTTTTTTGCCTTAGCTGACAGGAACTCAGCCGCTTCCTCATCTTTTGCACCTCTCTTATTCAAGTGCCTAAAAATATCAATTGTTATTCTCTCTCCTGCTAACTTATTTTTTGTTATGTTTTTTCCTTTTTTAAAAACTTTGTCTATAGTTTCTAAAGCTATCTCAAAACCTTCTGATACACAGAATATAAATATATATTATATATAAATGCATAGATATAATTATGAAGACTTCTGCTTAAAACAAATTAATGACCACCAGAAAAAAACTTCAGGAGTGTATTAAGTCCATTCTCGTAATGCTATAAAGAAATACTTGAGGTTGGGTACTTTATAAAGAAAAGGGGTTTGTCTCATGGTTCTACAGGCTGCATAGGAAGCATGATGCTGGCATCTGCTTGGCTTCTCGGGAGGCTGCAGGAAAATTACAATCACTGCAGAAGGCCAAGAGGGAGCAGGCACTTTACATGGCCAGAGCAGGAGCAAGAGAGAGAGCAAGGCAGGAGGTGCCACACACTTTTAAACAACCAGATCTCACAGGAACTCACCAACTGTGATGAGAACAGCACCAAGGGGATGGTGCTCAACCATTCCTGAGAAATCCACCACCATGATCCGATCACCTCCCACCAAGCCCCACGTTCAACATTGGGGATTATAATTTGACACGAGATTTGGGCAGGGACACAGATCCAAACCACATCAAGGAGTAAATATTATTTTGTGTTACCTTTTATTCTCAGTAGATTGTCTTGAATAATCTCTAGTTTCAGGAAATTTTCCTGTCCCTCAGCTGCTTAATTAAGGCTCCTCATGGAGAGGTGGCTATCAGACCCGAGTAGTATGAAGGAAACATTAGGGTGCTACTGAATATCAGAACCTAGACAAAGCCAACAGTTGCTCTATGGCACCTTGTAAGAGCCTTGTGAGATTCCACTGGCATATCTGTATCTTACTGGATGACTCCTCTAGGTTCCAGAGACATAATATTCAGAGAAGGAGTCCTAGCCTCCAGAAGGCTCAGAGAGCCCTAGGAAAAGGTCTGGGGAAGGAACCTATTGCCCTCTCCAATGGGCTCATCTGCCCAGTTTGGGATCCTATTCATGTGAGTGGTTACCAGGGAAGGCTTGGGCACCCTAGGCACAAGAAGAAAAGAAACAGCCCCAAGAAGATGGGGTGGCATGGGTTGGGGTGGCATGGGTTGGGGGTGTGGAAGATTCGGGTTCTAGGCTCTGAAGGAGACTGGGAGGTACCTGGGCAAGGATCAGGTCAGGTTCAAGATGGGGCAGTCAGAACAGAAACTGACCCCTGGGACTCTAAATTCACCATCCACCCCAGTGCCTCTTTATAAAGGTCTGAGTTGCCAAATATGGTTCTTTCCTGACTTTAAGTCCCTGACAGCTCAGAGATCCTAGGGTCAGGAGACCAGGGGTCTGAGCCCAAGCTTCTCTGATTTGGAAGACTCATGACTCCCAAGGCAAGATTCTGAGATTCAAGATTTTCCCTCAAATATCCTAATATTCTATCATGTTGAAACCATTCTTAGAGTATAAGATTCTAAAGTTCTCAGATTTGAGGTCTATGGTTTGAGATTGTAAAGTTTTAAAATTTAGAAACAAAGATTCTTTTTTTATTTTTTATTTTTTATTTTATTATTATTATACTTTAAGTTTTAGGGTACATGTGCACAATGTGCAGGTTAGTTACATATGTATACATGTGCCATGCTGGTGTGCTGCACCCATTAACTCGTCATTTAGCATTAGGTATATCTCCTAAAGCTATCACTCCCCCCTCCCCCCACCCCACAACTGTCCCCACATGTGATGTTCCCCTTCCTGTGTCCATGTGTTCTCATTGTTCAGTTCCCACCTATGAGTGAGAATATGCAGTGTTTGGTTTTTTGTTCTTGTGATAGTTTACTGAGAATGATGATTTCCAATTTCATCCATGTCCCTACAAAGGACATGAACTCATCATTTTTTATGGCTGCATAGTATTCCATGGTGTATATGTGCCACATTTTCTTAATCCAGTCTATCATTGTTGGACATTTGGGTTGGTTCCAAGTCTTTGCTATTGTGAATAGTGCTGCAATAAACATACGTGTGCATGTGTCTTTATAGCAGCATGATTTATAGTCCTTTGGGTATATACCCAGTAATGGGATGGCTGGGTCAAAGGCTATTTCTAGTTCTAGATCCCTGAGGAATCGCCACGCTGTCTTCCACGATGGTTGAACTAGTTTACAGTCCCACCAACAGTGTAAAAGTGTTCCTATTTCTCCACATCCTCTCCAGCACCTGTTGTTTCCTGACTTTTTAATGATTGCCATTCTAACTGGTGTGAGATGGTATCTCATTGTGGTTTTGATTTGCATTTCTCTGATAGCCAGTGATGGTGAGCATTTTTTCATGTGTTTTTTGGCTGCATAAATGTCTTCTTTTGAGAAGTGTCTGTTCATGTCCTTCGCCCACTTGTTGATGGGGTTGTTTGTTTTTTTCTTGTAAATTTGAGTTCACAAAGATTCTAAGGGGAAGAATGTAAAAATCTAAAATTCCATGATTTTAGATATTTTAGATTTTTGGAGACTAATGTGCTAAAATCTTTAGAATCTAAGTTTCAATGATTCCAAATTCTTAAAATTTTAAGTCTAAGAGTCTAACAATCTGGGAACTTTGGCTCTATGATTTTATACCTATTCACTGATGGTACCTGAACAAATAAATAAACTTTCCAGCCCACCTGCCAGGAAGTGCTTGGCACCTCCCAAGATGATACTCAGGGGCAAACTTACATGAAGGTCAAAGCTGCCAAATGGTTCAGTCACTTCCTGGTAAGGCCAGATCATTTATGATGTGAACCTCTTCTCCACCTGCAACATCTTCACTGTGGTGCTGGAGTGGATACCTATTACTTTCCTGTGTGCCCAGTAGCTCTTGTTTTTAGGAACTGCAACTCCCCCAACTCCGTGCGATTCTAGTGGGGCTGGTGACCACACAGCACCACACTCTCCACCTCAAGGATGGGCACATGACCCGGTCTAACTAGAAAATCCCCATGTCCTGAACACAACAATTCTTCTACAAATGAGCCAATACTACATACAATGCGAGAGAGAGTATTGTGCACTTTCATCACTTGGGATCAGGAGCTGCAAGGATGGAGTAAGCTCTGTGAGTCAGGATTTGCTACTGGCCAACTCCTCCATTCAGGAAAAAGAGCCAGGACTGAGTTATTCATTAGGAACAGTAGGAAAGTGCCTAGGGCCCACTATACTTTCAGGAGCCCATGAAAATGTTTTAACTCTTTTAAAATCAGAAGAAAAGGAATACAGTCTAGCCTGGATTGTATTCAACTTTATACCCATGCAATTATAAAAATATAATTTTTAATATTGTTGTATGGAGGGAGGAACCCAAAAAGCAAAAGTACCAAGGGCCCATGAAAGTTATAATGTGACTCTGGAAAGGACTTATCTGAGAATGAAACCAATATGGGGAAAATATCTTTGAGAGATGGAGCAAGAACAGAATGATCAGTTGATATCTTGGGTCAGCCACATTAGAAGCCAAACTATCCCCATGGACATCCCAGTTAAGTGAACAAATGAATTTTGTGTTTACTCAAGCTGGTGTGTTGGACATTGTCATTATCTTGGCTGCCCAGAAGCTTCCTATGTTTGAAGAGTTTCCCACCTTCTCCTCCCACTGAAGAAGAAAAAGCCTTTACTTGCTTTCCAGTCTCCCTTGCAAGTAGAGCTCAGACATATGACCCAGATCTCTGGCCCTATAGAGATTTTGTGAGATACCTAATATCCTTTGGTAAAATTATCTGTTGATTAAACCAGCCAGAGTTGTTTTCTGCTATTTGCCAGACTAGTACAGCTAGTTTGAGCTGAACTTCTACCCTGTGCAACCAAAAATGTTTTGACTAATACACAGCAGAGCCAATCAATTATTGTATCTTCCCAACAGCCCAGCTGCTTTGTCCCTGGAGAAAGGATAGGTCAGGGTGAGTCCTACCCAGGAAAGGATCACAGGGACCAGAATAGCTATAGAGCACAGCTTGAAAAGTCAGTGTGATTTCAAGATTCCTTAATGCTTTTGTCCTTTTTCTCCCAGACTCCAGCCTCTTCTTTACTCAGGACTTTCCTTCTGACATCATCTTTAGAAGGTGGGGTGCAAAGAAAAATTATTTTGTTTGTTTCCTTCTCCCACCCACAAGCACCATAGACTTTCTCCCACAGGAAAGTCTAAGAAAGGTGCCTCCAAGGCTGCCTAGACTGGTGGACCTGGGGACAAAATCAGAACCAGCTGCGAGGACAAGGCTGCTAGGAAAAGCAGCTGATGGAGAAAAGCTCAGGAGGAAGAAATGCACCCAAGAGCGATGTGGAGGGAGGACAAGGGAAGGGCTCAGGAGACTCAGACCTACAATTTAGTCTAAGTACCTGTAAAGTGGCTTCTCTGCCCCATGGCCACACAGCCAGCACCATCACCTCATTCACCACCACCATCCTGAGGCCTTCGTCCCAACCCATCTTGTACTCCCAACATGATTCCAGTATTCTGAAGTACTGACTCCTCATTTTCTTTCCCACAGATGGTCTTGTGTTTCCCCTACAGATCTGATGCTTCAGATCTGTATCAACTGCCTTATTTGAGTATGGCCCCTACTTTGCTCTTGGGCCTCTTGCTCATCTCAATTCTGCTTCACCTTCTGATTATACCTGTGTCCTCATTACCCCGCAAGGCTGGAGGTGGAGACCAGGTGAAATGGTTTGGATATTTCTCCCTGTCCAAATCTCATGTTGAAATGTAATCCCCAATATTGGAGGTGGGGAGTCAAGGGGGGTGGTGTTTGGGTCATGGGGGTGGATCCCTTATGGTGGTGCTGTCCTTACCATAGTAAATGAGTTCTCATGACATCTGGTTGTTTAAAAGTGTGTGGCACCTCCTACCTCCCTTGCTCCTGCTCCTGCCATGTGCAATGCCTGCTCCCTCTTCACCTTCCACTATGATTGTAAGCTTCCTAAGGCCTCCCCAGAAGCAGCTGCCAGTGCCATGCTTCCTGTACAGACTGCAGAACCCTAAGCCAATTAAACCTCTTCTCTTACAAATTACCCAGTCTCACATATTTCTTTATAGCAATGCAAGAACAGCCTAATAAACCAGGTGTAAGTCATCTCAGTCCCTGGGACTCAGCACAGAGTCTGGCACAGAACAGGGGCTAAATCTTGTGACTGAATGAATTGTATGGTGAATAGCAGGTCATCAGTGGATGTTGGTTGATTGGTTTTACAAATGTACTCATTTAATAGAGATGTTTCTTGGATTAATTTACTGATGACTTCCAGGTTACAAAAAAGAGAGAGGCTCTCCCTCTTCCCAATACCTAAATGGAGGGAAGATAAAAAGTATAAAAGAAAATTGTTTACCAGAAGATTATTTGGTGTCCTTGAAGTAGAAATCCCAGTGAATGCAATGGAAAGCATATTCAAAGATAAACAGCAGGAAAGTTCCATGAAATAAAGAACTAATTCTGCAGCACTCTAGGTAACCTATTCTTATTTCAAGAATAATTGGTGCAGGAAGATCAATACCTACACATACCATGATTAAGTTATCAAACTTCAAGGATAAAGATAAAATATTTCAAGCACTTAAGAAGGAAAAGTCTTCTCCTTAGCATTATTCAATGTCACAACATTGTGGAACAATGTCTCTGAAGTCATTCAAGCCCAAAGGCAACAGGCAAATATTCTCAGGAACTCAGAAAGTACAGCACCCATGAGCTTTTCATTAAAAAACCTGCTACATAAAAGAAATTCAGAAAACCAATGGTTAAGTCAAAATAAAGCATTATGGAATAGAGAAGCAGTGACAAATGAATGATTATGAGCACTACAAAATCTGTTTAAATGTAGAACTAAGACTAAAGAACTTTGGGAATTATAACTACACAGTAGAAATCAATGTTTTAAACCTTGACCAAATAAAATTAATGATATAACTAACATTTCTGAGGATCAACGGAAAGTGAGAATAAGTGTACCAAGTCAACAGAGTCATGCATCACTTAAAGTCAGAGATATTTTCTGAGACATGCATTAGGCAACATCATTAGGCAATGTCATAATGTGCTTACACAAACCTGGATGGCATAGCCTACTACACAGCTAGGCTCTACGGCATAGCCTGTTGCTTCCAGGCTACAAACCTGTACAGCATGTTACTATATTGAATACTGTAGGCAATTATAACACAATGGTAACTATTCGTCTGTCTAAATGTATCTAAACAAAAAAGGTACAGTAAAAATATGATATAAAAGATGAAAAAGCTACATCTGCATAGGCCACTTACCATGAATGGAGCTTGCCATACTGGAAGTTGCTCTGGGTGAGTCAGTGAGTAAGTGGTGAGTGAATGTGAAGGTCTAGGACATTACAGTACACTACTGTAGACTTTAAAAATACTATATACTTAGGCTACATTAAATTTGTTAAAAATATTTTCCTTTTCAATAATAAATTAACCTTAGCTTACTATAACTTTTTAACTTTATAAACTTTTACATGTTTAAAAGCTTTTTGACTCTTTCATAATAACACTTGGCTTAAAACATAAACATACTGTACAGATGTACAAAAATATCCTTATATCCTTGTTGTATAATTTTTTTCTATTAAAAAATATTTTTTTACTGGCTGGGTGCGGTGGTTCATGCCTGTAATCCCAGCACTTTGGGAGGCCGAGGTGGGCGGATCATGAGGTCAGGAGATCAAGACCATCCCAGCTAACACAGTGAAACCTCGTCTCTACTAAAACAAAAAATTAGCCAGGCGTGGTTGCGGGCACCTGTAGTCCCAGCTACTCAGGAGGCTGAGGCAGGAGAATGACGTGTCCCCGGGAGGCAGAGCTTGCAGTGAGGTGAGATCGCACCACTGCACTCCAGCCTGGGCGACAAAGTGGACTCTGTCTCAAGAAATATATATACATATATATATATTTTACCTTTAAATTTTTTTGCTCGAAACTAAGACAGAAAAAAAAAAAAGAAACTAAGACAGAAACACACACATTAGCCTGGGCCTATGTGGGATCAGGATCATCAATATCACTGTTTTCCACCTCCACATCTTGTCCCACTGGAAGATCTTCAGGGGGCAATAACATGCATTGAGCTGTCCTTCTTCTGGAATACCTCCCAAAGGACCTGCCTGAGACTGTTTTATAGTTAACTTTCTTTTATAAGTAGAAGTACATTGTAAAATAATGATAAAAAGCATAGGATAGTAAATATATAAACCAGTAACATAGCCCTTTATTATTATCAAGTATTGTATAATATAGATAATTGTATGTGCTATACTCATATGACTGGCAGCACAGTAGCTTTGTTTATACCAGCGTCACCACAAACACATGAGTAATGCGTTGCACCATGAGGGCTATGATGTCACTAGGTAATAAGAATTTTTTTTTTTTTTTTTTTTTTTTGAAATGGAGTCTTGCTCTGTCGCCCAGGCTGGAGTGCAATGTCACAATCCCGGCTCACTGCAACCTCCGCCTCCTGGGCTCAAGTGATTCTCCTGCCTCATCCTCTCGAGTAGCTGGGATTATAGGCACTTGCCACCACACCCAGCTAATTTTTGTATTTTTAGTAGAGATGGGTTTTCACCATGTTGCCCAGGCTGGTCTTGAACTCCTGACCTCAGGTGATCCACCTGCCTCAGCCTCCCAAAGTGCTGGGATTAGGTAATAAGAATTTTACAGGCTGGGTGCAGTAGTTTATGCCTGTAATCCCAGCATTTTTGGAGGCTGAGGCAGAATGATCGCTTGAAGCCAGCTTGAACAACATAGTGACATGCAGTCTCTACAAAATTTTTAAAAATCAGCCAGGTATGGTGGCATGTGCCTGTGGTCCTAGCTACTTGGGAGTGTGAGGTGGGGGGATTGCTTGAGCCTGGGAGGTTGAAGCTGTAGTGAGCTGTGATCTCTCCACCGCACTCTAGTCTGAGCAACATAGTGAGACCCTGTCTCCAAAAAAATTTCTTTTTCAGTTCCATTATACTCTTATGGGATCATCATTGTATATGTGGTCCATCACTGACAGACACATTATACATGCATGACTGTTTCTTCTAAAATTGAAATGAGAAATTAAAAAATAATGACTCCAACCTCAGCGTTTTTCATAATTCTTTTAATTTCTTAATCTTATGCTTCTTTAATGAGATAACATCTCTTGAGCTGAAGATACATTTATTTGAAGTTCATTGGTTTCTTCAGTTTCACCTCAGTTCTTTTTTCTTCTCTTAAGTAAAATAAAAGTTATTTAATAGGTACAGAGTTTCAGTTTGGGAAAATGTAAAAGTTCTGGAGATGGATAGTGGTAATGATTATACAACAATGTGAATGTACTTAATGTCACTATATTGTACACTTGAAAATGATTAAAATTTTAAAAAATTCCTGTTCTCTTAGGAAAGCACTAATTGTGGTTGGCCATATAAACAAGTAGGCACCAGAACTGGATTTCAAACCTGTTCTAATCAATTCTGCTATAGGTATGGTAGAGAGAGCTCCTAACAGACTTCCTCTCCTCTCCACCCTTCCCCACAGATAACAATTATTAACTCTGGGGGGATTTTTTTTTTTAACTACTTGAAGATTCTGGAGAGCAACAAAAAGCAGACAAAGCCTAAAGAGATGTCAAAAACTTGAAAGAAAGGATAAGCGCAGGATGATTTTCCTGATTTTACAGGCTACAGTTATAATGCCAAGCACAATGACTAACACTTTAATAGAAAATCTGCATCCCTCAAGCCAGAAGAACCAGAAGACAGACGAGAACAACCATCATGTCTGAAAAGTCAGGAGTAGGATGGGGTAGGGAAGTCAGGGTAGACCAAGATACATTATAATCAAATTGTCAAAAGACAAAGACAGAATCTTGAAAGCAGCAAGAGAGACCTGAATAGTCACATGCAGGGGATCCTAAGGAAGACTTACAACTGATTTCTCATTAGAAATCACAGAGACCAGAGGGCATCCAGAAAGGAAAGAACCAGAGAGAAGATTGAGTTCTATCTATAAACTCTTCCTACATTCCTGGGATGACCCTGAACCACAAGTGTCTGGGGAAAACTCAAAGCAGCATGTAGCTAAGTCTTAAAAAACTTGAGGCTGAGGTGGGTGGATCATGAGGTCAGGAGACCAAGACCATCCTGGCTAACATGGTGAAACCCCGTCTCTACTAAAAATACCAAAAAAATTAGCCGGGTGCGGTGGTGGGTGCCTGTGGTCCCAGCTATTCGGGAGGCTGAGGCAGGAGAATGGCGTGAACCCGGGAGGCAGAGCTTGCAGTGAGCCGAGGTCACGCCACTGCACTCCAGCCTGGGTGACGGAGCAAGACTCCATCTCAAAAAAAACAAAAACAAAAAAACAAAAACAAAAAAAACTTAATTGATATTTTGGTTACAACTGACTGCAAGCAACACCAAACTTATAGTTTGAGTCCAATCAAGTAATTTGCTTAAAAAAAATCAACCAAGTAACATCACTGAGAATGATGAAATAGAGAGTGCCAAGAATTTGTTTCTCTACTGAAGCAACCATAGAGTTGGCAAAAACTAACAGAATCAAACTTTTTTAGAACCCTGGATCCAATTAAGAAAAAAACTTAAAACAACTATGGAGTATTTTATGAAGAAAGAGGTGCTACATTTTAGCATTTAAGAAAATCTCTTTCAAGACACTGGCTGACCACTGAGCTAACAGATGTAGAATTCAGTGACCATATACAACAAAGAATACAGTCTTTGCCAAAAACAGTTTGAAAAAGTCACAAAAGAAAAAGACGATGGCAGCATATAACAAACAATAGCAGCAAACTCTGGGGAGGGTGAGGAGAATCTGATTTCCAGAGTTACCACATTAGAATATTCAAAATGTCCAGTTTTTAACCAAAAATTTATAAGGCATGCAAAAAACAGGAAAATATCGCCCATTTACAGAGAACATTAATTAATTAACAAAAACTATCCTTGAGGTAGCTCAGACATTGAGCTTCCTAGACAAAGAGTTTAAAACACTTGTCTTAAGTATGTTCAAAGAGTTAAAGGAAACTATGAACAAAGAAACAAATAAAACCAAAAGATGTCTCAATAAATAAAGGATATCAATAAAGAAAGAAAAATTATAAAAAGGAACTAAGTAGAAATTTAGAGTTAAAAATTATAACTGAAATGAAAATGTTTACTAGGTGGGTTCAACAGCATATTTGAGCAGGCAGTACAAAGAATCAGTGAATTTGAAGATAGGTCAATTGAGATTACCCAATTGGAGGAGCAGAGAGAAAAATGGGTGAAGAAAAATAAGCAGAGCCTAAAAGACCTGCGATACAACATCAAGCATAACAACATATGCATTATGAGAGTACCAGAAGGAGAGGAGAGAAAGGTATAAAATGAATATTTGAAGAAATAATGGCCAAACAGTTCCCAAATTTGCTGAAAGACATCAATCTACACATCCAAGAAGCTAAACAAACCTCAAGTAGGAGAAACTCAAAGACATTCACACCAATATACATTATAATCAAATTGTCAAAAGACAAAGAGAGAGTCTTGAAAGCAGCAAGAGAGACCTGAATAGTCACATGCAAGGGATCCTAAGGAAGACTTACAGATGATTTCTCATCAGAAACCACAAAGACCAGAGGGCAGTGAATTGATATATTTAAAGTGATAAAAGAAAAACAAGTCTGTCAACCAATAATTCTATATATGGCACAATGATTCTTCAAAATGAAATAGAAATTAAGACATTTTCAGATAACAAAGGTTGAGGAAGCTCATCACCAGCAGACCTTCCCTATAAGAAATACTAAGGAAAGTTCTTTCAGTTAAAATGAAAGGATAGTAACAATAAATTGATGCCATATAAAGAAAAAAGATAAGATCTCTGGTAAAGATAACTACACAGATAAATATAAAAATCTAGTATTATTGTATGTTTGGTATATAAATCACTTCTTTTTCCTATATGATTTAAAAGACAAATAAATACAAGAAAAATTATTAATCTATGTTAACAGGAACACAATTTCTAAAGATGTAATTTGTGACAATAACATAAAGGAGGAGAAGACAGCTGTACAGGCACAGAGTTTCTGTATGCTATTGAAGCTAAGCAGGTATCAATTCAAACTAGATTATTATGAATTTAGAATGTTAGTTGTAATTCTTAGGGTAACCATTAAGAAAGTATCTTTAAGATATCCAGAAAAAAAAATGAGGAGGGAATCAAAATGGCACACTACAAGAAAATCAACTAAACACAAAAGAAGGCAGTAGTAAAGGAATTAAGGAACAAAAAAAGATACGACATAAAAAACAAGTAGCAAAATGGCAGAAACAAGCCCTTCTTTACCAGTAATTTCTTTAAAAGAAAATGGATTATATTCTCCAGTTAAAAAGCAGAGATTAGAAGAATGTATTTTTTAAAAAGTATTATCCAGCTATATACTATCTATAAAAGACTCATTTTAGATCCAAAGACAAATACCTTGAATGTGAAAGTATATCAAAATATATCTCATGTGGGGAAAGATGGCAGATAGGAGGCAGGACTAGCATGCAGCTCCCACTCGGATGGATAGAATAGCATGTGGAGACTTTTGCTCCAAGAACTACCACAAGAACATACCAGGAAAGCCAAGAGAATCTACAGAGCCTTTGAAGGAACTGGATCACCAATCCAGGCTCCCTGAGATGCCAAAAAACTGTGAGTCTGCTTGGTTTCTCAACAGGAAGGCTCGTGGTCTGGAGCAAGTTCTCAGCCCAGGTCACTGGCTGCCTGGAAATAGACGTGGTACTGTTGTGGGGGCACAGTGGGAGTGACGCTGGCCTTTAGCACTGCGGGCTGCATGGGAGCAAGGTGAGGCCTTAGACTGCCAACTTTCCCCACTTCCTTGGTGACTCAGAAGAGGCAGCCATAATCCCCTTGGGAATATAACTCCATTGGACTGGGAACCACACCCCCTGACACAGGAGCCACAGCAAGCCCCGCCAAATGAGAGGCTGAGCTCAGACACACCTATCCCTGCTCCCACCTGGTGGTCTTTCTCTACCTGCCCTGCTAGCTGAAGACAAAAGTTATAATCTCTTGGGATCTCTATGGCCCTGCCCACCGCCTGAGAAACCAGAATACTTAACCAGGTTTGCATCCTTCCTATAAAACCACAGCCAATGTGATCTTGCAAGTGCCACCTCCCGACTGGAGGCCAACCAACACAAAACCGGTGCACCAAACAAAAACACAACCAAGGATCCTCACAGAGTCCACTTCACTCTCCCGCTACCTCCACCAGAGCAGGTGCTGGTAGCCATGGCTCTAAGACCTCAAGATAGATCACATCACAGGACTCTTTGCAGACACTCCTAGTACCAGCCCAGAGCCCAGTAGTTCCACAGGGTGGCTAGACTCAGAAGAGCAAAAACAGACACTACAGTTCAGCTCTCAGGAAGCCCCATTCCTAGGGGAAGGGGGAGAACACCACATCAAGGGAGCACCCGGTGGGACAAAAGAATTTGAACAGCAGCCCTTGAATCCCAAATCTTCCCTCTGACAGTCTACCCAAATGAGAAGGAATCAGAAAAACAATTCTGATAATATGACAAAGCAAGGTTCTTTAACACCCCCAAAAGATCATACCAGCTTACCAGTGTGAACCCAGAAAATCTGAAATAGGTCTCAATTTAGAAAGTTTATTTTGCCAAGGTTGACGATGCACCCGTGACACAGCCTTAGCAAGTTCTGACGACATGAGCCCAAGGTGGTCAGGGCACAGCTTAGTTTTATACATTTTAGGGAGACATGAGACATTAATCAATATACATAAGAAGTACATTGGTTCAGTCTGGAAAGGCAGGACAACTTGAAGCAAAGGTAGGAAGACTCAAAGTGGGGAGGGGACTTCCAGGTCACAGACAGGTGAGAGGAACAGTTGCATTCTTACGAGTTTCTAATCAGCCTCTTCGAAGGAAGCAATCAGATATGCATCCATGTCAGTGAGCAGAGGGGTGACTTTGAATAGAATGGAAGGCAGGTTTGCCCCAAGCATTTCCCAGCTTGACTTTTCTCTTTAGCTTAGTGATTTAGGGGCCCCAAGATTTATTTTCCTTTCACATCAGCAATGGATCCAAATCAAGATGAAATCTCTGAATTGCCAGAAAAAGAATTCAGAAGGTCGATTATTAAGTTAATCAAGGAGGTGAGAGGAGAGAAAGACCCTCTCACATTGTTTTATATTGTTTCATATTCAGTAAAAACAACAAGGAAGTAAAACCAAAGACAGGCAGCCTGGCGCCAGGCCCGAAACCAGGCCTGGGCCCACCTGGCCTAAACCCAGTAGTTAAAAATCAACTTATGATTTAGAAGCAGATGTTATTCATAGATTCCTTACATTGTATAGAAGAACATTGTGAAACTCCCTGCCCTGTTCTGTTCCTCCCTGACTACCGGTGCATGCAGCCCCTGTCACGTACCCCTTGCTTGCTCAAATCAATCACGACCCTTTCATGTGAAATCTTTAGTGTTGTGAGCCCTTAAAAGGGACAGAAATTGTGCACTCGGGGAGCTCGGATTTTGAGACAGTAGCTGGCTGATGATCCCAGCTGAATAAAGCCCTTCCTTCTACAACTTGGTGTCTGAGAGGTTTTGTCTGTGGATCATCCTGCTACAGAGGTACCAGAGTAAAGTGAAGTCCAACTTAAAGAAATCAAAAACATGATACAGGATATGAAAGGAACATTCTTCAGTGAAATAGATAGCATAAATAAAAAACAATCACAACTTCTGGAAATCAAGGACACACTTAGAGAAATGCAAAATGCACTGGAAAGTCTCAGCAATAAAATTGAACAAGCAGAAGAAAGAAATTCAGAGCTCAAAGACAAGGCTTTTGAATCTGCCCAATCCATCAGAGACAAAAAAGAATTTTTAAAAATGAACAAAGCCTCCAAGGAGTTTGAAACTATGTTAAATGTCCAAACCTAAGAATAATTGGTGTTCTCAAGGAAGAAGATAAATCTAAAAGTATGGAAAACATATTTGAGGAAATAATAGAGGAAAACTTCTCCAGCCTTGCTAGAGATCTAGACATTCAAATACAAGAAGCTCAAAAAACATCTGGGAAATTCATCACAAAAAGATCATCGCCTAGGCACATAGTCATCAGGTTATCTAAAGTCAAGACAAAGGAAAGAATCTTAAGAGCTGTGAGGCAAAAGCATCAAGTAACCCATAAAGGAAAACTTATCAGATTAACAGCAGAAACCCTACAAGCTAGAAGGGATTGAGGTCCTATTTTTAGCCTCCTTAAACAAAACAAGTATCAGCCAATAATTTTGTGAAACTAAGCTTCATACATGAAGGAAAGATACATTCTTTTCCAGACAAACAAATGCTGAGAGAATTCGCCACTACCAAGCCAGCACTACAAGAACTGCTAAAAGGAGCTCTAAATCTTGAAACAAATCCATGAAATACACCAAAACAGAACCTCCTTAAAGCATAAATCTCATGGGACCTATATAATAATAACACAATGAAAAAAAAAACCCAAGGTATTCAGGCAAAAAAATAGCATTATGAATAGAATAGCTCTTCATATCTCAACACTAACATTGAATGTGTATGACCTAAATGCCCCACTTAAAAGATACGGAATGGCAGAATGAATAAGAATTCACCAATCAAGTTTCTACTGTCTTCAGGAGACTCACCTAACACATACGGATTCACATAAACTTAAGGTAAAGGGGTGGAAAAAGATATTCCATGCAAATGGACACTAAAAATGAGCAGGAGGAGCTATTCTTATATCAGACAAAATAAACTTTAAAGCAACAACAGTTATAAAAGACAAAGAGGGACATCATATAATGATAAAAGGACTAGTCGAGCAGGAAAATATCACAATTCTAAATATAGATGCACCTAACACTGGAGCTCTCAAATTTATAAAACAATTACTACTTGACCTAAGGAGATAGGCAGCAACACAATAATAGTGGCGGACTTTAATACTCCACTGACAGCACTAGACAGGTCATCAAGACAGAAAGTCTACAAAGAATCAATGGACTTAAACTATATTCTACAACAAAAGGACTTAACAGATATTTACAGAACATTCTACTCAACAACTGCAGAATATACATTCTATTCATCAGCACATGGCACATTCTCCAAGACAGACCATATGATAGGCCACAAAACAAGTCTCAGTAAATTTAAGAAAACTGAAATTGTATCAAGTACTCTCTCATACCACAGTAGATTAGAACTGGAAATCAACTCCAAAAGGAACCCTCAAAACCAGGCAAATACATAGAAATTAAATAACCTGCTCTTGAATGATCACTGGGTCAACAATGAAATCAAGAGGGAAATTTAAAAATTCTTTGAACTGAATGATAATAGTGATTTCACCAGTGGAGAGTGTCCAGGCTCTTGGCATCTTGAACAAAGAACTGGACAAAACACACAAACAAAGCAGGGAAGGGATGAACAGGTTTATTGAAAAAATGAAAGTACACTCCACAGCGTGGGAGTGGGCCAAAGCATAGGAGCTCAAAGGCCCCGTTACAGAATTTTGGGGAGTTTAAATACCCGCTAGAGGATTCCATTGGTTACTTTGGGTACACCCTATGTAAATGGAGAGGATGAAGTAAAGTTACAAAGTCATTTATGGCATACGCCCTATGGAGAGGATATTTCCTGTCATAGCTGAAGTGTGAATCAGCCTTATGTTCCCTACCTCCAGACCCTATTTTCCTGCCTCAGTGACATAACCTATCAAAACCTCTGGAGTACAGCAAAAGCAGTGTTAAGAGGAAAGTTCATACCATTAAATGCCCACATCAAAAAGTCTGAGAGAGCACAAATAGATAATCTAAGGTCACATCTCATGGAACTGGAGATGTAGCAGGACAAGCTGCAGACAAAATTCCTTAGACACAGGGTTAAAGAACGAAGGAGCTTTATTCGGCTGGGAGCTTCAGCAGACTTGCATCTCAAAAGCTGAGCTCCCCAAGTGAGCAATTCCTGTCCCATTTAAGGGCTTACAACTCTAAGGGGGTCCATGTGAGAGGGTTGTGATCGATTGAGCCAGCACGGGGTACGTGACTGGGGGCTGCATGCACCAGTAATTAGAATGGAACAGAACAGGACAGAGATTTTCACAATGCTTTTCCATGCAATGTCTGGAATCTATAGATAACACAAGCAGTTAGGTCAGGGGTTGATTTTTAACTACCAGGCCCAGGGCTTGCATCGGGCTATCTGCCTGCGGATTTCATTTCTGACTTTTAGTTTTTACTTCTTTCTTTGGAGGCAGAAATTGGGCATAAGACAATATGAGGGGTGTTCTCCTCCCTTATTCTCCCACTTTTGAGAACTTCACTCATTAGTGGGAGTTCTCACTTTCATCCTCACTACCCATGCCTTCTCGTAGGACAGATCAATAGTGATTTATATAGTATACGTGTGCTGAAGCATTTTGGTGAACTAAGGTAGCGATGAAGCTTTTTATCATTTGAAGGAGTACAGGTAGCAAACAAGGGAATAGTAAGCAGGTTCCTATTACTATTATAATTTCTATTATAAGAGTTTTAAATCCTCCTAGTGCTGGGAACCATTTTCTAAACATGGCCCTAGGATTAAATCCATGCCACACTTGCACGGGCACATATGCCAGTTTTGTCATATCTTTAACTATGTCTTCAACTGCTTACCCTTGATCGTCTATGTGTAGACAGCAATTGGTAAGGTTAAATTTCCCACAGACCTCTCCCTCAGCTGCTAGCAAGCAGTCGAGAGCCAAACTATTTTGATAGATAGCATTTCTCATCTGAGTTTCTTGCCGGGCCAGAATAGTCAAGACTTTGCCAGTTTTATTAGTGATTATTTCTAAGACAGCTTGTAACCATATGATTTGGTTGAGCATGTAAATGGGGTTCCAGTATCCCCACGAGCCATCTTATGCCTAAGTAGCAGGCCCATAGTATTGTATGACTTTCTTAGGGGGCCATTTATCATCTTTCCAATTACCTATAGCTATGTTTCTCTTTTTGGGGGAAGCATAAACAGGGAAGCCCAGGAGTTCACCTGTTTTTATGGGCAGTAGGAAGAAGGATGGTTTAATAGTGCCAATAACACAACAACTACCTGCCCACTGGATGGGTAATTTGGCGTAAGCTCTATATCTGCATATCCAGTATATTCCAGTGGGGGCTGTCCAGTCCTGGTGGGACTCTGGGTGGGCCCACAAGGTTTGCAACTTTGGGAATGTACTAAATGGATTATTTTTAGTATGGTTTAGACCTCACCAGGTGACTCTTTTTAATTTTATTTTAAAAACTGTGACTGGCCAGGCACAGTGGCTCACGCCTGCAATCCCAGCACTTTGGGAGGCCAAGGCAGCGGATCACGAAGTCAGGAGATCGAAACCATCCTGGCTAACATGGTGAAACCCCGTCTCTACTAAAAATACAAAAACAATTAGCTAGGCGTGTTGGCGGGTGCCTGTAGTCCCAGCTACTCGAGAGGCTGAGTCAGGAGAATGGCGTGAACTGGGGAGGCGGAGCTTGCAGTGAGCCGAGATCGCGCCACTGCATTCCAGCCTGGGCGACAGAGTGAGAGTGAGGCTTTGTCTCAAACAACAACAACAACAACAAAAACCAAAAAACAAAAAACAAAACACAAATGGCTCAGATGGGTTATAACACACATCAGGCTGGTCACTTCCTGGGCTACATACCTTGTACTGGGTGGCATTATACAAACAAGTCCTTCTTAGAGTTCCAGCACATTTATAATAACTATAGAATAAAAAGACAGTTTTAACTTTTTGCCCTACCTTAGTGACCTGATGTATACACTGGGAACAGTCCTTAGTTTGAGGAAGGTCAGTTGAAGTCCCTACTGTACAAGTCCAAAATTTAAGGAAAATAAGTCCCACGGTGGGTTTCCTCATGCCTTGGCCGTGCGTGGATCAGTCAGCTTCTGGGTGTGACTGGAGCAGCGCTTGTCATCTTGTTCAGAGTCACTTTGTAGGGATTATCCAGGCTTAGTCTCTCCTCCCAGGTCTCAGGTGCTGCGGGTTTCACGCGGCTGTGGTGGATCCAGGCTGGGATTCCTTTTACTTTTACAGCTGTGGGAGTGGTCAAGATGATGGTCTGGGGTCCTTTTCACCGTGGCCACGAGGGGGCTATGTTCTAATCCTTGATCTGCACCTGATCACCTTTGCTGTCTTCTGTACCAAGTCAGCCACAAATGCCGGCCCATTGTCTGAGCCAATTCGTAAGGGCAGTCCAAACCTAGGGATGAGATCTCCACATTTGGGCATCTCAGTGAAGTCTACTTGGAGATCTTCAAAGGGGGCTGCTCTATAAGCCTGTATGCCAGGCAGGACAGTTGGACCTTGCCTAGCATTGTGCTGCCGGGAGGTGACACACTGCTGTGCCACTGTTTTGGCAAGGGCTGACAGATGGGAGATGTAGAAGTACCGGCCTAACAACTTTTCAAGTGACTCTTGGCCTCGGTGGGTGGTCTCATGCACAGCCAGTATGACTGTGGCTCCTAGCAGTTGTGGCACGGCTATTCTTCCATCTGATCACTGGATCCATCCTTCTTCTATTACCTGCCCTCCCTCTGGTTGATGAAATGCCAGGGTGAAAGGGATAGCCAATTGGACTAAAGCACAAGTGCCACTGTAATTATTAGGCAGAGTGTCCAGTAAAGGTCCACCACAATACCACCACACATCCGCTCGGGGATGAACAAGGGCTGACTTATTGGTAAGCTCTTGAAAATTCTTAAGCTCACGGCATCCCTTCAGGTCTCCAAGGAGTGCTAAGTTTCCTCCCTGTCATGAGAGACACGAAGTGAACTTAGTGTTGGGAGATGGAAGCTGGATGGTCCTCGGGGGCTGACCCGCAGGGTATTGAACTTCAGGATATAGCAGAGAGAGAGCTTGGCACAACTTATTATTCCAGGCTGTAGAATCCTGGAAAGGAGCCACCATGCAGTCCATGCCTGGTTGACTGGAGGACCACCTTAGTGGAAAGGGGATAATCTGGGCTTCTGGCCTGCCATGTGCACAAGCATAACAATTGCTTTTGTTTAACGTGCAGATGGAACATTTGATTTATTCCAACCAGGCATTTGCATCTTGGTATCCTGTCTTAATTGTCGAGGTTTGTTTTAAGTCTATAACTTCTATGATCCTCTAGTAAAATGAATGTATGGTTTTAGGAAATTACAAAAACTGGTTGGGGCAGTCCATCCTTGCTCTTTAGTGGTCCACAGAACATTGGACCAACTACAGCATAAAAGCTCTACATTGGGGAAAAGACTCCTGGTTGACACTGGGGCCTTTATCAAAATCTCCTCAGATTAAATGGTCCTAATTTACTAATGCCTAGTCTGAGCAGAGTCAGGAGGGACAGAGGTACTTCTCTGAAGTGAGCAGTCTTTGACTTGGCAAGTCCCCACAGGGTATAACAAGGCAAGCATTAAATGCAATAGTTTGAGGCGAAATTGACTTAGTTATGTTAATAACTAGATAGTCAGCAATAGAGCAAGGAAAGAAGAAAGAGTAATAGAATAGACGAAAGAGTTAAATTTTTCTTAGCTTTAGTTTGGTAGGGTTTTCCCCTGTGACTATGGCCCACGACTCTGGAGGGTGTGGCGCTTTCTTGACTTCAGTGTGATGAGTCCATCCCTTTTTTGCTGTACGAACAGCAGTCTTGGTGGTTAGCAGCACAAGGTAGTGTCCTTCCCAGGCTGGTTCAAGTTTTCTTTCTTTCCACCCTTTGATGAGAACGTGATCTTCAGGCTGGTGCTGGTTTACTGGAAATTCTAGGGGTGGTACATGTGCTAACAGACTTTTAGTTTTGAGGGAAAGGAAAGTGGAAGATAAACCAAGTATATAATTTTTAAGAAATTGACCTTTTGTTTTAAATGTGGGGACATCAGCAGTGGACTTTATAGTCCTTGGTGCCTTCTTACTGAGAAATTTCCTTTAGCACCTATTTTTATTAGTTTTTAGACCAAAGAAAGCCAAACACCATTTTATATTTGACAATGCATCCTGTATGATTTTTATACCAGCTAAGCTAAATTTCACCTTTATATTAGTGTGCTATTAATGTTAAACTCAGTTTCAATAAAACTTTGTAGACATGTTTATTCAATTTTTAATGTCTGACCCTAAGGTAAGATTTTTATAAACTCTTTCTAACCTTTTATAATTTTTGTTAAAGAGCAGGTTAGTGCTTTAAGAAAAACCTATTGTGTTTTTACTTTAATGTCCAGTTCACAGAAAAACTGGATGATACCCCTTTAACTTTAGCTAATATGTTTACACACATAATTTCCTTTATAATTAATATTTTAAAACTTACTTAAACCTTCAAAACAATTTTTTTTAACCTTTCAGTGTAGGTAAAAATCCACATTCTTATGCCTCCTTATAATCCTTTTACCAGAGGTATATTTTACTTTCCTTACACACCTTGCACATAAACTGTTTTTTCAATACTTTTACATTCAGGAGGCCTAATTACTTTTAAATTATCCAACATTTCTTTCATACTTTTTTTATAACTTTTTTTTTGCGACTTTCACAGACAATTCTTCAACATGTCTCAACTTTCTGATTTATTACAAACATTTCTTTCTTTAAACAATCAGTTAATTTATTTCAGGACAAGAATTTACCAGATAACATTCTTTTTACATAAATTCTGCTCCCCCTTTTTTTCAAAGATGATAACCATTCTTTTCCAAAGCGAACTTCCTTTATGTCTGTGGACTAGACTGTCTAAGGCCACAAGATTACAAGTTACTATAATACATGTTACACTGTTAACTTTTAGCAAACTTTACTTTTGTTGAAAACCTTGTAAGTTTGAGATTTCCATTATCCTTTGCTATTAATAAGACCTTGTTTAGTCCAAATTAACTAAGAATTGGTATAGATAGCTTTTTTTTTCCCCCTTCAATTACCGGGGAGGAACCGTCTATCATCCTGTACTCAAGGGAGTTCCTCCTACATCTGTTCGGACCTTTGTATGGTAATTAAGATTTAGATCCCCTGTTAGGAAACCTGCTGGGTTAAGGGAATTTTCAGCAGTGGTTAATGTTAAATCATCTTCTTTTTTTTTTTTTTTTTAACAGAATGGCCCTATACTTTAAGATTTTTAAGTTAGTAAGCTACCTTTTTGCCTTTTTTTTTTTTTTTCCTTAGGATACTTCTGAACTGGTGAGGTGTGCTCACAATGAGGTTTCCTCTAAAAGTTATTTTTCTACTTTCTTCAGTTAGCAAAACAGTTGAGGCTACAGATTGAATGCATTTGGGCAATCCATTGGTTACTGGGTTAAGGATTATGGAGAATACCTTTAATTATCAATTATAGGTTTTAAATTTACCTTGGCTTTTAAAGGAATAGGGTAACTGTTTTTAACTAACTTAACTACTTGTATATCTCTCTTTCTCTCTTTGACTTTCTGTCTCTCTCTCTCTCTGACTTTCCTTTCGCCTCTGTCTCTTCCTCTCTCTCTGCCTCTCTCTTTCTTTCTCTCTCTCTCTCTCTCCCCTTGACTCCCTCTTTATCTCTCTGCATCTTCCTCTCTCTCTTTGCCTCTTTTCCTCTCTGTCTCTTTCCTCTCTCTCTCTCTCTGCTGGTCTTTCCTTGCCTCTGCCAGCAGGTTACGCTGCTGTTCTCTCAACCACTATGGGAGGTTGAGGGGGGTCTAAAACAAGCTGTAACCAAGTATCTATGTATGGGAACTGGTCTGGGTGCCCTGGCTTACAGGTTACCTTGTGCCATACCTTTGAAACAAGGGACCTGTCCAGGCTTCCTTCTGATGGCCAACCCACCTCTAATGCTGGCCAGTCTATTTCACACAAAGTTCTAAGTTTTCCTGGTGTCAGAGTAACACTGTAATCTCCCTTAAATCCTTTCTTGAAAATTTTCAACATAGTTCCTAGTGGGGTGGGCTTACTTTGTGCCTGACCCATGCTTCCTCAAGACAAAACACCATACTTACACCACATGCACACCACAAAACAAAGAATGGGTAAAAAGGGCACACACACACTTTTACAGTTTACACCAAACCAGAATCAAAACCAAAATCAAAGTATCGATAAATCCAAGCCAGGTCAAAACCAAAACCAAAGTATCAAGCAATCCAAGTCAAGTCAAAAACAAAAACCAAAGTGCCGGTACAGGCACACCATGGGTGATCAGGCCACGCTTCCACTCAAATAGAGTCGGCAAGTTCCCAAGACCAATCCTGTCAAGCAATTCAAACCAAGTCAAAACCAAAACCAAAGTGCCGGTACAGGCACACCATGGGTGATCGGGCCACGCTTCCACTCAAATGGAGTGAGCAAGTTCCAAAGACCAGTCTTACCAAACTTCAGATGTCTGGACTCCAAATGTCAGTTCCTTCTCAGTGTTCAGCCACTGAGTTGATCCTCAGCAGGGGCCTGCCCCATGCTGCTCTGGCAAGGCATCCCACTGGGGCAATTGCCTACCTGGGAGCACTCTTTGGATCTGCGTTGCCCAGGCTGGTCTGAGTCCCCCACAGGGATGCTCTACAGGACAGGCCTAAGTCGCCTAAGGGGCTGCCTCAATCATCTGCCAATCACCTCGCTTCCCGGTCAGGAAACCAAGAAATGTAACAGGATGAGCCACAGACAAAATTCCTGAGACACTGGGTTAAAGAATGAAGGAGGTTTATTCAGCTGGGAGTGTCAGCAGACTTGCGTCTCAAAAACCAAGCTCCCCGAGTGAGCAATTCCTGTCCCGTTTAAGGGCTTACAACTCTAAGGGGGTCTGCTTGAGAGGGTCGTGATCAATTGAACAAGCAGGGAGTATGTGACTGGGGGCTGCATGCACCAGTAATTAGAACGGAACAGGACAGGGATTTTCACAATGCTTTTCCATACATTGTCTGGAATCTGTAGATAACACAAGCAGTTAGGTCAGGGGTTGATTTTTAACTACCAGGCCCAGGGTGCACACCGGACTCTCTGCCTGTGGATTTCATTTCTGACTTTTAGTTTTTACTTCTTCTTTCTTTGGAGGCAGAAATTGGGCATAAGACAATATGAGGGGTGGTCTCCTCCCTTAGAGAAACAAGAACAATCCAAACCCATGTGGTGGTGCATGCCTGTAGTCCCAGCTACTTGGGAGGCTGAGGCAGGAGGACTGCTTGAGCGCAGGAGCTCGAGGCTGCAGTGAGCTATGATTTTGCCACTGCATTCCCACCTGGGTGACAGAACAAGATCCCATCTCAGAAAGAGAGAGAGATAGAGAGACAGAGAGGTACTGGCATAAATATAAATGTATAGGTCAATGGAATAGAATTAAGACTCCAAAAAATAAACCCATGCATCTATGGTCAATTGGTTTTTGGCAAGAATGCCAAGACCATTCAATGAAGAAAGAATAGTCTCTTCAAAATATGGTGTTGGGACAACTGAATAATCACATGCAAAAGAATGAATTTGGCTCCTTACCTTACACTGTATACAAAAATTAACTCCAAATGGATCAAAGGCCTAGTGTAAGGGCTAAAACCATAAAATCCTTAGAAGGAAACATAGCGGTACATTTTCATAACCTTGGATTTGGCAATGGTTTCTTAGACATGACACAAAAAGCACAGGCAACAAAAGAAGAATAAATAAATTGGACGTCATCAAAATTTTAAAATGTTATACTCCAAAAGACACTATTAAGAAAGTAAAAAGACAACCCATAAAATGGGAGAAAATATTTGCAATTTGTATATCTAATAAGTTACTAGTATCCGGAATACATGAAGAATTTCTAAACTCAACAACAAAAAACAAACAACTCAATTTTTATTTTTATTTATTTATTTTTATTTTATATATATTTTTTGAGACGGAGTTTCACTCTTGTTGCCCAGGCTGGAGTACAATGGCGCAATCTCAGCTCACTGCAACCTGCGCCTCCCAGGTTCAAGCGATTCGCCTGTTTCAGCCTCCCAAGTAGCTGGGATTATAGGCGTGTGCCACCATGCCCAGCTAATTTTTGTATTTTTTAGTAGAGATAAGATTTCATCATGTTGGCCATGCTGATCTCAAACTCCTGACCTCAGGTGATCCACCCGCCTCAGCCTCCCAAAGTGCTGGGATTACAGGCGTGAGCCACCATGCCCAGCTTTCAATTTTTAAATGGGCAAAGGACTTGAATAGACACTTATCCAAAGAAGATATACAAATGTACAATTAGCACATGAAAAGATGCTCTACATCATTAGCCATTAGGAAAATGCAAGCCAAAACCACAATGAGATACCACCTCACACTCACTAGAATGTCTATAATCGAAAAGGGAAAATAACAAGTGTTAGCGAGGATGTGGAAAAATTGAAACCCTTATACATTGCTGAGGGGAATGTCAAAGATGTGGCCATTTTAGAAAAACAGTTTGGCATTTCCTCAAATAAATTAAACATGGGATTACCATATAACTCAGCAAATCCACTGCTGGGTATATATCCAAAATACAAAATGTGTACAAGAATGTTCACAGCAGCACTATTCACAATAGCCAAAAGGTGGAAACAACCCAAATGTACATCCATTGATGAAAGGATAAACAAAATGTGGAGTATATATACAATGGAATACTATTCAGCCATAAAAAGAAATGAAATTTTGATGTATGCTACAACATGGATGAACCTTGAAGGCATGATGATTACTGCAATAATCCAGACATAAAAGAACAAATATTGTGTGATACCACTTATGTGAGGTATCTAGAAGAGGAAAATTCATAAGACAGCATCTAGATTAGAAATTACCAGGGGCTAAGGGGAGACAGGATAGAGAGTTACTGCTTGATGTTTATAGAGCTTTTGTTTAAAATGATGAAAAAGTTTTTGGAAATAGATAGTGGTGATGATTGCAAAACATTGTGAATGTAATTAATGCCATGGAATTCTACATTTTAAAATGGTTACAATGGCTAATATTATATTGATTTTACTATAGTTTTAAAAAGTTATAATTTAATATATCAAAACCCATTGAATTTTACACTTAAAATGGGTGAATTGTGTGTGTGAACTATATCTCAATAAAGCCGTTTTTTAAAAAGGAATGACATATTGATGAATTTACTACAACATGGATGAACCTTGAAAACATTATGCTAAGTAAAATAAGCAAATCACAAAAGAGCACATATTATATTATTTCATTTATATGAAATATCCAGAATAGGCAAATCTATAGAGACAGAACATATATTAATGGTTTCCTGTGGGCGGCAAGCCACCCAGGTGCCGAGGCAAGAGACTGAGGACACGAGCTGTTCCAGTATAATAAAATATAAAATAAGAATAGTTATACCAGATATAGATCTTAGATATGATTATATATGAATATCATTAATCATTAGTTGGTAGCAATTACTCTTTATTCCAATATTATAATAATCCTCACTCTATAATCATAACCTAGGATCTATATCTGGTATAACTATTCTTATTTTATATTTTATTATACTGGAACAGCTTGTGTCCTCAGTCTCTTGCCTTGGCACCTGGGTGGCTTGTCACCCACAGTTTCCTGGGGCTTGGAGGAATTGGGGAGGGGGTAAGGAAAGTCACTGCTAACAGGTGATGAAAACATTCTAAAAGTGATTTTGGCAATAGTTGTGCAATTTTGTGAATATACTAAAAACCATAGAACTGTACACTTTCAATGAATGAATTGTATGATATGCGAATTATATTTCATTAAAGCTTTTTTTTTTTTTTTGAGATGGAGTAATGCTCTGTCGCCCAGGCTGGAGTGCAGTAGTGTGATCTCAGCTCACTGCAAGCTCCGCCTCCCGGGTTCACGCCATTCTCCTGCCTCAGCCTTGAGGAGCTGGGACTACAGGCACCCGCCACCACACCCGGCTAATTTTTTGTATTTCTGGTAGAGATGGGGTTTCACCGTGTTAGCCAGGATGGTCTCAGTCTCTTGACCTCATGATCCGCCCACCTCGGCCTCCCAAAATGCTGGGATTACAGGCGTGAGCCACTGCGCCCGGCCAGTAAAGCTGTTTTTAAAAATGAAATCATGACTGTAAAGGCCCAGCCTAAGGCCTGGCCCCTAGTGAGTGCTCAGTATAATGCAGTTACTACAGAGGCGAGGGTAATTTCTGAGATAACACACTTCATAATGCACCACTAAAGTCCTGCACCACTAAAATCCTCCTCTTAGATGATAAAAACAATCTGTGATTATCTTTGCACTAGTATTTTTGCTGCAAATGGACAGGGTGCCCCCAAGGTCTGCCCATCCCCGAGGGGCCCAGCCCAGCAGAGGAAAATGGGCCTGTCTCAAGCACAACACACATATTTACCTCCCCCCTTCCCACCTCCCAAGCTTCCAGTTGTCTTAATTGGCCTCCAAAAGAGAAACATTTCATTGAAGGGCCCTAATTAATCCCTAGGAATCTGGGTCCACACATTCTCCTCTCACCCCACCCCAACTCCCCAGTTATTTGTTTCAGACAAGAAAAAAACTTTGTAGACTCCCCAAGGAAAGAGAGGCCTCAGGAGAGGGCCACATGTATGGTCTGTGCTGGGTGTTGTAATGAGGCCCCAGGAGGCCCTGCCTTACCAGGGGCCCAGCACTTGAAAGTGAATGCTGAGTGCCCTTCCCTTACACCTGCAGGAGAGTTCCAGCAGCATACCCACAGCCACCTTTGCCCCATGTTACAGGCATTTCTGCTCTCACCTAGCTCCTCACAGGCATCTCTGTTCATGCAGCTCTTTATGTCCTGCAGTTCTGGGGGCATGGTCTGGGTCACTGCCGTGACAGAGTGTCCCTGCTGGAGAGGGTTCTGCCCTCACAGGGGCCACCTCACCTACCCTGCTCATCTTTCAAGGCCCAGGGCAACTGTTCCTCTTTGAAGTCTTGGCCAAATGCCAGACAAGCTGCCTCACCCTCCCTGAGGGCATCCATGGTTTGTGGCTCCTGGCAAAGTTCTTAGCACTGCAGGCTCTGGAGCAGAACTGGCAGTGTGTGTATTACACTTCCTGGCCAGATCGCAGACCCATAAGAGTGCGGAAGCCAGATCTGAGGCAGAGGCCTCAATGTCAGTTCTGCTGTAGGGCCATCTTTACTCCAAGGTGGAGAGTTCTGTGCTGTGCTCATAGCTGTTATTTTTAAATGGGGTCTGTACTCAAATAAAATTATGAACCAAGACATGAAAGTTTCCTTACTGCTTGTTAATATATATTGTGAATCTCTAAGAAGGTGATGGGTATGCAACAGTTCCTAGACTTTTTTTGACTATAAAATCTTTTTTATTCCTGAGCATCTTATAGGATCAGTTTTCTATGGAATCATTCTGGGAAATTCTGACCTAGATTACAACTCATATATACCCAGACCAATTGGGGGAAAATTTAGAGCTTCACCTCATACCATACACCAGAACAAACCCAACATGAGTTAAATAATTAAATGTGAAAATGAAACTATGAAAACTAAACGAGCAAAAAAATGAAAGGAAAATGTAAGCAGGGCCTTTGGATTCCCAAGCCTGGCACTGAGACTTGCCACAGTGCTTGATAATTATTCATGGAATAAGCACAGGGTTTATGATGTCACTGATGGACACGCTATGTGGGTAACACTCATTTTTGCTTTTTTTTTTTTTGAGATGGAGTTTCACTCTTGTTGCCCAGGCTGGAGTGCAATGGCACAATCTCGGCTCACTGCAAGCTCCGCCTCCTGGGTTCGAGTGATTCCCTTCCCTCAGCCTCCCAAGTAGCTGGGATTACAGGCGTGTGCCACCACACGTGGCTAAATTTTTTCTATTTTTAGTAAAGACGGGGTTTCTCCATGTTGGTCAGGCTGATCTCAAACTCCTGACCTCAGGTGATCTGCCCGTCTTGGCCTCCCAAAGTGCTGGGATTACAGGCGTGAGCCACCGCGCCCAGCCAATTTTGCTTTTTAAATAGGCTGCTTTAGCTTAGATGAACAAGTTCCCGTTTTGGCCAAATTCCTCCTATGAAATTGCATCTAAGAAACTAATAACCTCATACTTGGAAAAGCTCCCTAATGGTGCGACTTAATGTGGCCATTCAATTGTGCCTGCTCTTTACTACTGAGGCATGAAATAGCCTTTCACTTGAAGCAGTGATTTCATACCTGAGTCCATGGTTCTGATGGTTGGCTGGGAGGTGGAGAGGGACCTATGGAGACTCACATAGACCCTTCCCCATGCAGAAGCCAGTCTTTCTGACCAAGAAGTCATCCTCTTAAAAGGTCCTGTGGGCCTGGGCCTTAGAAACAACCCATGAGGTCAGATGTATCCAAAGCTCCTAACTGGCCACCCTCACCTGTGGGTACCCAGGAGCCTGAATACCTCATGTCCTTTATTTGCAGTTGGCCACGAATTCCTGCCAGTTCTACCTCTACAGCATCCTTGCCTTCCTCTCTACCCACACCACTGCAGTGACTTAGCCTCGTCTGCTCCCTGCTTAAGGGTCTCTATCTCCCATCTCCTGGTCTGTGAGATATGAGAGGTCAAAGACCAAGTGTTCCTGATACCCAGCAGAGGACCTCATGTTTCTGAATGGGTGGGTGGCTGAACCTGGCAGGGCAAGTCCTCATCAGAGATGGAAATCAGGTTGGGAACTTCAGCAAGGGCAGGCCCAAGATGGGGAAGGGAGTTGAGCCTCTTCCTAGTGAACTGGTGCCTATACAATGCCATGAAGCTGTTAATGGCTAACACTTGCAAGTCTAATACTGATCTCATCAGGATGGAGACTCTCTCCCCAGCCCCAAGCCTGAATGAGCAATAACTTTCTGGGAAGAAATGCCAGCAAGTTATCTACATCACCTTCTCCACGGGCAGAGGCCAGCAACCAGACGTACTACTAGGGTGAAGGAGAGCCAATCTGTCTCTCTGGGCCCACAGGAGCAGAGATCGGCACTGGTTATTTTCTGAGTCCTTGGCACATGGAAGCCTGGCAAAGGGGAAGGCTTTGGTGGGATATGGATGGATGGTAGGTAGGTGGGTAGGTGGGAAGGTGGATGAGTGATGAATAGGTAAAGAGGTGAATGGGGTGGCCTCAAGGTTGGGCCCAGAGCACTCCCCTATAGGAAAGCCTGCTTTCTAGCACTCTCCTAGCCACCACCCTAATCCCTCAGGTCAAACGTAGGCCATACCTTAACTCCTCTTCTCTCACCCCATCTGCTATTCACCTTGGGCTGGACTCAACTGTCAGAATATCTCTCAAGTCCATCCTCCTGACCTCTTCCCACACTGAACCTCATTATCCTTCTCTGGCATCATGGCCCCAGCATCCTTCCTGACCACCTGTCTTTTGTGGCTCCCTCCAACCCACCTTCTTTTTTACACACCAGAGATCTTCCTAGAACACATGTGACCATGACATTCTGTACTTGAAAACCTTCATTGCATCCTCATTTTTTGTGGGACAAAGTCTAAGCTCCTTGGTCTGGCATTCAACGCCCTGGCTCTCCTGGCTTCAAACTACTAATCTGCAGGTGTTCACATGGCCCAAGCCACCACTATCCTATACCACAGCCGAAGAGAGGATTTAGGCCGGGTGCAGCGGCTCATGCCTGTAATCCCAGCACTTTGGAAGGCCGAGGTGGGCGGATCACGAGGTCAGGAAATCGAGACCATCCTGGCTAACATGGTGAAACCCCGTCTCTACTAAAAATACAAAAATTAGCTGAGTGTGGTGGTGGGCGCCTGTAGTCCCAGCTACTAGAGAGGCTGAGGCAGGAGAATGGTGTGAACCCGGGAGGCAGAGCTTGCAGTGAGCCGAGATCGCGCCACTGCACTCCAGCCTGGGCGACAGAGTGAGACTCCATCTCAAAATAAAAAAGAGAGGATTTATGAAATCCCCTCATGGCAGATGGATAGCAAAAAAGCCCACTTTCCTGGTGAATGAATTAGAAATGGTGTCCATTGAGGGCAGAGGCAGTCCATAGACAGACAGACACACACACATGCACACAGAGAGGGATTCCTGGGTGAGCAAGGGCTAAATGGTGGCCTTTGTGCACAATTGTTGCTGCCTCCCAGATGGAGCATGCACTATCCTATAGGGAGGGACAAGGAAGCCTTCCTTTGCCTGTGGCCCTCTCCCTGGACTCTGAGCTCCTGCAGGGAAGGCTTCTATTCATCTATCACAAGCCCTTCTCAGCAGTTACTCCTCTCTGTCTCTGTGCAAGTCCCCCACACCCCACACTCCGTGCCGTAGAGTGGGAACATATTATGCTGGGAGGGCTCCCAGCTAGGAGCTGGGGCCTTGGATTCTGGTCTCAGGCCCAGCCCTAATATGCTGGGGGAACTAGGCAAATCCTACCCCTACCCTGGGCCTCAGTCTCCCCTTCTGCACTCTCTGAGGACTGGATTCAGTGGACTAAAAGCTCTGATAAGGGACCTTGTGCCCTGGGAAGGGGCCAGAAACCACAACGTCTGATAATTTATTAGGCCTGGAGAAAAGCCATCCTAGAGGTGGGCCGTCTCTCTATCATTTTCTGCATCTCCTGATGCTGGGCCCAGAAGCACACCCTGCAGATAACCCCAGCTTCTCCTGAGAAGTCTCTTTTGCCTGGGCCAAATGTCTCCCAAAGGGTGGTGCCGTTCTAGGAGAAAGCGAGTCCCTGTCACTGGCGTGCATGAAACATACTAGATAGGCACTTGGCAGGATGTTGTAGAGGTCCTCACAGCTCTGACTGTAAATGCTCACAAATGCTTGCCCTGGCTACCTTGATTCCTCCCTTTCCCCATCCCACCTCAGGAAGGCTGGACATGTGGCGAGGAGGTAAAGTACAGAGACCTGGAAGCCCTAATAGGACAGAACCAGCAGGGGGCGCGGTGAGGATGGGAATGAGACTGGCAGAAGCCTCTTTCCCTGCCCTGAGTCTCCTGCTGAGTATCTCACCTCCACCACTGAAGGGAGGGCTGATGGCCCCTCCTGCCCCAGTGCGTGGAGTGTTCTCTTTATGGCTACCCTAGTCCAGCCCTGTGTCCCCAACCCCATGGAGCAGGCACAAGGCAGAGCTCCAGCCCTGATGAACACTGACTTGCTGTGTGACCACTGCTCCTCCCTGGGCCTCAGTTTCTCCATCTATACAATGTGGGGTTTTAGGAGGTCAAGGTCACCTCTGGGGCCCTTTTGGCTCAGACATTCTCTGGTTGTCAGCAGCAGGAGGGAGAACAGGCAGCATCATTCACACCTGATGCTCTGGGGACTCCATGGAGCAGGACCCCTATGGGGCTTGGAACTCCAGAAGCTTCTGGAAAGGCAGAACAGGAGTCTAGGCATGACACTGACCCCACCTACTACTGTGTTCAGGGCCACAGGGCCTCCTCCTGGCCAGCTTGGGGAAGCCTCATCCTGGAGTCTGAGCTGGAGAGAGGGCAGTGAAGAGGCCAGCCTGAATGGTACAGATAGTCGGGGCACAGGAGGAGTGGGAAAAGAGATAAGATAGGGCCAGATCATGCAGGATCTTCCATGTGACACTCAGGAGCTCGGCTGAGAGCTGTGTGGAGAGCACAGGAAGGGCTTGACGCAGGCGAGGGTCATGGTCAGTCACATGCTTTCTGAGTCACTCTGACTGGAGTATGGAGGGGGTAGATGGAGGCTGGGAGACAAGAGGCTACTGCACTGGTCAGGAAGAGAGAAAGGAGTACTGAGGTGAGACAGTGGTCATAATTAGAATGGAATGGGGGTGAGGGAGGAATGGATTTAGGGAATACTGAGAGGGAGAGAGGATAGAACTTGGCAACTGACTTGCTCTGGGCTTGGGGACCCTAATTACTTCATAGATCACCTATGTAAATTTTACAGATGGGGAAACTGAGACCTGGAGATGATCAAGAACTTGCCAGAGATCACAGAGCTAGATAGTGGTAAGACTGGTCCAGAACCCAGGCTTCCTGGCTGCCAGCCCCAGACACTTTCCCCATAATGACACAAATACTAGAGGTAGGACTATGCAGGTTTCACAGCCTTGAATGCCAAGCCTAGGAATTTGGACCATTTCTGTGAGCAATTAGGAGTCATTGCAGGTTCTTAATATTTGGCAGCATTTCTTGTTTCTTTGTCTTCCCCCAACCAGAAGCTTTCCAGTTGCTAAAATGCACAAACTGGCTGCTCCTAGGCCAACCCAACCCCCTCAATCTTTATATAGAAGAGGGAGGCATCCTTTCCTCTTTACAAAGAGAAAGCACAAAGCCCTTAGAGTAAAGAAACTCACCTAAAGCCACAGAGCAAGTTAGCAGCCCAGATTTTCCCAACTCCCAGAATGATTTTCCTAAACCCTGGTAATGAAATCAAGAAGGCTAAAATTACTGGCCTAGAGAGGGGAGGGTCTGGTTCAAGGTAATCACAAGTGGGTAGCAGAGCAGGACCTAGAACCCGAGTCAGACCCCGGGGCCAGTGCAACAGCCAGTTAGCTGTCCCCACTCCCCACCATTGCCTCCCTTCTGTGGCTGCAGTCCTGTGAGGAAGTCTGTATCCTGACTCTCTGCCTCCACAGTCATTTTGCCCTCATCTGTCTTGTCAGGGGCCAATGCTGGGACATCTCCAGGCTGCCTTCAATTATGAGTCAATAAATATGAGATGTGCTGTGCAATGAGTGGCTGCTTGGGCCACCAGCTCCACCCCCACCCCCACCAGCTTCTGCACCAGGCAAGATTGGATTTTGTGTCATTCATTTTTTATCTCTAGTCCCCGTCGGATGGGGAGATACATGACGTGGGCAGTGGATAATTTTATCCTTCCCCAGTGTAGCAGATGCAGCACTGAAATGCAGTGTGGGATGTCCTCAGGTTGCCTGCTGCCCTCACATGGGGAGGTCCCCCACCCCCAACCCACTAACCCTGCACTCCTGTTCTCCACTGGGGCAAAATGGCATGTGTAGAGGAGAATCCTAAGCAGGAAGATGAGAGACCTGGGTTCAAGCCTCAACCCTGCCTCTGACCCCATGTGCAACCTTGAGCAAGTGTCTGAAAATATTTGATGAGGGCTTCTTTATGTCAAGCCCTGTGCAGGAAGGCAGGGGGCCACAAAGAAGAATCAAACCTGATCCCTGCCCTCAAGGAGCTAGCAGTTGACTCAAAGTAAACAGACATCCCAAGGAGGGGTGGCATTCATTGGCACTGGGTGTGATGGATGAGGATTCGTCAGGTAGGACGTGAGGGAGGGGAGGGAGAGAATACATTCAGGTTTAGGCAAAGGGAACTCCTTGAATAAAGCATGGCAGAAGGGAGTGTGTGACCAATGTGTGCTCAGAGACCTGCAAGTATGGCTGGGGCATAGGGTAGATGGAATGGGGGGAGAAAAGAGTTTTAAGCAGGTGAATGTCATGATCAGATTTGTACTTTAGAAAAATTTTTCTGACTACTATGTGAAAAGCAGATTTGGCAGTCAACAGAGAGTGAAGACAGAGAGTCCAGTGAGGAAACTCATGTGATGGTTCAGGAGAGAAAAGACCATATCCTAGATAAAGCAATAACAGTGGAGCCAGAAATCATCATCATCATTATTATAATGAATACTATCATTAAGTGTTAGTAGGGACAGGCACAGTCCTAAGTATGAACATCATTGTTTCTAATTCTCACAATAACTCTTCAAAGTAGATTATTATCCCCATTTTGTAGATAAGGAAATTAAGATTTGAATGTATTAAGAGAGTTGCCCTTAATACACAGTCATACAGCCGGTAAGTGATAGAGGCAGGATTTCAAACCAGGTCTGTCCAACCCTAAAGCCTATACCTGTCCAACCCAGGTCTTTCTACTGTGTTCTCCTTCCTAGAAAGGAAGGCACAGTTTCTAGAGAGCCTAAAGGGGCATAGATTCTACCATGGTTTGGATATTTGTCATCTCCAAAACTTATGTTGAAATTTGATCCCCAGTGTTGAAGGTGGAGCCTAATAGGGGGCGTTTGGGTCATGAGGGTGGACCCCTCATGAATAGATGAATGCCCTCCCTTAGGGGTGAGTTCTCAGTCTATTGGTTCTCATGAGAGCTGGTTAAGAAGAGCTTGGCACCTCCCCACTCCCTCTTGAGAGCTTCCCCTCTCTCCATATGATCTCTGTACACACCAGCTCCCCTTCACCTTCACCCATGCGTGTAAACAGCCTGAGGCCCTCACCAGATGCAGATGATGAATGCTGAGCTTTCCAGCCATCCAGAATCATGAACCAAATAAACCTTTTTTCTTTACAAATTATCCAGCCTCATATGTTCCTTTATAACAACACAAATTGGACAAAGGCAGACTCCATCTGATTTTTGTGAATCTTTGGAAATGGAAAGCAAAAGAGTGTTTAAAAATGATGTGCAAGCTTCTGGGCAGGGAGACTGGGTGGACAGAGAGAGAGAGAGCACAAAAGGAGGAGCAGGCTTGGGAGAAACAGATGCATTTGGTTTTGGCCAGTTGAACTGGAGGGCAATTGAATATTTGGGTGTGGAGCCAGGACCTGCCTGGAAATAGAGATTTGGAAATTGCTGACAAATGAGTACTCACAGTTGTGTGAGTGGTTTAGGTCATTAAAGAGAGTGTGTATGGTGAATGGAAAATCAAGGCTGGGATCTTGGAGAACTCCAGACCTTAGAGGATGAGCTTAAGAGGGCAGATGAGAAAGTAGAGTGGTGCAATATGAAATTGCTTCAGGAAGGTCAAGGAGTAAATGGTCCCTGATGCTGCCCAGTAGTCCGTAAGGTGAAAGCGAAAAACTTCACCTGGGTTTAGAGATCAGCAAGCAG
This sequence comes from Homo sapiens, assembly GCF_000001405.40. NCBI lineage: Eukaryota > Metazoa > Chordata > Mammalia > Primates > Hominidae > Homo > Homo sapiens. Next base: position 75,028,250 of record NC_000011.10, on the reverse strand, counting down.
CAGTGGGGCAGAAGAGCTCCATGCAGCAGTCATTGGAAACCTTGGCAAGGTAGTCTTCATGGACACAGTGTTAACAAACAGTGGGACCTATACACACTCTACCTGTGGTCCTGAATTATCTCTGGGCTCTGGGCATGGGGAAAGTTTTGACCAGCATTACTGGGACACTAGTAACTCCTATCCAACCTCTCCCAGAAATCCTTAGCCAAGTAAGGGAAGTACCAGTATTAGAAAGGGAAACAGAGGAGAGATGGGGGTATGACAACTGAGAAACCACCAAGAAGGTAAAAAGGAGACTTATTTTAATACCGTTTACAAACAATTTTAGTTACCAAGAAAGAATTCATAGCCCACCATGGCTGAAATGTTAAATGAGTGAAGAAGAATAAAAACTGTGTGGACGAAGCAAAACAGAACAGCGCAGGTATTGGTCTGTTGCCTTTAAGGACACTTTAGCTGTTGTCTTTATACTTGAATGATACCTTGGCTGGATATAATATTAGAGGGCATTTGAGCAGAAAAGCAAAACTCCAGCTGCATAGAGAAGGCTCAACTGAGGTGTCATCACTAATTAAGTTATACCAAAGTATTCAGTATTTATCTTTGCTCGTTTTTTACTCTTGATAAAAAATTTGTTTCAGAACTACTAGAGCTGTGACATGTCTTACAATTTAGAAAGCTGATTTCAAGTTTGATTGACAGTATTTTTAGGCTATTGAAGGGAGTATTTTTTTCCTTTGGGAATGTGGCGGCACAATCTTCCTATGCTTAGGGCAGTTTAGGCAGAGGGGCGGGGGGGTGGAGGCTGGTTTGAAGAGGGGTAAGGAAGAATAGCTAGCAAGTAGAGAAACTCAAGAAATTGGGCTAAGACAGGGAGGAAGGAAAGAGTAGTGACTGCAGAGTAACATGGGTTTGAGGACTCTTTTGAGATGGGAAAGTTGTAAACACATTAAATGCTAAGGAGCCAGGGGAGAGAGGTAGCTTAAAGAGGTGAGGGAGGGATTGATGGAAGGAGTTTCTAGAGGAAGTAGGCAGAAAATGGGCTCCCGGGGCTTGAACTGGAGTGAGGCTTTAAATCCTGGCTCCACCAGCATCATGCGACTTTGGTCCTGCCTTAAGTTAAGGCAGAGTTTTGCAAAACAGGGATCCTGATAGTGCTTATCCTATAGAGTTGTTATGAAGATTGAATGAGTTGATACAGGTAAAGTGCTCAGAACAGCACCTAGCACATGTTAAGTTCTTAACAAAAATTATCTGTTAGTGGTAATAAAAATCAGCTGTTAGCTAATTCATTTTGTAAAACCAGAAAGAAAGGGGAAAATATTGGTGTGGCCTGTGGCAACTGTATTTGGAAGGGAGAAATGATGATAGAGTTCACACCAACAGCTTTGCTCTTGAGCCAAGGATTTGGAGTTAGAGCTGGGTTCACGTCACTTCACCATGCTCAATCTCAGTTTTCTCATCTGGAAAAAGCTCCATCTCAAGGGAAGAATGCAAAGAGTTCTTAACATAAATGGGTAAAGCACTGAACATGGGGCCAGGTACTTAGAGGTGCTCAGTGAATGATAGCTACGTATAAAGCTCTCCTACTCCCTTCCCAGTGACATGGACCTTGGCAGGGTGTCTGCTGATGGGGAGAGCACAGCTGCGGTTGGGAGACTTAAGTGCAAAGTTTTTTGAAGTGCAGGGTGCTATAGAAGATCGGGGCAGGAAGATCACCCTACCCTAAGACCAGGCTAGCCAGGGAAGGAAGGGAGGCCAAGAAAATCTGCAGGAATAAGAGGGATCCAAGGCTGGAGGCCTATGCAAAGGTGAGGGAAAGGGGAGGGGCCAGGAGAAGGGTCTATGGTGGGAGAGGAAGATTTCTGAGTTTCATTCAAAGTTTTCTGAGTCCTATAGTATGCCAGGCACTATTGCAGCACTTTATATACATGAGGTAATCCAACTTCAACCCCTCCCTGCTGCCCATCCAGGGCCTGTCACTCCCACAAATCTATGAGGGCCTTGCAGACCATAAACCAGTCTACAAATCTCTGGCAAGTTTGGGCAGGAAGAATCAGAGGGCCAATCAGATTCCCTCCGTTATGCACGTGAATTGAGCAGGATGGGGAGAAACTACTAGTTTCTACAAAGGAGCCCAGAGGAACGAACTATGGAGTTGAAATGGAGCCATGAGCAGTCACATGTAAGAAAAAGTTGTGCTAGAACAGAGATTCTGAGGAAACAGAAGCTTAAGACAGAGAGGAGAGAGGGAAAGAATCCACCTATGAGTAGTTGGAAGATGGGCAGATAGCAACAGAGACCCATTGACAAAGAGATGGAGGAGAAGCTAGCCCCAAGTGGCCTGTGTTCCTTCCAATGTGCAGGTTCCAGTTCCAGTCCCCATAGTTGGCTCCTTCCCCAACCCACTTGGTTGGGCTCAAGTGGTTTGCTGTTCTTTGCAACAGAATAAATCCAAATAAAGCCTATTCCCATTTTGCAGATGAGAAAACTAAGGCTGTGAGGGAAAATGACTTCTTCTTGGGATCCACCCCTGCCCCCCATCTCCCAGTCCCTTTTAGGTTCCTACTTGGGAGACTTGACATTCACGCAGAAAGTCCCCACAGTGGCTAAGGATCAAGTTTTAGGGCTTGATGAGAGAGCAGGGAAGGGGTTCACAGGACCCAGGCAGGAAGGATGAGGGCCAGACCTGAGCAGAGGGGGTGAGAATGAAAGTTGTCCCTGAGTGGGTCCTAGATCTAAACAGGACCCAATAATCTTGGAGCCTCATGACTTCCTAGTAAAGTCAATGCCATCATCTCCATCGTACAGCTGGGAAAACTGAGGTTCGAAGAGGCTAAGTCACCTTCCTAAGGCCACATAGCAAGTAAGAGACAAAGCTGAGGCTTCCCCTCTGGTCTCAGACTCCAAGTGCAGGCCCTTCCTGCTGCTGTAGCTGCCCATCTTTTCTGGAAAATCAACTTCACTCAGAGAAGAGCTCTCATCCTGCCTTGCTGTGGAATGGCTGTGGCCTTGGCCCAGTCCAGTTGCCTCCCTCCCTGGGTCTTAGCTGAGTGGGGAGGAGGGTCCACTAGATGTCTGAGGTCTGCCTGCCTGCTCTTCTAGTGGGTTCCAGTCTCTCCACAGCTGGGCACCATCCAGGCTACTCCCCATCCTACCTCCTCTCTCTAATAATTAATCTCCAGCCAACAGTCCCAGCTGCAGTGCTTTCATCATCCAATTACCGGAGTTGCTGGCACAATAAATCTTGGTCATACAAATGCAGGCAAATCTGCAGCTATTTTCATGGCCATTACTGTGCATAGGACATTGGGACTCAGGTCATTTGCCTTTCTGACATGGAGTCCTGCCCCCCACTCCCTATCTTCACCATCTTCTTTCATTTTTCAGTGGCAGCTGCCTCCCTCCCCCATCATCTCCCAAGCACCTGCTCCTCCCTTCCCCTCTCCCATCTTTATAAAGGCTGTAGGCCAAAGATCAGAAGACTGTGTGACCTCAGCCAAGTCAATTCTCTGACCTTCAATTTCTTCACCTATAAGACAGAAAAAGCATGATTGACCTTATAGGGTTTTGTGAAAACTAAATAACCCAAGTGCAGTATACATCTCACTGGTGGTAGGTATGACCTACTTCAGTGGTCTTTGCTATTTTTTAATAGGTATGTATATAATTTAATGTATATTAGGAAAGATAAATCAAACCAGTGATTTCATGAATATTATTCCTTAGGAGACCATGAATTAGGTATTTTCATAAAATATGCTAAAGAAAATTATTAAGAATCCATGGATTTAGCAAAAATCATGGAGGAGGCACATGCATGAGAGAAACTTGAGAAACGTTGACATAATGACTGCGTGCTGCTTGCCTTTATCACTATTTGCTCTGTTCTCCACTTTCCCTCAGTTTCTGCAGAGGGATGTGTGGTGCCCTACAGAAGAAGGGGACTCATTGTGTTCTGAGAGGCTAACTTGCTCTAGTTCAGGGCCCTTCATTCATGTGAGAACCACCTCCCTCCCCTTGGGGCCTGTCCCATGCAGGCCCTGTGCTGGGTGCTCGGAACACAGAGCTCAAACGACAGCCCTGCGTTCAGGAAACTCCCAGGAACTCTCCTCTGAATCTGGCAAGGGAGCTGTCACTACCTTTACCTGACAGGACGTATAGCAGGACTTTCCTTGAGTTCTGGATTTGTGGAATTGCAGTGAAGGCCCAAAGCTGAGGACAAGAGGCTCTAAGACCACACTCTGTAAAGAGAGACATGAAGGAGCGTACACGTGCACACACACACAAAGAGAGGACATAGGAGGGAAGGGGGGAGAAGTTGGGGTGGCCTTGTGAACACTGCGGTGTTTGTGCTGAGAGTCACTGCCATGATGGGGAATGGAGAATGTGCCCAAGCCCTGCATAGAAGCTGGGCGTGCCTGCCAGAAAGGGAGCCTCACCCTGGCATCTGGGCAGAAAGTTTGCTGTGCCGAGAACTCACAGGCCCACCCTGGGACTGCCACTGAGCAGCACAGAGGTAAAGGGGTATCCAGTGGCGGGAAGCCTGCTGAGAGGGTCTGGTCCATCCAGCAGAGCCTGAAGGGAACATGGTGAGTACTGCAGGAAGAATGCACAGGACTCTCTCCCAGTGTTTCCTGGCTGTAGGCAGGCATGGAAGATCATAGGAGTTTCCATGGCTCCATACAAAGAAGCACACAGATTAAAATAGGGGAAGGATCCACAGGGCTGTTCAGATGGCCTCAGACCAGGTAAGTCTGACCCCACCTAAACAAGAGGTTGGGCCCTGGGCCTCTGATGGGAGTCCAAGGAAAACTCGGCTGCCCATCTCTGAGTGAGGCTTGGCAACAGCAGGCACAGAGGAGAAACTGAACATCGTGCCAGGAAAGTCATGCCCACCAACTCCCAGCTAACAATAGGTCAGCAGAATTCACCAGCCTTGGAACCAGAAGCAGATCTCATGCTCACACGCACACACACATAGAACTTCCTCCTCTGTAAAGCCACCATCCCTCTTGGACATCAATTTCCCCTTGGGACAAAAGAGTTATAAAACTGCCTCAGGGCAGTTTTGAAAATCCAGGCAGAGACTGCTGTTCTGCCACCAACCATAGGCATTACTGCTTAAAATTCCAGGGTGCTTGTGGCCTGCAGGGAGTTGGGGGAGATTGCCACCTGGTGGTCAATGTTGGCAATGCCATGGAGCTTGCAGCAGAGTCGGGGACTGGGAGTCCTCAGGCTCAGAGCCAGGCCTGACTATCTGTATGACCTTGAGCAAGTCACTTCCACTCTTGGAGACTGTTTTCTCAACTAAAATGGGGAATAATGTTGCCAGCCTTGCAGAACCATAGTGAAGATTAAACCTACTGCACTACTGTGCCTGTCTTGAGCAGGGCCTCAATAAAGTTTTGATCCACCTGGGTCTTGTTCCCGCAGGATATGAGCAAGGGTCAGCTCCAGGAGACAGAGGGGGAGGTGAGCCACGCTCATAGAGATCCCCAGCTCCCCAGGTTTCTTTCACTGCCTGCCACCCAGGACCGTCTTTCTGTGTGTGTGGAACTGTTCTTAACCTAAACCTGGACAGCTCTTTGGATTCCAGATGTTCAGAACCGTGAAATGCTGACTCTAGAGTCTGGATCAGGAGAGCTCATTCCAGGCCTAGTTCTGTCACTAACTTGCTGTATAGCTTTAGTCAAGTCACCTGGTTAATATCTAAGCTTTGGTTTCCTCTTTTGTACAAAGCAGGTAATGATTCCTGCTCTGCCTTTCGGCTCTGCATTGTGCTATAACTCACTTCCTTACCCTCAACTCTTGAAGGAAAGTCTGTTACGTGCACATGCTTGCACCTGGTGCTTTGGGGAAAGAGGCAGCAAGGGCAGCATCAGAGCCTGGAGCAAAACAACTCAGTCACAGTCACAAGAATGCAATAGCAGCAGGAATTAAGAGTGAGAGGTGATCAGAATATAAGCTCCCAGGAACTCTCAGGCTCTTGGGAAAGACTCTATGCTTCGCCCAGAATATAGGATGATGACCTGCAAAATCTTTTTTTTTTTTTTTCTTGAGATGGAATCTCACTGTGTTGCCCAGGCTGGAGTGCAGTGGCGTGATCTCAGCTGCCTGCAGCCTCTGCCCTCCGAGTTCAAGCAATTCTCCTGCCTCAGCCTCCCAAGTAGCTGGGATTATAGGCACCCGCCACCACGCCTGGCTAATTTTTTGTATTTTTAGTAGAGAGGGGTTTCACCATCTTAGCCAGGCTGGTCTTGAACTCCTGACGTCATGATCCACCCGCCTCAGCTTCCCAAAGTGCTGGGATTACAGGCGTGAGCCACCGCACCCGGCCGATGACTTGCAACATCTTAAGAAACTGAGGGAAAGTGTGATTCCAGAAGGGTGGAGGAGCAGACAATCTGAGGACTTCCATATTACCCAGATCTCTGACTCACTAGAGGGACTGTTCTGGGATTTGTGGGACTGTTCGCTGGGAGCCTCACTCCCACATGGGAAGGACTGACTACGGTATTATTATCCATACCTATCCACCTGAAGTTGTTTCCAAGCCTTGGACAGAGCTGTGCAGGGCCCATGGTCTCCTCTGACTACTCCTTACAGATACCTCAGATTTTAGACTTTTGTCTTGCTAGCCCCAGGCAGTCTTACAGATAACATGTCCTAATCAAATTCAGACCCAATCTCATTTGGTAAAAGAGACCAAAATGATGAGTTCTCAACTCTGTACCCAATTCAGGTGACCCTCTCAGGCTTGGGGACAAACCTACTTGCCACTCGCCACTTACCCACAACTGCCCACCCTATCATTTTCACTTACATACACACTAATTCAACAAGCTCTGTGGGGCCCATACTCTCTGCCAGACCCTAGGCTGGGCACTGGGAACACAGAAAGGATCAGATGTGGTCCTTGTCCTTGAGGAGCTCACAGTCTAGAAAAGGAGCCATATATAGCAACAGAACATTCCACACAGAATGGGCAGTGCAACGTTAGAAGGGGCACAGTGGAAGGCCAGAAGTGGGGCCTACCTGATCTGGGGTTAGGGCAGGCTCCCCCGTGAATGGCACATTTAAGCTAGATCCTGAGAGGAAAAGGAGGAATTCTATCAAAGAAGGAGAAAGAGCATTTCAGACAAAGCAAGGTGTACACAGAGGCATAAATACTGTGACCTGTTCAGGAACATTGGGCTGTGTATGGAGGACTGTTGTGGAGATGGGGTAGAGAGATCAGGCCCTGAACACCCACATAAAGTCTTCATCCTTCTGGCGAAGGAGCCATTATGTGGGAGAATGGATTGGAGGGTGGCAGGGAGCTGGAGGAGCAGTGAGGACTTGCTTGAGCAGTCTTGACAAGATGTGGCAGGCCCACAGCCTTCACTGCCTCTAGGCCCCCTGAGTGGGTCACTGTGGTTCCTTCAGACACAAGAGAGACCCCTTATTGCCCCAGTCCCACTGACAGACTCTGCCTCCCAGGCCCACTGGCCCTGCCCAGACATGAGAGTGGTGTATTAGTTGTATTAGTCCGTTTTCATGCTACTGATAAAGACATACCCGAGACTGGGCAATTTACAAAAGAAAGAGGTTTAATTGACTTACAGTTCCACGTGGCTAAGGAAGCCTCACAATAATGGTGGAAGACAAGGAGGAGCAAGTCACGTCTTACATGGATAGCAGCAGGCAAAGAGAGGGCTTGTGAAGGGGAACTCTGCCTTATAAAGCCATCAGACCTCATGAGACTTGTTCACGATCATGAGAGCAGCATGGGAAAGACCTGCCCCTATGATTCAATTACCTCCCACTGGGTCCCTCCCACAACATGTAGGAATTTAAGATGAGATTTGGGTGGTGGAACAGCCAAATCATATCATTCTGCTCCTGGCCCCTCCCAAACCTCAGGTCCTCACATTTCAAAACCAATCATGCCTTCCCAACAGTCCCTCAAAGTCTTAACTCATTCCAGCATTTACTCAAAAGTCCACAGTCCAAAGTCTCATTCAAGACAAGGCAAGTCCTTTCCACCTATGAGCCTGTAAAATTAAAAGCAGGTTGGTTACTTCCTAGATACAGTGGGAGTACAGTCATTCCAAATGGGAGAAACTGGCCAAAACAGAGGGGTTACAGGGCCCATGCAAGTCCGAAATCCAGCAGGGCAGTCAAATCTTAATGCTCCAAAATAATCTCCTTTGACTCCCTGTCTCACATCCAGGTCATACTGATGCAAGAGGTGGGTTCCCATGTTCTTGGGCAGTTCTTCCCCTGTGGCTTTGCAGGGTACAGCCTCCCTCCTGGCTGCTTTCACAAGCTGACGTTGAGTGTCTGCAGCTTTTCCAGGTGCACGGTGCAAGTTGTCAGTGGATTTACAATTCTGGAGTCTGGAGGACAGTGGCCCTCTTCTCACAGCTCCACTAGGCAGTGCCCTAGTAGGGATTCTGTGTGGGGGCTCCAACCCCACATTTCCCTTCTGCCCTGCCCTAGCAGAAGTTCTCCATGACAGCCCTGCCCCTGCAGCAAACTTCTGCCTGGACATCCAGGTGTTTTCATACATCCTCTGAAATCTGGGCAGAGGTTCCCAAATCCCAATTCTTGACTTCTGTGCACTGGGAGGCTCAACACCACGTGGGGCAGGAACCATCACATATGCATTGTGCACACATTATGGGCTAATATGATTACTATAGGAAAAAATAATAATCAGGACAGCTCCCATGTTTTGAACACTGTGGAAGCTGCCAAGGCTTGATGTTTGCACCCTCTGAAGCCATGGCCCAAGCTCTACATTGGCCCCTTTCAGCCACAGCTAGAGCAGCTGGGACGCAAGACACCAAGTCCCTAGGCTGCACACAGCACGGGGACCCTGGGCCCAGCCCATGAAACCATTTTTCCCTTCTAGGCCTCCAGGCCTGTGATGGGAGGGGCTGTTATGCAAACCTCTGACATGCCCTGGAGACATTTTCCCCATTGTCTTGGGGATCAACATCCGGCTCCTCTTTACTTATGCAAATTTCTAGAGCCAGCTTGAATTTCTCCTCAGAAAATGGGATTTTCTTTTTTATCAAATTGTCAGGCTGCAAATTTTCTGAACTTTTATGCTCCACTTCCCTTATAAAATTGAATGCCTTTAACAGCACCCAAGTCACCTCTTGAATGCTTCGCCACTTAGAAATTTCTTCTGCCAGATACCTTAAATCATCTCTCTCAAGTTCAAAGTTCTGCAAATCTCTAGGGCAGGGGCAAAATACCACCAGTCTCTTTGTTACAACATAACAAGAGTCACCTTTGCTCTATTTACCAACAAGTTCCTCATCTCCATCTGAGACCACCTCAGCCTGGGTTTCATTGTCCATATCATTATCAGCATTTTTGTCAAAGCCATTCAACAAGTCTCTAGGGAGTTCCAAACTTTTCCACATTTTTCTCTCTTCTTCTGAGCCCTCCAAACTGTTCCAACTTCTGCCTGTTACCAAGTTCCAAAGTAGTTTCCACATTTTTGGGTATCTTTTCGGCAATGCCCCACTCTACTGGTACCAATTTACTGTATTAGTCAGGGTTCTCTAGAGGGACAGAAATAATAAAATAGATAGATATACAAAGGGGATTTTATTAACTCACATGATCACAAGGTCCACAGTAGGCCATCTGCAAGCTGGGGAGCAAGGAAAGCCAGTCTGAGTCCCAAAACTGAAGAACTTGGAGTCTGATGTTTGAGGGTAGGAAGCATTCAGCAAGGGAGAAAGATGTAGGCTGGGAGGCTAGGCCAGTCAAGTCTTTTCCCGTTTTTCTGCCTGCTTTATAGTCTAGCTGCACTGGCAGCTGATTTGATGGTGCCCACCCAGATTAAGAGTGGGTCTGCCTTTCCCAGCCCACTGACTCAAATGTTAGTCTCCTTCGGCAACACCCTCACAGACACACCCAGGATCAATACTTTGCATCTCTCAATCCAATCAAGTTGAGTCAGTTTTAACCATCACAAGTGGGAAGAAGGCAGGGAGGGGGAGAACAAGCTCACCTTATCTCCATCTGAAGCCCATTACACAAATGCATTCTAGATCCTCTCAATAAGCTAAGAGGTGAGAGTTGTTGTGCCCACTTTACTGAGGAAGAAAAGTAGGCTCAGAATTTAGTGAATTGCCCAAGGTCTCACTCAGTTAGTTAAAAAAGGCAGTGGGTGGGTGGGGAGAGAAAGGAAGGAGAGAGGGAAGGGAAGGCTTAAAAAAAGTGCTAAAACTTGAGTTAGAATGAAGACTTGTCACTTCTGCTCAAAGCTCCTCTTCATTGCAAGCATAACCTTAATTTAATTTTTCTCTCTTCACTAAGAGAGAAATGACATTCTCCTAAATGTCATTTAAGTGTTTTCCTCCCTACCTCCCAGTCTTGTCACTGAAAATAGATTTTACTAATTCCTACCCCAAAGACCAGAGGCCCCCATTGTTCAGTACAGAGGTCTTTTTCGAGAGTGGTCTAGAGTGCTCTAGGCAGGGCAGGCATATACTAGAGGCATCCCCCCATAGCCCTGAGAGAGGAGAACTCAGCCTGGCTCACAGGCCCAGGTCAACCTCTTTCAGACAGTGCAAGGAGAGCCAGCCTTTGGCCCCAATATCCCCAAAGAAGCCAGGCATGGACTCCTCAGCCCAGCATACTCAGGCAGCCATGATTAGCCTACCTCGGACACCCCAAATCAGGATTTCCCAAGGTCTACCCTGTGCTAATTAGAAAAGGTGCCCCTTCTGACAGTTGCAGCCTTATAATTGCAAGGGCTGGGAGCTCCACTCTTGGCTGGATTTCAGGCCTCATTTTCCCCTTGGCCAGATACTTCTGTATGGGGCACCAACAGTAGCAGCCCTGCTCAAACACATCCACCTATCTGAGCCGCTGAATCTGGAACCCATCCGTCCCTAGCTGGTGGGATCAGCCTCAGCACCTTAGCAAGTATAAGTGTGTCTGCCACCCCATCAAGCTCAGGGAAGTCTCACAAGGATCTGCCCCAACTCTGGGCCTAGTATAAGACCTATGCCCTCCCATTTGGAATGCCTGAAGCACTGGGATACTCACTGGCCTTGGAAGCAGACATGGAAGCCTACTCTCCCAAGAGTTGTAAGGACATTATAGCTTTCCTCCAAGTCAGCATCTTCATATAAGGGGTGGAGATTCTTGACTCTGGCCTCAAGATTTATCTTTCCTGTTAGGTCTTCCCTCACTGATTTCTACTGCCACCACCATTCTGGCCTTTGGGAGCCTCACTCTCCACTTTCAGGGCTCTAGGTCGGATGTGTTCACCCAACTATTCCTTACAGCCATTGACACAGCAGATGCCAGGCTAGAGTGTTCAGACCAGGCTTTAGAAAAGGTTTCTGAGTAGCAACAAAGAACACATTATGAACCTGGATGATTGGACTGGCAAAGTAGATCTTCCTCAGCTCCAGTCTGGGATTCTCTCAATGGCATCTTCCTGAATCCATGGCTCACTTTAACTCGGGCTGCTGGGGATCATCCTTAGGGTCACTTCAATGCCATAAAGCCAAATGAAAGGAGTGCATCAAGAAAGGCAAGAGTGTCCTATCCTACCCAGGACCTACCTTTGAGTTTCCAATTTTGAAGGATCTCTGCTTCTCCAAGTGATTAAAAATAGAATGGCCATTAATTCATTCAACAAATACTTAAGTCCCACTATGCTAGGGGATGGAATAATATGGTAAACAAACAAACTTGGCACCCACCCCTCAAAATTCATACCTGCCCATAGGACTTGGTGTTAACCCAAAATGCATGGCCTATAACCATAATTCAACTTCAAAACAGAAACCTGAGCTTTGAAACCAGGCACATAGAGTAGCAAGAAGGGCACTGCAGCTTCTTGACAATTTTCCAATGCCTTGACCCCAAAGAAATCTGAATCTGGGGTCGCTTAGGGGAGGGAGCTAAGGAGAGAGGTATCAAGAAACACAGGAGGACCTCTGTCTTTGGCCATAGTGTGGCCACCAAAGGCAGAACATGAGAGTCCAGATCAGACATAGGGTCAGGTTATTGTCTGGATGATGGGTACAATGAAGCCCCACAGTTTTCACCCTTGAATCTCATATTTGACCCATAAACCCATGGAGTTCAGCAATCTCTAGCTTGGCAACTGTCCAGACATAGCTTATGCTCTGTGCTCTGACCCTTGTTCTCCCCTTTGCAAGGATAAAAAGCCCCTTCCACACAGCTGAGTCCTTGGCAGCCCAAGTAACTCGAGGTCTCTTTGTCCACAGACTATCCAGTCCTCGGCTGAGCCCAGAGTCTTACAGACCAGCTGTATGGGTGGTGAAACATCCTGTGCCCACTTGTCCAGATCTGTGCTCATGCTATGATGTTACCTTTATTGGAAAGAATATCAGTAGGAATTCCAGGTAATTATTATGTCATGAGAAAGCTAAATTTCTGACCCAGGAAGGATACAGCTGACTGACAGACTAGGGACACAAGTTGGACACCTGTTTGGGAAGTGAAGCTTGATTCCATAGGAACAGTAGTAGTAACAGTCTGTATTCCTCCTACCTCATGAGGCTGGCAAAAGTGTGAGTAGGAGGCAGGTAAGGTAATATATGAAGAAGTAAGTACCATAACATAATTCTACTCCAAGAGTGGTCTGTGCACCTGCAGCATCGGCATTACTTGGGAACTTGTTACAAATGCAAATGTTCAGGTCCCATCCCAGATTTACCGAATTAAATTCTTGTGGAGGGGGAAGCTTGAGGGGCAGTGGGTGGGGCCAGGAAACTTTTTTTGTTTTTTTAAAAACCTCTTCAGGTGATTCATATGCACACATAAATTTGAAGGTATTGCTAACACGTCTTAGTTCAGGCTACTATAACAAAAACACCTTAGACTAGGCAATTTTTAAACAGACACTTATTGCTCAGTGTTCTGGAGGCTGAAAAGTATAAGATCAAGCTACCAGCAGATTTGGTGTCTGGTGACGGTTTGCTTTCTGCCTCACAGATGGCACCCTGTTGCTGCATCCTCACATGACTGAAGGGCAAAGGGGCTAACAAGCCTCTTCGGGTCTTTTATAAGGTCACCAATCCCATTGATGAGGACTCTGCCCTCATGACCTCATCACCTCCCAAAGACCCCACCTCTTAAGACCATCATCTTGGGTGTTAGGTTTCAACATATGAATTTGCGGAGGACACATATATCCAGACCATCACATACACATTGCGCACACATTATGGGCTAGTATGATTACTGTAGGAAAAAATAATAATCAAGGCAGCTCCCATGTTTTGAACATCTTCTATGTGCCAAAGGTTTAAACTTTTATCTAAAAAAGTTTTATCTATCTGCAACTTGTGACTCAGAGATAAAAGGTATTTTTATTATTCTTTTTTTCTTTTTTTGAGGCAGGGTCTCACTCTGTTGCCCAGGTTGGAGTGCAATGGCGCAATCACAGCTCACAGCAGCCTCAACCTCCTGGGCCTCACGTGGTCCTCCCACCTCAGCCTCTCGAGTAGCTGGGACTACAGGTGCGTGCCCCTACACCTGGCTAATTTTTGTATTTTTTTGTTGAGACAGGGTTTCACCATGTTGCCCAGGCTGGTCTTGAACTCCTCACCTACCTTTGCCTCCCAAAGTGCTGGGATTACAGGCATGAGCTACCATGCCCAGCCTATTCTAGTTTTTACAGATGAAAAACCTATATTTTCCCAAGTGACTCAATCTTTCCAGGGCTCAGTTTCCTGATTTGCAGGTTGGGGACAATGCCTTGCTTCTTTGGCTGTTGTGAGGATTAGGGATGATGTGTGAAGGAACATCCACATTGCAATGGTGGGCTGAGACCTAGTCACTGGGTACAGCTTCAGAGACTGCCCCATAGTGGGGAAAGGCAGAGACAGGGTTACTGGCTGTAGTCCCAAACAGAATCTATCTCCAACTTGTGACTCAGAGATCTGCCTCGTGTCTGAGGCCTCTGGCACTAAGTCAGCTTCATCTGCTATCAAGTTCTGTTTACACCTTAAGAGAATCCAGGTTCTCATTTCTGATTCTATTCCTAGTTGGTGACAACAGAAACTATGTTTAGGATGACTCTGAGTCTTGGAAGCCATCTGATCTGAAGCTTGGGGGCACTGGAAAATAATCTCCAGCTAGGTCTGGGCTTCCAAGGAGAGAAATGAATGCATTTCTCTTGGATAAAATGGAAGGGGGAAACCTTTGGTTTGAGAGGTGACTCTAGTGCACTGTAAGATACATTATTACAGTTGCCTCATCAGCTGCCTCTTACCAGCTGCTGAATGTCCACCATGTTCCAAGGACTTAAGAGGCACTATCTTTGCCTCATATCAACCTGCAAGGTAAACATTGCCCCTCAGTTCTGCCTCTTCTTTGCTATACGACAAAAACAGAGGTTTTTGTCACACTTACTGGTTGTGTGACATTGGAATGTATTGTGTAACCTTGCTGAATCTCAGCTTTCCTAACTCTAAACAGGCTTGCTGAATTAAGCGAGAGAATGTATGTATAACCCAAAGTACATAGTAGGCACTTTACAAATGTTATTTCCCTTGTACTCTTCTTCCTATACTGTAATATACCTGGCCTTGTGGTGGGCAGAGGACAGAGACCACTCAGACCAAGTCCCTTCCCAACTACTTGGGGCTGAGATTTCCCTCTTCCATACCCAGGCTGGGTTGTTCCTCATAGCAGGGGAGCAAAAAGTCTGGGGCACAGTCAGAAGGTTGGTGAAAATCATCAGGCCTGCAGTTGCTAAGGATGGACTGAGGCAAGGCATGACGGTCGTCCACCTTGGAGTTCCCTCCTCAGTGGGCCCTGCCTTCCTCCCCTCTTTCTGCATCACTCTCATTCTTAGCATCCAACAGTCAAATCTTGCCAGTGCTGAAGGATAATGGAGATCAAAGGGAGGATGGCAATTTATCTTCTTCCTATTGACACAACACTTCACTGTTTTCTAAACCCTTTTGAGGATTCACTGACTCATCAGATCTACACCACTCTCTGGTGAGGGGGCTGGGCAAGGGTTGTGCTCATGATAGAGCTGAATCAACTGGTTCCCAGGAGGGCCAGTGACTTGCACAAAGTCATCCATCAGGTCACTGACAAGCTCTAGGACAAGGACCTTGAACTCCTGGCTCCTCCTAGTCCAGTTCTCTCTCTGTTCTAGCCCAATGTCTCTCCTGGTAATGTACTGTTAGGTAATACTGTTTATCAAACTTTAGTATTTAAAGTAATTTGTCAGACAATCTTCATGCGACATCACCAACAGGTTAACAAAGCCATTAAAGCTCCTAGTGATTGGAACCTGCAAACATGCCACTAGAACATAGCGAAGGTGATCAACCTGTGATTGTGTTGCCTCACTTAAGATGTGTACGCTGCCTGTTGCACAGCTCTTCCTTCAATTCCAAAAGCAAACTCTCTCACTTTGGGAGGTACTGTGTCAGTTACTATCACAGTGCTCGTTGCTACTTTTGATCAACTTTATACCCTCGTTCCAGAGCTTAAAGAATTCATTACTCCAGACAGATCAGTCTTGGGAAAAGAGGGTCAAAATGCTCCATGGTTCATGGCTGACTGGAACAAAATGAGCAACTTCAACACAAGTGCAAAGTCGCTAAAGCTGTCTTCTGATATATTACATTGTGTGCAAGCTGAGTGGCAATCCAATGCGACAAATCGCCAAAAGGTTTAATACTCTACTATCTACCGTCAGGCCTGGAGGTGTCTCTGTCAGTCGATCTAGATCCTGTGTGTGACTTTAAAGAGGCTGCATCATGGTTAGCATGCAAAGGCCTTGACATCAAAATCACATACTTTCGTTTTAAACTTGATGCTCACCCAAGCCTACGGATGACCCCGTGTACCTTTATAAGCCAATTTAAACTCATTGCCACATTTTCTGAAATGACACCATATGTGACAATGCATAGGTTCATTGAGGAAGGTTTCAACCATGCAGCTTTGTTGACTGGAGTAGGTCATGACATCATGAGGTTCCTGATGGTCAGAAGATGCCTGATTGAGGAAAATGGTGAGGAACTATTTCCTTTCCTCAAAGTATTTAGGCTACGAGGATGTGAGGAATTACCACCCGCTAAGTCCCCAAACCTCTGCATGGCTGTAAATGCATGCAGACGGAAACTGGACACGTCACTCAGGGACTATCAATCAACCAAGGAATCTTTGTCAAAACTGCCAGATCATGATGTTGATGAAGCAGTCTCAAAGCCACCCCTCAAGAAGGCACTTATAAGCAAAGAGGACGAAGATGGATTACAAACTGCATACAACGTAACCAAAGAGGAGATCAAGGTAGCTGTAACACCCAAGCCAGGCAATGAGCAAGTGGGGATTCTATCAAGGCTTCTTGAGGCAATAGAGGCAAGAGAGTGCATGCAAACTTAGGAAAAAAAAAAAGTTAACTCCTCATGGCTTACATTTCAGTTCCAGGTAGTGACTAACAAGTTTAGGTACCAATTAATCAAGTTTCTGTGAGGATGGGTACTTAAATTCTTTTGGTTGCAAGCTACATATATAGATATGTCTAATTCAAGCTAGCTTAAGAAATAAAGGCTGGTGGGTCACTGGTTCCCACAACAGTGAAGGACCCTACTGGCTATCATCAGGACTCTTGCCGCCTCTCAACCCTTATCAGTTTCTGCCTGGCTCCCTTCTTTCAGTTTTCTACTGACACAGGCATTCTCCACCAGCCAAGGATGTTTTTCTGTGATTCAGCTTTCCAAAAGTGCTGGGATTGCAGGTATGAACCACCATGCCCAGCCTGAAAGCTTTCCAATAGTGAAATTAAGAGAGCAGACTGACCTACTGACAGAGCTTAAGGAGTTATGCTGAAAAATTTGGCCAAATTCAGTAGTGCCTTAAACGTCTCAATGGAACAAACAAAGTCAAGTAAAAATTAGCAGTTAAGTTAAAGCTATCATTCCACTTGATTTGGCTGTTAATAAATATTTGTGGCCCCTTCAGCTACAAGTTGAGAATAATCTCAAGGTGTTTTGAAAAAAGGGTAAGATATGCAGTGGCAAGCACCAGCACTGCTGTCAGTGGTGACTCTGTACCTCTGGCTCCTCCTCTTAAAAGCTAGTGTATGACATTGTATTCCGTAAGCAGGCATTGTAATCCCTGCTCTGCTTCCCTTAATAGGTAATTAAGTTCAAATAACAATGTGTAAAAGTGCAAAGGATTATCATTAGTAAAGTTTCTGAGAGTAAAAGTTCTTATGAAAAACCAAGAAATTGCCTCAAATTCATTTTTTAAAACAAGTTGGGTACAAACTAGATATTAGTATAATAGTCATCTTATAGTTTAAGAAAAAAAAAACAATAGTCACCAGAATTAAGTTCTTTATTCCTCTTTGTTGTTTCAAAGAACGATGGTAGTTTTTATAGTACAGAGTATTTCTGGCACTCAGCATCACAAAGCCAAGACACAGTCAGAACACATCAAGCCTCAGAATCTCCCTTGGAGGCCTGGAAAACTAGTAACTATAGAAAACCCAATTAGGGACAGAGGGAAAATACCAGTGAAGTGAGAACCCCAAATCAAGGCTTGGCTTGATTAGGCTGCTCACTCTTCTGGAATAGGCCATAAATTTTCCCCACTGTGCCTTTTGGGCTGTGATCCTTGGGAAAGCCAGGGACAACCAAGCTTAAGCCAGAGAAAGGCCCATCCCAGGAAGTAGTGTAACTGACCTTGAAGCAGGCCAGAACAGAGAATATACATTGAGGGTGAGTGTTCAGCAGGTTTTGAATGCTACACAATCTACAAAGGGATGCAACATCCTTCTCCCTACAGCGGAACTCCCCCTAGCCTTCTCAATTAGCTCCAGAGGCCAAGGATGGTTGACTCATTCATTCATTCAGTGTATCTTTACTGCTAGCTACTCTGTTTCAGGCCCTACGCTGGGTGCAGAGGACAAAGAGAGGAATCAGACATAGTCCTTACCTTCAGGGAATTCAGAATATGACAGAAAAAAGCTTATATTTTTAGATAAGCCACTGTGATTCAAGGTAAAAAGGACACAGTGAGGAGTCAGTCAAGGAGTTCACAGCCTAGCAGAGGCCTACAGGGCACAACATAGACAATAATACATGGCAGCCTATGGTAAGGACCAAAGGGAGGCCCAGACTGTGAATTCTGGCACTGCAGAGACAAGATGCATGGCCTACTGAAGAGGTGGATTATGGCCTACTCAAGAAGAGTGAGAAGCCTAATCTGGCAAAAGTGAGATATCAATTCCTACTGCCCTGGGGAGGAGGCTGTGGAGACTCAGGTTGACCTTTGTGGGTCCTCTGGGCTACCCAACAGGCAGGGTGAAAAGCCTCTTACCCGTGGCTGAAGCTGCTTGATGTCCTGTGAATATCGGAGGGGAGACTGGTGACCAGGGGAAACAAGTCAAATTAAGCACCCAGACAATGGCCTGAGGTGAATAGTAAGAACATGAACCCAGCCAGTAGGCTGTGTCGGCAGGAGGCTGGCCTGGGTACATACCAGCAGCAGGAGGCCCCTACCCATGCTTCCTGCACTCTCAGTGTTGGGCCATGTGTGCTGGAAGGATCCATTCTGAGTCCAAGGGACAGGAAGGGGGCTCCTGAGGGCAAAGAACAGAGGCCTATGTAGTCCTCTCTACATGCCTGTAGATTATAGGCCACCCTTCTGCTTTCCTCTTTTCTTCACAGCTGCTACCACCTGCCCTGTCTTTTCCATCCTATCAATCTGAGTGGCTGAAATGGGTTCAGTTAGGGTACCACTATCATGGAATAGGTCCCAGGGCCCTGAAGGCCTTGGGTAATTGGCACAGAGTTAGAGTGTCTATAGCTGTCTTTGTTGGTCATCTGGAACTTGGACAAGTTAAGCCAGCTTAAAGTTGCAGTGTTGAGTTAGGACCTTCTCCACAAGCTAAGTGCCGGCCTGTGCAGGTCTCTCTTCCTTCCCACAGGTTTCAGGGAACAGCTCCAGCCTGTTGTCATTTCTTCTTCACAGCAGCTACCACCTACACCATCTCTCTAGCCTAGGCCTCGTGTCTGTGACACTTTCTCTTCCTAAGGTGCCAGGACTCTTCTTCTGATCTGTTTTTTCTTCATAGCTGCCATCACCCACTCTGTTCCTTTCTCAAGTCTTTATTCTGGATTTCCCCTGTTCCCAACCCCCTTTTCTTACTATTCCTGAGATAAGAACACAGGCCTGCCCCATTTAAAGAGTTTCGATGCTAGTCATTAAAGAGAAAAAACATGAGGCAGGGGGAAGAAGTAAGAGGAGGGCAATTTAGAGATGGACCTCTTATGAGTACTGGTATTATACATCTCTGCGTCACAGTGGCACAGACCAAGGTCCCTGCCTTGACTCCCTTCTTGAGTAGTCCTAAAGAAGTTGATATTCTCGGCTGGGCGCAGTAGCTCATGCCTGTATTCCCAGCACTTTGGGAGGCCGAGGCAGGCGAATCACAAGGCTAGGAGTTCGAGACAAGCCTGGCCAACATGGTGAAACCCCGTCTCTACTAAAAATACAAAAAATTAGCTGGGCGTAGTGGCAGGCACCTGTAATCCCAGCTACTTGGGAGGCTGAGGCAGGAGAATTGCTTGAACCCAGGAGGCGGAGACTGCAGTGAGCTGAGATTGTGCCACTGTACTCCAGCCTGGGCGACAGAGTGAGATTCTGTCTCAAAAAAAAAAAAAAAGAAGTTGATATTCTCATTCTTTTCATCCTTTAGCCCTGGTTGTACGACTTGGCCATCCTCCCTATTCCTATCCACTTGCAGTACAGTGTTCAGGAAAGCTTTGCTAAACAAGGAGTTTCTACCACTCAGGAGGGGGCTGCCCTTTTAATCCTCTCCCCTTCCCCAATTCCTCCCTGCACCAATCCTGCCCATCCCTAGACCTCCACCACCCTCCACCTGCCAACTTGACAGAGGTTTTCCCTGACAGTGGGCCTCATATAAGGAAGTAGAGGAAAGTGTGCATTATTTCACCCAACAGCTGGAAGGTCCTACATGCCAGGCTAAATGTAAACATCTTTACATTATAATAGGCAATGGAGAACCACAAATGATTTAGAGCCAAGGAATGGCAGTAGAAAGTACCTTGTATTAGGCACTCAAGAAATATTTAGATAAATGTATACATGAGTGAATAATTGTGTATTGGGAAGATTACCTTGGCAAATGTAGGAGAGGCTAAGGGGATTTTTAAAAGCCACTCTAAGCCATGGCTTAAGCAATCTGCTAAAGTAGGTAAAGTTAATCTCCACTTTTATCCTGTAGGACTCTCTCTACCCAACTAGTGCAACTGTAACCCCTAGTCTCCTAGGCTATATTTCATGACTAAGACTTGTTCTCTGTGGTCATTGTACAACACCAAATATATTTAGTTGATACCAGTTTAAGCATTAGACTCCTAAAATAGGGACAAAAAAATAAATCTCTCATGATAGAATTTCTGTTGCAATAACAGGCTATGGGAGAAACAATCTAAGATAGGAACAACCAACGTGGTATCATCTGAGAGACTCAGCATGAACTAAGTTCAGCACGAAAACCATTAGACAAAAAGGCATCTCTACTTCACAAGTAGTGATTTCCATGGGCCTACACAAATAGGCCTGATTCTGAGATCTGGGGGTCTAGAGATCTTCCTAATGGTGAAGATCTTCTCACAGGTAAAGGAGTAGCTGGGCCAGGACAATATCCTGAGAAAAACAAACTTGAGAGAAACCCAGAAGCCTGGACAAGCCTTGGACAGACGACTCCAGGCATATTGAAGATGCAACTAAGAAAATTACATCAGGAGCTACCATCACCCCAACATATAGCCCAACATCTACAAAGTCTCCCACCAGCTACATTTATTTTCTTGAATTTTCTCGCTCTTCTAGCCCCATAAACTGGTGAACTCCTTGAGGGCAAAGACTGTGGGAAATTCTGTCCAGTGTTTTAAAGTCCTAATCCATGTCCTTTTCCCATCAGGAACCACCCTAATAAATGAACTTCAGCCCATCATCAGGGTAATGCCACCAGAAGCAATACGCACTATTATCCAGTACTACTGGCATTGAGATTCTCATTGTTCTCCCTAGAAAATGATGCTTTCTGGATGAGGAAGAGAAGGTAAGCAGAACTACAAGGCTGTAGAAGGTAGGAGACTTCATGATTCTTCTGTTTTGCTCAATTCCTCTAGGATAGAGAGCCTACAGAACTGAGCATTATTAAAAGGGTGTGGATATTTTTGTTATTAAAAATGGAACAAATCATACAGATCTGGTCTTCCTTCCTGCCATGACACCTGCTTGTAACCTCACACTCGGATGAGGGGTAAGTCATGTGAAAAGGTAAGTCCCCTGGTTTCCATTTTGACATCAGAGTCCTTTATGCAGCCAGGACTTACTGATCATGAAGCATGCAGGCACTATGCTTGTCCTAGGGATGAGAAGATGAGAAATCTTAGAACCAATACTCTCATTTTACAGATGGAAACCTGAGGTCCAGAGAGTTCAGGTGACACATCCAAGGTCCAAAAGCAAGCCAGTGGCAGAGCCAGGACCACATCCTTGTCTTCCAACTCCTAGTTCAGTGCTCTTTCCACTGCAGTAGCTAAGGCAAAATTTTCATTTTGCTCTTTGGAGGAGGAAAAGTGAAAAAAGGTAGGGAACAGAATATTAAGTTTTTTGATTATCTGTAGACTTCAGTAGCTTCTGTTAACCTGTCTGTAACTGCCATTTGCATCTATGGAAATTGGGTCCTAAGCCAATTAATTGCTTTTGAATTGGCTTGGGTTCCTACCAGGGCTGGTGCAGTCCCCCTGCAGGTGACTCAGGATCTCCCGGTGTGTAAACAGG
The DNA here is from genome assembly GCF_000001405.40 of Homo sapiens. Lineage (NCBI taxonomy): Eukaryota > Metazoa > Chordata > Mammalia > Primates > Hominidae > Homo > Homo sapiens. Next base: position 75,006,404 of record NC_000011.10, on the reverse strand, counting down.
CGGAAGGCAATCTGCTCACACTCTTGCTTGGTCCCACATTCAAACAAACACCCAAACAAGCCCTCCTCCTCCAGAGCAGCCAGATCAGAGTAGCCACAGGGCCCACAGTGCAAGATCCAGGGGCGGGACCAGCAGGCAGCCTCCAAGGGGGTCTGGTTGAGATAGATACCTAGGTCAACCCTCTGTTTCCTACTGGTTGGGTGTGAGTACAAGAGCCATGATTCTGACGGTGTTCCAGCTTCCTCCTCCAGCCTCAGTGAACTGCCTGGAGAGCTCTGCTGAATGGTGGGTGCATCTTTGCTGCTAGAGTCCTGGCACCTATGTGGGATCTCCAGGGGCCGGAAACTTACCACACTCCCTTGGCAACCATGTGGGGGCTCACAGAGCTGTCGACTCAGGGCCAGTCTCTGAAAGCCTTCACCATGGTCAGTGCTGAGCGCCTCTGCCCGGCACCTGTTTGGTGTCCGGGCACTGCAATATAGCACAGGGTGGCCAGCCCTCCCAGTCACCTCTGCCACTTCACATTCTACTGTAACCATGGGCCTAATGAGTCTACCATGGTGCCATGTGACCCCTAGGTCATCACTGTAGATCATCAGAGAATGAGGCCTGGTTTTACATGGTAGCTGGAAGCAAAAGAACCAGGAAGGGATGTAGTAGGTATACGCAGGGATGACCAGTCTCCCTGACTGCAGCTGGATGCCATGACCTGGGCCCACAGCAAATGTGGCCCAGTGCTTCAGCTCTGAGCCAATGACCTCCTCAGTCAAGTCCCTCACCTCACTCCATGAACATCCAGCATCCTGACTGTAGATGAAGCAAAGGCGGGCAGCATTCCTGCCTGACACAATCTGTTGACGCTCTGTGACATGGCCCCGCACACAGATGAAGAACAGGAACACACAACCACTCTTCTGCTCCCATACAGGACAGGGGTTCATGGTCCGATGCCCCGGTAGTGTGGCTTCCATCAGTGGCTTCAGGGGCCCCCACTAGACAAGGAGAAGGGAGAAAGTAGGAGTGAGATACTAATAGGAAAACATGAAGCTCATTAAAAGTATTAGTATTTTTCATAAATAAGAAATAAATGATATTGAAATCTATAAAATCACGAAGGCCTAACTACTCACTAAATTCTCGGATATTACAGGATAACTTACAAAGCTGGAAAGAGACAATGCTAAATGTTGTACAAGCTGTCTCCTCTGTCTGGAATGCTATTCCTCATTTCATCTAGACTTCCAAATCATCCTCCATACCCAACTCAAAAGTCACCTCCTTTATAAAGCCTTCCATGAAACTCACTCTCCTCCCCTAATACATTTATTGTATAACATTGTAACTTTTTATGACTGTCTTCCTTTTCTAGACTATGAGCCTTTTCAGGGCTTATACTATTGGTTACTAATATTGATTCTCCAGCCCCTGGTACATAATAGGTGCTAAATATTTTTACAAAGAAAGAAAGAAAGAAAAAAAAAAGAAAGGAAAGGAAAGAAAGAAAAAAGAAAAGGAAGAAAAGAAAAGCAAGGCAAACAAATACAGAAATTTTAAGCAAATAAAAGGAAATTTAAGACAAATTTTTTTCCCTCCTGTACTACACTGGGAAGGCAATTCATAACTTTTGTTGAAAGCTCAAGCATAGATTCAGAGACACCTAGTTCAAACCATGCTTTCATCACTTATTTTGTGACTATGGGCAAGTTACTTAATCTTACTTTACCTCAATTTCTTTATCAGTTAAATGGAAAATTTAATAACATCCTCACAGAGGAGTTATTATAAGGATACAATGAGATAATGCCTAATCAGACATATTGCAAATAAAGAAAGGTCTAATCTCCCTAACATATTTTCAAAACAATAGTAGAAATTGGTAAGAAAATTTCCAGGAATCCAACAGAAATGGGCAAAGGGCAAGATCAGACAACTCACAGAAAGAGAAAAAAAAGTTCAGCTTCACTCATAAGAGAGAAATGCAAATTAAAACGAAACTGACAATGGCCAGGCACAGTGGCTCATGCTGTAATCCCAGCACTTTAGAATAGCTTGAGTCCAGGAGTTTGAGACCAGTCTGGGCAACATGGCAAAACCCCATCTCTAAAAATAAAAATAAAACAAAATAACTAAATTGACATAACACTTTACATCTATCAAATTAGCAAAATCATAAAGCTTGACAATACTGTGTTGGCAAATGTGAAGAAACTGGACTTTCATATATGGATTGAAGTGCAAATGGTTCAACCTGTATGTAGGACATATATCAAAATTACAAATACATTTATCCTTTCCCATCATGCCCAATTCTGGGAATTCATCCTAAGATATATCTGCTCATCAAATTAAGTATGTATAAGATTATTCAAATGTAGCATTGCTTGAAGTAGCAGAATACTACAAACAACTCAAATATTCGTCAATACAGAATGGGTGAAATGAACATGCAATACATGGGGGAAGACCTTTTTTCCATATATAGTGATATGGAAAGATTTCCATAATTTTTTTTTTTTTGAGATGGAGTCTCTCTGTCAACCAGGCTGCAGTGCAGTGGTGTCATCTCAGCTCACTGCAATCTCTGCCTCCCGAGTTCAAGTGGTTCTCACGCCTCAATCTCCTCAGTAGCTGGGATTACAGGCTTGCACCACCACGTCCAGCTAATTTTTTTATTTTTAGTAGAGATGGGGTTTCACCATGTTGGCCAGGCTGGTCTGAAACTCCTCACCTCAGGTGATCCGCCTGCCTCAGCCTCTCAAAATGCTGGGATTACAGGCGTGAGCCACCGAGCCTGGCCTGATTTTCATAATTTATTCTTAAATAAAGAAAGCAAAATACAGAATAGTGTATGTAGTATGCTACCTTTTGCATCAGAAATGTGGAGGAAAGGGACTTCTGGTTACAGCAAACTAAATAATTAGACCAATCCTTCCACTGAGAACTTGAAAAGATAGATAAAATATTTAAACAAAAACAAAATATCTGAAAGCACCAGAGAGCAAACAAGAGAATGAAGAATGACAGGCTAAGTTCTTTCAGAGAGGTTGGCTGGTCCCTTTTTCCCTTAGGGTATCCTACTAATTCTCAAAGAAGTAACTGAAAGGCTGAGAAGCTGAGCAAGTCATTTGACAACCTTATGGAGCAGAAGGACAAAACTTGAAGGCCTGGTAAACTGTCATGTAATTTGAGATGGAACCTTAAAGGGCCAAATCCAAGGAATAAGGATGGAACTGAGGCAGAACAACCCTTAAAACCATCACTCTAGAAAACTGGTTGACATTATCTATTGAGGTAGAACATACACATACCACATGAGCCAGTAATTCCACTCCTAGCTACATACCCAACAAAATGTATGCCCGCAGTACCAAAAACATGTATAAGAATATTCACAGCAGTATAATCTATACTTATAATAACTAACCCAAGTATCCAACAACAGTAAAATGGATCACTTAATTGTGGTATGTTCATACGATAGAATACTATGTAACAATGAAAAACAAATTAGGGTTACACACAACAATTTGGATAAATCTCAAGAATACTGAACAAAAGCCAGACCAAAAGAATACATAGATTAAAAATAAGCAAAACTAAACTCTAGGGCTATAAATCAACTTAATATAATCAACTTCTCCTTTGGGAAGGAGGGTGGGGCCATAAGAGAAGCTTCTCAGATGCTGACGACATTCTATTTCTTGGAATATTAGTTGTGAGTTCTATATATGAGTCCACAAGTGTTGGCTTTGTCATAAGGGCTCATTGAGCTGACATTTATGTTTTGTGCATTTGACATTTATGTTTTATGTTTTCTGTATATGTTATCACTTCACATTTTTAAAAGTTTTTAAAAGGGCTATTAAGAGTACATACTTCTTTGCTTTGCTACTGCATGAAGCAGCACTGAAGAGATAACAAGAAACAATAGTGATTGCCTATAAGAGGTAGGGGAATGGAAATGAGATATATATCTTTTTATACTTTTTTTATTTTTCAGCTATATGAAATGTATTAACTACCTAAAACAAAAAATAAATTTAAAAAATTAATTTCTGTATAAATGGACAAAACAGATTAAGCAGGCGCAGATCATAGACTCTCAGAGCCATTTGCCTGAGGCCAGGAGTTTGAGATCAACTTGGGCAACATAGTGGGTCCTTATCTCTACAAAACATTTTTTTTTACATGATCTGGGTCTAGATAATTTTTACATTATCTACTTGGAAGTCTGAGGCAGGAGAATCACTTAAGTCCAGGAGTTTGAGGCAGCAGTGAGCTATGATCAATCACTGCACTCCACCCTAGGTGACAGATCAAGACCCTGTTTCAAAAACAAAAAAGAAATCTAAGCCATTATGGACCATAAGGGTTATCTAGTGCTAACTCCCATCCCACGGAAGAGTCCCCTCGCAGTCTTCTGGATAAAAGACCATTCCGTCCTTGAACTAAGCTAGTTCAACAGGGAATTCAAGATCTCTGGGACAGCCCATTCTATACCTGAGTGCCCTGAGCACACTAAACATGCCAGAGATATGTGATCAAGTCAGCTTACTTATTAAGCAGTCTAGTTTTTGAGAAGTCAGAAGTTTAGTCATCCTTAGTGGCTGAGAGAAGAAAATTATTTGAGCCAGGTATATCTAACATACAGTTGACATGAAGATGGAAAAAAGAGTAAACATAGCATGAAAGTCTTGGAATCTAAGATGCTCTCAACTAGCTGGAGCAATGGGACATATAAAACAAGCTGAGGCTTGACAGAGATAAAACAGGTTGTGGCTTAAAAATTTGCATGGGGTAAACTGATTAAAGAACAAATGTAGGCCAGGTGCTGTGGCTTATGCCTGTAATCCTAGTACTTTGGGAGGTCAAGGCGGGTGGATTACTTGAGGTCAGGAGTTTGAGACCAGCCTGGCCAACATGGTGAAACCCTGTCTCTACTAAAAATGCAAAAAAAATTAGCCAGGCATGGTGGCACACACCTGTAGTCCCAGCTACTTGGGAGGCTGTGGCAGGAGAATTGCTTTAACCCAGGAGGGAGAGGTTGCAGTGAGCCGAGTTGACCACTGTACTCCAGCCTGGGTGACAGAGTAAGACTCCATCTCAAAAAAAAAAAAAAGAAAAAAAAAAGAAAAAGAAAAACAAGAACAAACGTAATGGCCAACAAGCATATGAAAACATGTTCAGCATCACTAATTAATGGGGAAATACAACTAAAAAACACAATGAGGTATCACCCTGACAACTATTTGGACAGCTACCACACACACACACCAGAAAATGACAAATGTCGGTGGGGATGTGGAAAACTAGAACCACTGTGTACTGTTGGTAGGAATATAAAATGGTGTAGCCACTATGGAAAATGGCATGCCAGTTTCTCATTACATATAAAATTACCAAGTGATCCAGCAATTCCACTTCTGTGTTTATGTCCAAAAGAATTAAAAGCAAGGTCCCAAAGAGATATTTTCACACCCTTATTCATAGCAATGTTATTCACAATACCCAACAGGCAAAAGCAACCAAAGTATCCATCAAGAGATGAATGGAGCCCGGGCAACATACTGAAACCCCATTTCTACAATAAATAAATAAATAAATAAATAAATAAATAAATAAATAAATTAGCTGGGTATGGTGGCACACACTTGTAGTCCCAGCTACTCAGGAGGCAGAGGATTGCTTGAGCCCAGGAGTTCGAGGTTGCAGAGCCATGATCATGCCACTGCACTCCAGCCTGGGCAACAAAGTGAGACCCTGCCTCAAAAAAAAAAAAAATGTATAAACAAAATATGGTATATACATACAATGATATATTATTCAGCCTTAAATAGGAAGGAAATTCTGATACATGCTACAACATGGATGAAACTTGAGGACATTATATAAGTGAAATAAGCCATCACAAAAAGACAAACACTATACAATTCCACTTATATGAGATATCTAGAGTAGTCAAAATTATAGAAACAGAAAGTAGATTAGTGGTTGCCAGGGACTGAGGAGGGAGAAATGGGGAGCTGTTTAATGGGTGTAGACTTTCAGTTTTGAAAAATCAAAAGTTCTGAAGATTGGGTGCACAATTTGAATATACCTGGCACTACTGAACTATACACTTAAAAATGGTTAGGATGGTAAAATTTATGTTAGATGTATTTTACTACAATTAATTTTTTTTTTAAAAGAATAACAAATGTGAAAAAGACTTGGAGGTTTTGGCTGACCATCTACTCAACATTAGTCAATTGTGCTATGTAGCTACCAAGAAAGTGCTATTTTACTTTCAATTGCATTAAAGGGAATACAAGATAGGAGAGCTCACCTCATTGCTGAGCTGGCCTGTCTACCCTTGGAGTCCCAAGTTCAATTCTGAGTATCCTACTTTAAAAAAGGACACTGCTATCTCAGACCAGATCCCAACGACAGTAATCACAATTTTCAAGGGGCCAGAAACCAAATCAGGACTGTGCCCTAAGAAGTTACAGAAAGAACTGAAGCTGTTTAGCCCAGAAAACAGACTACTCAGAGGGCATGAATACAGCTTTCAGGTACTTCAGAGAGTAGTTCTCTGAAAAAGAGATTTTATCTACATTTTGTATAGACTGACTGCCCCAGAAGGCAGAACAAACCAATGGGTAATTATAGAGAAGTAGAGATCATCTCATTCACACATAAAAACCAGCTGCCACAGCAATCAGGTGCTCACCTGAAGAGTTGTGCAAGGAGACCCTTAATGGAAAATGACAAATGTTTAGTTCTTACTATGTAGTATCTATTATTAATTATATGTTGCAGCTGATGAAACAGAGAAGAGTCAAGTATCCAAGGCCAAAAAGCCAATAAATGATAGGTCTTGACTGACTCCAAAGCCATGCTCTTAATCACTAAGATTTCAGTAACTACCAATAGAATACAGATTTCTATATTGGGAAAGAATTGGGCTCATGATTCTTCTAACTTCAAGATTGTACAATTAAATAAGTCAGAGAATGAAATAAAGAGAGAATGAGTTAAAGTGGACAAGTTTGTGGATGTGTGTGACTACTGAGTAGTGAAGTTATGCAACAGGTGTGGTCTGATAAAAAATGCTTGCTGGGCTCAGTGGCACCTGCCTGTAGTGGCGGCTACTCAGGAGGCTTAGGTGAGAAGATTGCTTGAGGCCAGGAGTTTGAGGCTATAGTATGCAATGATCAAGCCTGTGAATAGCCACTGCACTCCCGCCTGGGCAATGCAGAGAGGGCTCGTCTCTAGACAGACAGACAGACAAACAGACAGTTAAAATTTAAAAGGCTGGGCACAGTGGTGTACACCTGTAGTCGTAGCTACTCAGGAGGCTGAGATAGGAAAATTGCTTGAGCCAGGAGTTCAAGACCAGCCTAGGCAACATAGAAGTTGTCTCTAAAAAATAGGATTAAAAAAAATGCTTAACAGCCTACTGTCTGTGATCAAAAACAGTGCAACATGACGATGACCACAGGCAATGCTTGTCCTAGAAGAAAGGAAAGAGCTAGAATCCCAAGTACTACTGGGCTGTAGGGCTGGGCCTCTGTGGAGGCTAGTTATACATGCAGAAGTCTGGTCCTGGGAGGCCATGAGAAAGACTCATGAGAAGATAAGGTGAAAGAGCAGGAACTGAAAATCCCACAAAGTAAAAAACTTCACCAAGAGAAATGTGAGCCAATGTTATCAAAAGCAAAGACAGGGATTGATGGCAAGGCCCATGTTCAGCAGAATAGCATTTGCACTGTGTACTTTAACAGCAGAAGAAGGTTATCTGCTGTGGATATGAAGATTTAATGGTCAGATTTGAGACATCTGTAGGTAAAAAAGCAGGGTAGGTTAGGAGTATTAAAGTGCCTACTATGTAGATATAGAGAGATGACACAACTATATATTTTTTTTACAAAAGACTCTCAAAACCATTGTCTCATTTGTCTCACTTAAGCTAGCCCTGGGAGAGAGGAAAGCAACAATAAGAAATATAGGCCTATGTGATTTTATTGCACTTTGCTCTACTGCATTTGTCAGATATTGCCACAAAACTGAAGGTTTGTGGCAACCCTGAACTGAGCATGTGCTCACTTCATGTCTTTGTCATGTTTCGGTTAATTCTCACAATATCTCAAACATTGTCATTATTATTAAATCTGTTATGGTGATCTTTCATCAGTGATCTTTGATGTTATTACTGTAATTGTTTTGGAGTATGACAACTGTGCCCATATTACATGGTGAACTTGATAAATGCTATATGTGTCCTGACTGCTTCACCAACCAACTGTTCCCTCATCTCTCTTCCTTTCCTTCAGCCTATTCCCTGAAATGCAACAACATTGAAATTAGGCCAATTAGTAACCCTACAATGGCCTCTAAGTGTTCAAGTGAAAGGAAGAGTCCCCCATCTTTCACTTTAAATCAAAGCTAGAAATGATTAAACTTACGAGGAAGGCATGTTGAAAGCCAAGACAGGCCGATAGCTAGGCCTCTTGTGCCAAACAGCCAAGCTGTAAATGCAAAGAAAAAGTTCTTTTTTTTTTTTGAAACAGAGTCTCCCTTTGTCACCCAGGCTGGAGTGCAGTGGCTCGATCTCTGCTCACTGCAACCCCCGCCTCCTGTGTTCAAGCGATTCTCCTGCCTCAGCCTCCTGAGTAGCTGGGATTACAGGCATGCACCACCATGCCCGGCTAATTTTTTTTTTTTTTTTTTTTTTTGGTATTTTTAGTAGAGACGGGATTTCAGCATGTTGGTCAGGCTGGTCTCGAACTCCTGACCTCGTGATCCGCCTACCTTGGCCTCCCAAAGTGCTGGGATTACAGGCGTGAGCCACCACACCAGGCTGAAAAGTTCTTGAAGGAAATTAAAAGTGCTACTCCAGTGAATACAGGAATGATAAGAAAGCAAAACAGCCTTATTGCTGATAGGGAGAAAGCTTTAGAGGTCTGGATAAAAGATCAGACCAGCCATAGCATTCCCTTAAGACAAAGCCTAAACCAGGGCAAAGTTCTAACTCTCTTCAGTTCTACAAAGGCTGAGAGAGGTATGGAAGCTGCACAAGAAAAGTTGGAAAGTAGCAGAGGATGGTTCATGAGGTTTAAGGCAAGAAGCTGTCTCCGTAACTTAAAAGGGCAAGGTGAAGCAGCAAGTGCTGATGGGAGAAGCTATAGCCAGTTATCCAGAAGATCTAGTTAAGGTAACTGACAAAGGTGGCTACACCAAACAACAGATTTTCCCTGTAGACAAAACAGCCTTCTACTGAAAGATGCCATCTAGGACTTTCATGGCTAGAGAGAAGTCAATGTCTGGCTTCAAACCTTCAAAGGACGGGCTGGTGACTTTAAGTTGAGGTCAATGCTCATTTATCACTCAGAAAATCCTAGGGCTCTTAAGAATTATCCTAAATCTACTCTGCCAGTGCTCTAAAAACAAAGCCTGGATGAAGCACTTCTGTTTACAGCCCCCTGTTGAGACCTACTGCTCAGGAAAAAAGATTCCTTTCAAAATATTACTGGTCATTGACAACGTACCTTGTCATCCAGGAGCTCTGATGGAGATGTATGAGGAGATTAATGTTGTTTTCACGGCCACTAATACAACATCCATTCTGTAGCCCACGGATCAAGGAGTCATTTCAACTTCCAAGTTTCATTATTTAAGAAATATTTCATAAGACTATAGTTGCCATAGATAGTGATTACTCTGATGAATCTGGTCAAAGTAAACTGAAAACCTTCTGGAAAAATTCCACTAGTCTAGATGCCATTCAGAACATTCATGATTCATGGGAGGTCATAATATTAACATTAAGAGACATTGAGAAGTTGATTCCCATACTCATGATTTTGAGGGGTTCAAAACTTCAGTAGAGGAAGTAACTGCAGATATGGTGGAAATAGCAAGAGAATTAGAAGTGGAGCCTGAAGATGTGACTAAATTGCTGCAATCTCATGATAAAACTTGAATAAATGAGTTGCTTCTTATAGATGAGCAAATAAAGTAGTTTTTTGAGATGGGATCTACTTCTGGTGAAGATGCTGTAAACATTGTCAAAATGGCAACAAAGGATTTAAAATATTACATCAACTTAGTTGATAAAGCAGCAGCAGGGTTTGAGAGGATTCATTTATAAGTTCTACTATGGGAAAAATGCTATCAAATTCTGTAGCATTGCATGCTACAGAGAAATCTTTTGTGAAAGGAAGTGTCAACTGTTTCAGCAAACTTCATTGTTGTCTTATTTCTTGTTGGGGGTAGACAGGGTATTGCTCTGTCCCCCAGGCGGGAGGGCAGTGGCACAATCGCAGCTCACTGGAGCCTTGAACTTCTGGGCTCAAGCAATCCTCCCCCTCAGCCTCCCGAGTAGCTGCCACTACAGATGTGTGCCACTAAACCCACCCAATGTTTTTTATTTTTATTAGAGATAAGGTCTTGCTATGTTGCCCAGGCCAGTCTTGAACTCCTGAGCTCAAGCAATCCTCCCACTTTGGCCTCGCAAAGTTCTGGGATTACAGGCATGAGCCACTGTGCCCAGCCCATTGTCTTATTTTAAGAAATTATCTATGTAAGTAAGAAATGCTTCTAGAAAAATAATAATAATAATAATAATAATAATAATACACTAAATCTTCAGCAACCACCACCCTGATAAGTCAGCAGTCACCAACATCAGGGCAAGACCCACTCCAGCAAAAAGATTGACTAGCCAAAGGTTCAAATAATCATTAGCACTTTTCAGCAGTATTTTAAGGTGTGTACTTTTTGTTAGACATAATGCTACTACACACTTAACAGACTACAGTATAGTGTAAACATAACTTTTATATGCACTGGGAAACCAAAAAATTTATGTGTCTTGTTTTATTGTGATAGTCACTTTAGTGTGGTGGTCTGGAACCAAATCCACAATATCTCCGACGTATGCCTATTTGGGATCTGAAATAACCCTGTAGCTTCCAGGCCAAAGAGCAGTAACCCTTCTTTCCTCACTAAAAATACAGTCAAAATGTTCTACTGAAGAGGAAGGGCTCTAACTCCAGTTCTCCCACTTATTAGACGCGTGACCAAAGCAAATGACCTTAATTCTCAGGCCTGGTTGCCTCCTGCAAAATGGGGATAATAAAATATACCTCACATACAGCATTTAGTAGTAGAAGCGTGGTTATTACTGGTATCCCCCTGTCACCTGCTAAATGTGGTCCTGAGCAAGTTACTTACCTCTTGGAGCACTAGGATCTCTCATCAGCAAAACTGGACTACCAATGCTTACTTCCCTGGGTGATTTATGAGGATTAAATGGAATATAAATGAAAGGCACA